>NC_000024.10:23022264-23630755 GCF_000001405.40 Homo sapiens | reverse complement strand
TTGACTTAGCGGAATAACATTTAAAGACTGAGCCCTGAACAAAGATAGGGCTTGACTTTCATACATGCAACTGAAGAGGGTTGGCAGCTAATGGCATGAAATCTGCAGGATGGGCAAGCAAGCTTATAGGAGTAGAATGAAGAGAGTTTTTAAAAAAAAGTGACAGGTGTTATAACTCAGGCATGTATCATGACTTTCAATAATATATGGATGGGAAAACAGAAACCTACAAAATTTTTGTCAACTTCCAGAAGTAGTTATAAAAGTATATGTGAGAGCACATCAAAGAATAATGGTATTGGGTGAGAGTACTAGAGAGGGGAAACAGATAAGAACGTGTTATTTTCACTCCTGCTCCTGGAACCCATTCTTTACAGGCCCCATCTCTGCTGATAGTGCTATCAGAGCCCCAACAGGGCCTGGCTTATCCCTGGGTTTTTGGAGTGAGTCAGCTCAGTACACAGAATATGTTTTTTTTTTTTAACATTCCCTGTTTCATTTCCACCTTTCATGCTTTTTGTAAATGAGGATTAATAGAGAGAATCACCTAGTAATTCTTCAAGGGGGAGCAGTTCCCTATTTGGCAGGGGTTGATGTTTAGTTAGAGCCATTAGTTGAGTAGTCGTGTGTTTGTTTACAAGAGCCTCTATGGCTGCTTGAATGTTTTTAACAAGGAGGGTAAGAGACAAATTAGAACAAGGCAGAATCCTAGTATGGCTAGAACTATTTTTACTAAGATCTTAAATTCTTCAAAGGATGAAAATAAGCCCCCAAAGAGGGAAACTGGAGACTACCCTTTAAAAGGCTGGACTGTAACATGGGCCAATTTTTGGATTTTGGAAGTTGTATTCTTAATGATCTTTCTAGGCAGCATTTAGTTAGATTGAACTTTCCACATACCCTTCCTTCCTGGACTAGGAAGTAGTTTAAAGACAGTCTATTTCGATGAATAGCATTCTTCATTTTTGTGGCTTGTTGGGCCTGCAGATTTAGGGTCTTTGCAGTGTTATTAGTAATAATTTTCAGCACTGCCTGTAACCTTATGTTGTGGTAGAATATGTAAATAGGAGTGCAGTATCCCCAAATTCCATTTTCTGTCCAGGTGGCTGAGCCATGGTGTTGGAATTTTTAGGGGGTCATTAATTGTTTTACCAATTTCTTATGGTTATGTCTTTTGTTTGTTTGTTCTGTATTTGTTTTATAATAGACCGGATACCCTAAAGGTCCTCCCTGTCCTAAGGCGATTAGAAAGGAGACAGCCTAATTTTTTCCAGTACACTGGCCCCTGACCATTTAGCCAGCAATGGGCAATATGCCCATGGCCCACAGATCCAGTAGAGCTCAGAGGGCACCTGACGGGTATTAGGAGCGTTAAGTTGGTACAAAGAATGCTTTAAAGAAGGGAATCAGGAGAATGGGCCTGGTTGGGGCAGTTTGGAATTATTTTTACCACAACATACAGTTTTTCCTACTGTTTTATTGTAATATTATTGTTCTAGGCAAGTTGACTTTCCTACTGGGCCTGTAAGGTTTTTCTCCAACAAGAAATGCATAATATTCTGATAATGGAGGTCTTTAAGAATCAGATGCTCTGGCTTGTGAACACAGGTTCAGGGGAAGAGACAGTAAGAGTGAAGTTATCTTGGGGCATTAGCTTTCTTGCCTCCCATGGCCATTGGTGTCCCATGTTGGTCCAACCACAAACATAGCATGAGGAGATATGTAGGCTGCTGGCTATGTTTTCAGCCAGTTGAATATACATCAACTGAATAGGCTTCCATATACTTCAACTGAATAGGCTTCTGGCTAAGAGAGAGGGTTCAAACAGTTCCTGGTTGAAATTTTTACAGAATGATTTTAAAACAGAGTTTTCAGGTGTAACCATCCGAGATTTCTTGATAATATGTAAATAGGCTTTTGAGTCTGTTTTCTGGCCACTAACTTGTATTCCTAGAGGAGCCTTTAAACTTGTAGCCCATACAGCCAGATACGGTTTTAAGGTACTGAGATTTTCCAGGTAGCAAGTGCTTGCCTTACAGTTTGTTTTTGCTGTAAGTATGACTCACCCCAGTGATTGCAGGTTACAGGACTGAATTATGCAGTTCCAGCAAATTGTCTCTGAGAAACTGGCAAAGAAAGCAAGGGGTGAACATATATTTTTGTGGCAACTATTATAGTGCTCTTCAGAATTAGAGATTATGGGAAAGGTTGAGCCCATGGATGTTAACTGGCATATATTAAAGGATAAGGACATAACTCCCCAATGGGAGGATGAGACCTTGGTTTGGTGTAGCAGGTTTCCTTCTATTGACCCATGAATTTTAAAAGAGGTCTCAGGTAGGAATTTGGGGTTATAACACATATAAGTCTAGCCATTTCCTGGGTCACAGACTGAGTAGTTTCGTTGTGAGTACAAGTTTCTAGGTGGGTCCCTGTACACTTTTAATAAGTGTGATATAACAGGGTTTTGGTTATGGTGCTCCCTGACCATATTGTTAGTGCAGTGTGGGCACTCTTCTCTGGTCTCCTTTTCTGAAACAAATAAGGGGAGTATTATAGTTAGGAGGAAAAGAAGTGGGCTTAGCTTTCCTATTGCCTGGAATAGGAAATAAGTAAAGAGTAACATGTTTATACCAGGGAGGAAAAGAAGAAGTTTTTACACAGGGGAGGAGGTTGAGCAAAGTGAGAGAACAATAGTAAAACAATGATTGGATTTAAGATTTTTATCACTATTTTATTATATTTTACTCCAGCTTCAAACGTACGTACAGTAGTCAGCTTCCAGGATGACTACAGCAGGGCTGTTGACTCCTCAAGTTTTAGCTGAGAACAGACTAGTCAGCTTTCGGAATGACCAGAGTAGGGCTTCATCATTTCTCAGGGCAAATAGGTCATAGGATTAGCCAGCTCAGATGGTCTGGGTCATGTTTGCTGGTCCACTTGTCTTGGGCTGCAAGTTTTAGTTGACTGTGGTGGATCCAACGCACAATTTCTGCAATGTTAACAGCAGTGGAAGTGGACAAGGTTGCAGGATGGGGCCCATCCCATATGGGTTCTAGAGTGGTTGGATTTTATTTCTGACCTACACAGAGTCCCCAGGTCTAAAGTGGTGTGCTGTGTTTGTTGGGCTTATGGACAATCTTTCCCATACCCAGCCATGGACCTCTTGCATGGCTCTCTTTAACGCCTGCCTTTGCCTTCTTAAAGTTAATTCCCTAGTTTGCAAAGTTCACCCCTAATTTGAGCTATGATTGGGGATGGCCAGTGGAAAATAGTCCCTGAACTGTCTCGGTCACAAATTTCAGTCCATTTTCTGACCCTAGAGTTAGAGGCATTCTCAATCTGGGGATATCGTCTCTTAACAGTACTTCTGTTACTTCTCATGATTTCTCTGTTAGGGTGGGGAAAGCCTCAACTCATCCTGAAAAGGTACAGAAAATCACCAGTATGTACTTACAGCCCACTGATTGGGGCATCTCAGTGAAGTTTCTAAGAAGGTTTTCACAGGGTGTGGCTCCCATTTCCTGAATTCCCAGGGGCCAAGTGGGCCCTTGTCATGGAATGTTCTGGGCACAAGTTAGACATTGTTTGCAGACAGATCAAGTGATGACAGTGAGCTGTGGCACATAGAAATGGTGTCCTAGCAGTGTTTTCAGTGACATTTTTCCCATGTGGGTTCCTTGATGGAATTGTTTTACAAATTTTGGGGCCAGCATTTCGTGGTTGGCTAGCCTCCTATTGGAGAATTTTCACCGTCCCTTTTTATATATTTTCCAGACCCTTGGGAAAAGCAGAGCTTCTCATTTGGAGGTAACTTGAAACCTCTGAGAGGTGCATATTTGGGAGGAGAGTCAGCTATGGCTGTCTGTCTGTCTATGGGTAGTCATTGCTGCCCCTTTTGCATACCTGTCTACCTTTTTGTTCCTTTTGGCCTCCAGTGATCCTGGCTTTTGGTGCCCCTTGCAGTGCATAGCAGCTGTCTTCTTTGGAGTCCATACAGCATCTAAGAGTTGCAGAATTTTTTCTTTGTACTTTTTTTTCTTTTTGGCCCACCGCAGTTAAGAATCCTTTTTCTTTATATATAGCCCCATTATCAGGCAGCGTGGCAAAAGTATACTTGGAATCAGTATAAACATTGGCCATTTTACGTTTTGTCAGCAGAACGCTCTCATTAGGGCTATTAGCTCTGCCTTTTGGGCTGATGTTCTGGTGGGCTGAGCTTCTACCACTGAATCTAATGTTATCACTGCATACCCAGTTTCACGGACCCCTTTCAGTATATAGTATTTACCATCTGGGTCCCAGAGGGGTTGCTCTATAAGGTCTTTCTGGCTTGAGAATACATCATCTACTGTTTCCACAGAGTCATGAAGGAGGACCCCTGGTTTGACTGGGACTAAGGTAGCCAGGTTAAGGGTGTTTATTATTTCCAAAGTTATGTCGGGATTTTTGCATATGAGCCCCTGGTACTGAGTCACTCTTGGATTTGATAACTAATAGTGCGCTGTCTAATCCATTAAAGTTAGAACTGACTGTGGTATACCCAGATGGTCAGCTGTTGTCTTAGAGCTAGTTTTCTATCTTGTTGTTCCAATAGGGTGGTGTCAGCTAGTGCCCTAAGGCAAGGAGGCTATGCTAGGGCCAAGGAGTTCAATTGTGTGGATAAGTACATCACCGGGCGAATTCATGATTTCACAACTTGGGTCAGGACACCTATAGCCAATCCCTTTTATTCATGGACATGTGGAAAGAAAGGCTTACTTATATTTGGCAGTCCTATGGCTTGGGCCTGTGTTAAGGCTTCTTTGGCTTGTTTAAACACCTTCTTTTCCTGGACAGCCTCTCAAAGGAGGGGTTTCCTTTCCCCTCTCTTTGTGCCTTTATATAAGGGCTTGGCAATTAGTGAGAAATTTGGGACCCAGATACAGCAGAACCCTGCATTCCCCAAGAATTTTCCCATTTGGCACTGGGTGGTTTGAGTTGAGAGTGCATAAAGACATGGCTTTTGCTCACTGCTGAGCTGGTGTTCCCATTGGCTTACTATGAAGTCCAGATATTTGACACTTTCTTGGCAAATTTGGCCTTCTTTCTGAATACGTTATAACCAGTTTTCCATAAAGGAGATGGAGGAAGTCTTGGATTCCTTGGTATCTGCCCCCTGGGGTTGGGGCTGCTAGGAGAAGGTCGTTTATGTATTGTAGCAAGGTGTAGTTGTCATTTGGTGTGGTGAAGGCCTTGATGTCTGAGGCCAGTGTGTCTCCAAAGATTGTAGGAGTGTTTTTGAATCTTTGTGGGAGTCTAGTCCATGTGAGCTGCTCCCCTGTGCCTGTGACTCAATCGTCCCATTGAAATGCAAAGATGGGCTGACTAATTGGTGCCAGGCACAGATAGAAGAAAATATTCTTTAAGTCTAGTCAAGTAAATCAGGCAGCACTTGCCAGAATGAATCTTATTAGCATGTACGGATTTGGTATCACCAGGTGGAAGGTTACAGTAGCCTGGTTCATTTCATGTAAGTTTTGCACTGGTTTAGATTTACCAGACTCTGTATTTTGTTTTGGTAGCAGTGGAGTGTTCCAGGGTGACTCACACCAGACTACCAGACTAAGATTCTGTGTTTGAAGGGTCACTTTAAATGTTTGTGAATACCCCGCGTGTCTTCTCAGAGAAATAGGTATTGGTGAACCTGAACTGGAGTTGCTCCTGGTTTTAGCTTTACTATTATCAGTGCCTGATTTACAGCCTTTACAGCCAGGCTCAGTGGGTTATTGTTAGCCCATACTCCAAAAATTTTACCCAGTAGTGTAAACACTTTCTCCAGCCCTGGCTTATGAGACAGTTCTGGTGACTGTTTTGTCTATACTCTTCATTCCTCAGCCTGCAGAATAATGAGGGTTAACACCATGACCTTTGGGTGAGTTAGGCTTAAAGTTATATCCTCGTGTGGCCCAAAAGAAATCTGTGCTGTCAGTTTCTGGAGCAGATCTCTTCCATGTAGGGGATCTGAGCAACTTGGGAGGTATAGGAATTCATGTTGGACTTCTTGTCCCTCTATGACATACCTTCTAGGCCAGCAAGATGGCCTCCTTTCTGGATCCCTTGTAGCCCCAATAATAGTTGTATCATGTTTAGATAGTGGCCCTATGGGCTGTGTCACTACTGAGTGTTTAGAGCTGGTGTTCACCATAAAGTCCATCTGTTGCTCCCCTACTTCTACTGTGATCATGGGCTCCTGGGGACTTGGGAGATGGAGCCCGGTCTTGCATAGTCTTCCTATTTTTCGGTCTCTGCCAGCCCAATTAAGTTGATGCCTGGCTCCCTCATGGTGTGGTGGTCCTTGGCTGGCTGTTTGATAGTTTTGTGTCCTCTGTTATTTCTTTTACTACCCTCTAAACACTTATTTTTCCAGGGACCCCCTTTTTTTGCAGTGCAAATATTGATCTCTATCTAGTCTCAGCTGACTTTTGGGTCTCTGCCCTGCTTGGCCCCTTCCACATCTGAGTCTGCATCTGCATCTGCTTGTGATGATAGCTTCCCTTTCCATGAGGGCTGCCACTAGTAGATCGGCCTTCTTCCTGAGTCTCCAATCAGCCTCACTTTGTGCTTTCTGGTCACAGTTAACATACACCTTCGTGGCCAATTCTGAAAGCTGGGTGGCATTCATGCCTGCAAAACCATCTAGCTTTTGCACTTTTCATCTTATGTCCCCCTGGGCTTGTCCTACAAATGCTGCATTTACTATCTGCTGGTTCTTATCCTTGGGGTCAAATGGAGTGTAAAGCCAGAATGCCTCAAACAGTTTCTAATAAAACTTGCTAGGGCTCTCGTCAGTTTCTTGAAGCACTTCTGAGATTTTTTCTATATTGATTACCTGTTTTCTGCCTTCCTTTAGCCTTTGCAAGAGTGGTTTTCAGTATGCCTGCAGATGCTGAAACTGGTCAAATCATCTGGGTCCCAGTGGGAGTGTGCTTCTGGGAACTGGACCTGAGAGTATGCCTGGAAATTAAATGTGCCTTCTGGCACATGGGCTTCTGGCCAGTTGAGGGCTGAATGAGCCATCCTTCCATGCTCTTTGGTGTTAAACAGCATCAGGAGAAGATGTTTACTATCTGGACAAATTGAATTATGTGTCTGGAAAATGGACTGTATCAGATCTATGAGGGCCAGGGGCTTCTTCATGTAGGAGAGAATATGGTGTTTCCAGTTAGGGGATCAGTGATTGAAATAGGCTGGTAGATAAGGGTCCATTTCCCCCCTTACGTATGGCCATATTCATCAAAGTAGAGGCCTCCCCAAGTCTCCTTGAAAGGCATCTGCAGAACCAGGGCATGGCCATAGCAGAGGCAGCTCACTTGATTATTCTGACACTCCTCCTTGACCTCCTGGGGCAGGGGCTCTGATTTCTCCCTTTGGGGTGAAACCCAGGGTGTGTCACCATCTGAATTTGACTCCTCATGGGCCATTGGCCTTGGTAAAAGGGGGCTAATTGGGGTATAGGGAGGAGGGATTTCTGTCTCTTCTGGTGGTTTCCACAAAGCCAGTTTTTCTTGCCCTTCTTATGGCTTTCCCTTTTTCTCCATTGCTGCTGGTGAAGCTGATTCCTCTTTCACTTTAGGCTCAGCTTGAGCAACAAGCGTTTTGCAGTAAGCCATCAGGAAAGACTGTAGCCATGCTGGTTGGGATGATATTTAGCCATAAGTCAATATAAAAAAATTGGTCTGGATACCCTGGCTATTCTCTGACCCCAGTCACCACTTGATGTGCATGGTCAATTATTCCCCATCTATTGTTCCTTCAGCTGGCCACCCAACACTAAAATAGGGCTTCTCTATTTTACAAAGACTCTTTTACCTCTGGGGAGTCGACTTGATACTACAATTCCCAGTGTAACATTTCTTAAACTTTTTAACGTGTATTCTAATATGGTGGGTTTTGACAACTTCCCTCACATCTCCTCCCAGTTATAGTGTCATACACTTACTCTTTTACTTTTGCTTCAGAATGATTAGACCACCTCTCCTGTGGGAGTATTTCAGATGATGCTTAGCTTTAATGGATGGTTTGTATAACCCCTGAACCCAGACCACCACAATCACTAAATTGTGTGGTGCCTGACTAAGCCATATGTGGTAGTTCCGGAGGACATATGCCAGTAATCCTGGTTGGTCCCACACTTCACTTGGGACATATGGTCTATGCTAAGAGACTTGCAGCCCCACATACATCGCCCTACTCTTGCACATGCATTCACACAGTTTCCACTCTCAGTTCCTCTTCAGAGGTTATGGTGTAGGTTTCATCTGAATTAGAGAGCAAATCTTGTGTCCTGATTTGGATAACTAGATACGCACTGGGAGGTGATCAGACTCCCATTCCATCTTTATGGTATGGGTCCTTCCTTGGGCCCCAAACCTTCCCATGGTTCAGCAGCATGCTGTCCCTGGAATTGTCCTGTAGCCCCTTAAGTTCCATTGTGCTTTCGGGGGGTGCACAGGGTCACAGGACATCTGGCCTCTCTTTCAGGTTGAAGTTCTTCTGATGGTGCACCTGGGGTCACAGGTCTTTCCTGGCCTGGAGCTCCAGTCTGACAGGCAAAAGAAACAGCATACCTGTTGTCTCCAATCCTGGATGAGCTCCCAGAAAATGTTGCAGGAATTAAGGAATAGTAGAGACCAGTGGGTGGAAAAGAAGAATTGTATTGTGTGCACCCTGATTTAACAGATTAACATTTAAACACTGAGCCCCAAACAAAGACAGGGCTTGACTTTTGAGTAGCTTGGATATTCTCTCTAGAAGTGTTCTTTGGATTTGTGTGTTGGTAGGTCATCCTCTTCTGGTTCATTGACTGGGAGAAAACAGTATTTCCTTGAAGCCCTTTTTATCTGTGCCTATTGGACTTTGTCAATTAGAAGCTTCTACAGTCCATCATCTGGGATACATGAAAGACCTAAAAATCCCAGTAAATTTACATACTGTCACTCTTCAAGTTGTGAAGTCCCTAGAGAAAATGTCTTTCTCTTTCTACTTTTCAGAGTCTGTGTTTCCCTTCTGACATTATGTCAGAAACATTGGTGTGTTGCAGTGTAACTGGGAATTCTAAAAAGTGAAAGTTATAGAAAGGCTTTTAAAGTATCATGCAAAGAAATCATAGAAGATAATATTACAGAGAATGGCATGATTAGATATACCTACAATGAACTGATTGTATAAAATAAAGTTTTCACCAAAATTAAATAATCTCAAAGAAGTTTTTATAATATATGTGAAATATATGTGAAATAGCCAATGATTTATAGCATATAAATAATATAGGACAGTGAAGAAAAGATAGAATACCTTCCATACACTTGGAAAAATAATACCATTGGCAATGTTTTCAGAAAATGTAAGCAAAAATATGTCTTGCTTCAACTGCAGAAGGGATATAGTAATAACACCTTTCTCAGAGGTTTTCTTTGTTAAGTAACAAGTGATTTGATAGAAATCAAGCACTTATTTCTAGCTCTCTGGAGCAAAGTGAAAATTTGCAAAAGCAACTCTCATGACACCCAGAGACTATAAGTGTAAGACAAAATTATTTTTTAAAAATTCAAACTCACTATCAAGAAAAACATCATTTCTGAGGTTTGGACTCCAATAATATTGGTTGAGATTAACCTTAGTAGTTTGTTGAAGTAGTCAATTGAAGAGTAAAGTTGGATATACTCCCAGGAAAGAAACCATTTCTTTGTTCAAGAGGGCTGGACCCCCTGCCTAAATCATTGGTGAAAGTTCATATTGCTCAGACATTTAGTGGGAACATTTGAGTCAATACTGAAAGCCATGCCCACAGATACTGGGATCTAACACAGAATGAGGTTTTTACTCAAAGCCATGACTTAAAATTTCATATCTCAACCTCTATCCAGTGTGATATTCTAGACTGAAGAGATGATTTTCATATTACCTGAAAGATACAACTACCTTAAAATAAGAAACTGGAATAAAATACTAGATTGAACAATTAAGTTCTTAAAAACCTGAAAAGATTAACATAAAACTGCCCACCCACCAATAATAACTTTACATTTAAAAGGTTAACTTTCATTTACCACTTCAAAGACAACATTGCAAAATCAATGTTGGAAGTTCCATGCCCTAAGAGATAGTCAAGATGCTTAGGGGTCACCCTCAAAAATGAAAAGTTAAATCAAAAGAGTCTTCATAATAACTAGGGTTAGGTGTTTTTGGGGATGAAGAAATGGAATCTAAGGGAAAAACAAGTGGGTAACAGGATACAAATTTTTTAAATAGACAATTATTCATCATTGTCTAAATGAAGCATATATTAAGGGAAATCAAATAATTTTTTTTTTTTTTTTGACGTGGAGTCTCGTTCAGTCACCCAGGCTGGAGTACAGTGGCACGATCTCGGCTCACTGCAAGCTCCGCCTCCCGGGTTCATGCCATTCTCTTGCCTCAGCCTCCCAAGTAGCTGGGACTACAGGCGCCCGCCACTATGCCTGGCTAATGTTTTTTGTATTTTTAGTAGAGACGGGGTTTCGCCGTGTTAGCCCGGATGGTCTTGATCTCCTGATCTTGTGATCCACCCGCCTTGGCCTCCCAAAGTGCTGGGATTACAGGCGTGAGCCACCGCGCCTGGCCTGTTTGTTTTTTATACAGAAGATTCAGCATAAATATAGCAAGAATAAGTAATTTCCTAAGTAGATGTGAAAGTAAGGTTGCCAGATGTAGGGGGAAAATACAGGAATTTAAATATCACATTTTAATTTGAAATTTGGCAATGTATTGACAAACAACAAAGAATTATATTTCAGTATAAGTCTGTCCATGCAATATTGAGAATATTACTAAATTACAAAGCTATTGAGAATTATACTAAAATGCTGTTTGTTGTTTATTTAAAATGAAAATGTAACTGGGAATCCTTCATTTTATCTGGTGGCCATACATGAAAGGGAAGTTATGAAAGTTGAGCTCAGATTAGGAAACTTTCATCTGCATTTAAAAAAAACACCATGAGACAAAAATGTTTAGAAAGGGCAACAGGCAGAATACAAAAATTATCTCTACACAGAATATTATTCCACATATGTTTTTGTTACTTAGAGATACATTTTTCAACTTATGAAGACTATGCAAATATCAAAGACCTATCAAAACACCAAGGAAAAGAAGAATAAAGGTTTCCTTGTTTCCTTTTTTTAGCAAGAAGAATAAATATCCAAATGAAAGAGGTATTACAAGAATTTTTTATGAGGCTAATAAATGTGTTACTTTGTTAGAAAAAAGTTAACTAACTGGGTTCTACTGATAAGCTAAGAAAGTTTAGAAATATCGTGACAAATGTCAAAAGCAGGAAAAGAAATAAATATGAGTAAGAAAATTAAATCAACACAATTAGGAAAATAGGTGGCAGGTGGGGAAGGGGAGAGAAGAACTAAGGCAGATATGCCAAAGCAGAGACAAAGAAAATCTAGGGTAGAACAACTCTCTAATCAGATATTAGTTAGAGAGCTATGAGAGTAACCATATTAGATGTAAACGGTTTATATTTCTGTGTTAAAATATAAAGTACTCTAATATTAGATTGAGAAAAAATTGCTTTTACCTAGAAATAATCACCCTGAAATATTGAAAATAAAGGTTTAGAGAAAATCAACAGGTATTTATCAAAAAAGTAAGGTCACTGATATTATACAAGGCAAAGGAGAGTTTTAAGGAAAATACAAACAATAAAGAGGGATAATAAAATATAATTTATAAGGTAACAGACAAAATAAGAAATATCAAAATATGAAAATATATTTTAAAGATAATATAACAGTCACAAATTTAAATGTCTCAGCAGCATTGTCTCAACCTACACCTGAGGCAAATTTTATGAATATCTATTTATGTAGACAAATCCCAATTGTAGTGAGAGGTGTTTAATATATTACTCACTTAGACTGATGAGTATACAGAAATTTAATAGTTAATAGATATACTTTGCAATGTTTATGTACTTACTTTTCTTCAGTTTTTTAAAGTGAAGCCTAGTAGTAGAGCACATTTTCAGGATTTGACAGCTCTGCTAGTAGAGAAAGAATTAATACAGAATAACCCTCATCCCCTTTAACATCAAGTCTATCTAATCTAAGTAGCACCTTGCTTTACCTTCTGACATGCTTACTAGTCATCATGCTCAACCTTCTTTTCCAGATCCACTTTCTCATGATACTGTCTTCTAACTGGCTTACATGGATGCCAGCAAAATGCAGGCTTACCAGGGTATCAAAGCAAAGAAAGAACACGAACTGCAAGATATCCAGTTTCTCTAAAAGGAGTAACTCACTTCTTACACATAAATGTTTGCCAGAGTGTTTCAGCCAACACATTGACAGCTCTGACAAATTATCAGACAACTGCTCTGCATTACAGATGTATATCCCACCAAACTAAAGTAGACGTTCAAACACCTTTCTGTCTCAAGCTGCTGAGATGTAGCTCCCGGAATACCTTCCAGTGAGTACATCTTTTTCTTTAGAGCAAATATTGCAGGTTATATGTTAGCAATTTTAAAAGGTAACACTTTGACAAAATGACCTTTCACTCTGGAAATTTGTGGCACATTCACATTTGCTGCTAGAACATTTCTCTCAAGACACTCAATGGAATATGTGATACTCTTTGATAAGGACCTGTGACATGCCAGCATCAAAAGATGAGATGATAAATTCATATATATGCTATCTATTCTCAAATAAGTGTTACCTACATAGGAAATAAAGTGAAATTGGTGTGAAGTTTCAATTCTGACAGCTGGCACTTATTAAACTTTGGCGCATAAGTAACGTGATTCATCTCATGACTTTTTAAATTAGCTTTCTCTCCGAAGTCCGTGTCCCATTAATTTCCTCAGCCAAGAAGAAAATATTTTTCAATAATCCTAAAAGTAGGTACAATTCTGCTGACTCTACTAGATACTCTAAAAAATCTAGATTCAGACTCATTGACAAGAATTCCAGAAGCACTTTTATAATAGGTTTTATTTCAACAAAATACTGATCTAGTTTTTATTATCCTTGAGAAATAAATGTCATCTCTGCCTTAAAGAGTATTTGGTATACATTTTTCAGAATTTATATCAAAACCAATGACCTAAATATCTTTCACAGAATTTCGTTCTATGTATTTTTTTAAATTAAGAATTTTTACCTCACCAAAACAACCACCAGTTTAAACTATTTTTCAGTGCTCTGGGTAAACAGTTTCACATCCACTATCTAAAACCTAATTTCAAATTGGCCAAAGATCTGTAACCTTTGACTTCTATAGACTTGAAGATGTAAGTAATTTAAATTAGGGTTGGTATTTCATTTTCTTCTTATCTAAATCTTAATTCCTTGGAATAACAAAGTTTGGTGTTGCATAAGAAAACTTCCTGAGTTTAAGACATTTTCAAAAGAAATTTGCCTTCTGCCTTATTGTATTCCAGATATTCAGTGACTATAGTTACAGTGTGTTAGTGATGGTAAATTCTGTGCAGTTCTTTATGAAATACTCTACATAACTGTTAGGTACATCAGTGTTTTTCAAATGGGCTGCTTAATACAGGATCCATTGTGTATATTCACCTTAAAATTTAACTTGTGATTTGGCTGTTTCCTGGATTTGAGAGCACCACATGTGCAGAAATGTACTCAAAATTAAGAAAGGAAGTACAATTTTATATGGATGCTATTAAATTTGAACATCAAGTATCACATGTATCAGTGGGTTTTTCTTTTTTTTTATTTTTATTTTTTTGGTTACTCTATAAAAATGCCTGTTTGGGATTTTTTAATTTTAACTGAGAGAAGTTCTCTTCTGTATAGAACAAATATTCCAAAATAGTTACGTGTTTTGTTTTCCTGTTGCATGACAAAATTAACTATTATTTCCAGCAATGGTGGTGCCTTCAGAGTCCAGTATTGCAGAAGATGTAGTGCCTCAAGTCTAATTTTAACTTTCTAATTCTGGTAGCTATTGTCAGAAACTTTTGAAAGCTTTGTTTATGTAGCCTTATTTTTTATGTAAAGAGAATTAAATTTTGCTATGTATAATTTTTTGTAATCTAACAGTTAATCCACATTGTCAATCAGTGTCAAGGGCTTCCTATTGTTCTACTCAAGTGTTACAATAAGTATTTGTAGATAATAGTTAATCCTTGTCTATGCTTATTTTAAAGATCTATATTGGTGAAAATAGTTGTGGATATATTAAGAGAAATGAAATAAAAGTATAGCTTCATTCACTTGCCTTTTTACTTTATACAAATCTTATCTTTCTTTTTCCCTAGTATGCTGTGACTTTTGAATAATGTGCGTAGTAAAGATTTCACACTGGTGTGGTAGTCAAGTCTGTGAGTGCTACTTGGTTTATTTCTGGAAAATTTTCTTCAGCCATTTAAGAAAATATTATAATCTACCGGGCTGTACTGGGTATAAAAGTGCCAAAAGCACTTCTGTAGTTTTCTGTATATAGTAAGTACTTTCCTGACTAGTTTTGAAACAAATAAAAGCCACCTACCTATGAGATTAACAAGGCTTAAACTTGTGCAAATTACAAGCAATCAGTGCCCATGTGTAGTTGTTTATTTTTCAAATCGATGGTATAAAAATTGAAAGATTTACTCAGAAATATAGAGCAACCAGTTCTAACAATTACTCTCTAGAGTTGCAGAGCTAAATATGTTACTCAGAGTATTATTATATAATGTTTTTCAACTCCTTATTTGTCAATATAATTCTGAATTTGGATTGTCCGCATCTGACCTTTTTTAGTGAGGCCTAGCCTTTGTCACTATTGACACATGCCTACTCTTCATTGAGGTGCTGACTCTGGATCATCATCCTTTATTCATACATGACAGAAAAACAGTCAACAGTTCAATTAGTGTGCTATTTGTCACCTTCCTTTCTTCCTACTTTTAAGTAGCATTTTGTGCAATTATTTAAGTCACATGAATAGACAGGAAACTAAATAATACATAGATGTGATCACAGGCAGCCTCTAAATTATCCACAGTGATTCTGCCAAAAAACCTAGGACAATCTACAGGTTTCAGTAGAGATTTTTTTTTCCAGTTCTGCATTGTAAACGTTGATTTTTAGAAAATAAAAATGAAATCAATTGTAAAGAAGGAGCCGTGTGTTTTAAAATTAATGAAACACTTGAAGCCCATTCATTAAGTATGAGGACCAATGGTTCCACAATAAAGATGCTATCTCAGTACCTTCCTGCTGCAATAACACAATACATTGGACTGGGTAACTTATAAAACCAGAAGTAAATTTCTTACAGTTTTAGAGACTGAGAAGTCCAAGATCAAGGCATTGATGGTCTCCATGTCTGGTGAAGGCCTGGTCTCTGCTTCCAAGACGGCACCTTGTTGCTGCCTTCTCTAGAGAGGACAAATACAGTGTCTTCTAATGGTGGAAGGGCTAAAAAGCTTTGTTAGTTCCATTGAGTTCTTTTATAAGGTCGCTAATTGCTCTCTTATTTGCCTCCCAAAATCTTGAATTTTTACTTCTACCATTCTGGGGTGTTTAAATTCCAACATATAAATTCTGGAGGGACACAATTACTAAAGCCACAGGCATCAAATGCAAAGACCAGAGGCAATATTGTACTATTTCTAATGCCTAGAAAAATCTGTATTTTAGTGTTCAGGTAGAAAACAGAAATGTGCTGGGAAAAATGGCCTCTTGTTTTACAGAAGGCAGCCCAGCTCTTCAGAGGAAAGAACACAGCTCACCCTTCCCAAATATAGGCCTAGATTTGACAAATAAGATAGGTTAAACACATTTAAAAATTTGAGACCAAAATAAGAATGTTTTTTAAAAAGAACAGCTCCTTTTAGTGTAATGAATGAGACATTTTATGACTGGAAAAGGGGTTTCACTTGACTCGATTATTCTTGGTTCATACACTATAGTATCAAATGCAATTAGGAAAAAACAAATACACTGGATTACACAGTGATTTCTATCGAGAGTTTTGTCTGATGACAGAGAAACATTTACAAAGGGGTAAATGTTATGTATCTTCTCATTATATTTGCAATAGAAGCTGGAGAGCAAACCTGGTTTTCAAGAGTGATCTGGTCCTTCATGAGAAAATCCTGTTCAATTACCAAAGGGGAGACAAAAATTAAAACGTAAAAATTTTGAAAATTTGTGTCAGATTTATTTGGTATCTTTGTAATGTTCTCAATTTATTTTCTGGGGAGTTTCTGGTCTTGCTTATCAATTATATTAGGATCAATTTCACAAGTTAGAAAATCCAATCCTTTCTTTTTATAGTCAGTAATTCTGACTGATTCAATAACTTCTTACAGGCAACCTCAAATTTCTAACCATTTCTTTTGGCTGAAAAAATAAGCAATTAACCGTTCACACATAAAACACAGTGTGGGGAAACCAAGTCCATTTCAACTTTGTCACTAGATTGAAGCATGTCTATAGGGAGCCTTCCTGAATCACCTTTCTTGAGCTCTGATTACCTGGGGGAAAGGGAAGAATTTTGAAATTAGGTATGCATTAATTTTATGAAATACTTGGCTAAGAACCATTTTTGAAACATACATGTAATTTGAAAGCCTAAAAAAGCAGTGATTTATAAACACAAAATTTAGCAAGCACATCAAAATAAACCATAAGGTATGCATTTAACACCATGATGCTTCTGACATATAAAATATTAATGTCAGTACTAATGTCCTTGTTATATGATAATAGTTTTTTTTCTCTTGGTCCTAAAACAGTGAACCACCCTACCTTACAAATTTTGACAAACTAAAATCTCTTAAATATTTTATCTTAAGAATGAAATATTTTATCTTAAATGTTTATCGGAAGAGTAATACCTTTAAAAGACTCGAGGTTCCATCTGAACTTTCGATTTTTTATGCTTTTCACCTTTTTGTCTTCAACGGAGAAGAAAGATTACTTGGATGTGCATTCTTGTTTCGAGAAGTAAAAATAAACCACAGAAGCCCTGTGTGTCCCCGCCCACAGTGTGTGTGCCAGTGAACTAATTTTTCATAATGGAAGTCATTCCTATCATCAATGGAAAACAAATAGATCATCTCAATGAAGGAAGCCATTAATTTCCCTCAAGTGTCCTGCGCTTTAGATTTGAATTAACCAGGAATCCAGGGAACATTCTTATGTTACAGTAATTCAAGCAAGACTTAACAAGGTTGTTAAGTGGACAGAGTAATCCATCTGATAGGACAAGAATCAGAATACAGATGTGAAGAAGAGAACCTGAGGAAAAAGGGGTGCAGCATACGCCCCTGGAAGCAAACTTGGACTGGCAGCCATCTCCACCTTTGGGTTCTTCTAGTACCAGCTAGCTGACACTGACAGCCTCTTCCTTAAACTCTGATTTCAAAGCAACATTCTGAAGCAAAGCACAGTCTACTTTTTTACAGCCTTATTTAAGGATCAGATGAGAATGCACAAAAATTACCTTCAAAAACAACCATTTACTACCAAACTCCTAAGCTGCATATTCTACACAGCATTTCTCACTGCTTGTAAGACAAGAAGAGGACAGGGATTCCTTTTCGGGCACCTGCCACTCCTCTGAATTTGGACACTAATTGACTCCCTTCACTCACCTCAATGTAGTTACTAAAGGTGAACAATGCAGCAACTTGTACAGAGAATTAAGTCATAATTATTACCCTTTCTTGATCCAGTTTTTCTAGTTCCCTCTGTTCCCTTTCTAAAATGTAGGTTACTCTGCCTTTTTTTCTTCTCTCTGCCTTCATTCTTTCACTTGCTGTTTCCACATTTTTTTCTTCTTCCTTTTGTTCTTCAATTTCTTTCTGATCTAGATCTAATAGAACAGAAAATAAAGAATTGCTGCCTGTATCACATTGTTCAAATGAATGCAGGACCATTCTGCAGGAGTCCTTGCCAAGATCCGGAGAGACTCTGCTGGGCTTTTGGTTGACATGTGACCTGCTTCAAGTTGCTCTTCCCTGTTCATTGACTTCAGGCCCCCAATCCCACTCCTTGCCACTGCATTCCACTTCACTTGGCTGAGATGAATACAAGTCACCCTCATCATGGCCGACTCCAACTGACATATCCTCCCTCCATGTCACAGGTTCTTGTCCTTTACACAGATCTCCTTTCTCTTCTTGAAAGCAAAGCCTACATTTCAACCTCTGCCTTTCATTATAATACCTCTCCTATCTGTATGACCCTGACTGAGCCACTGATCCCTATTTCTATACAGATCAGTTTTATAATTCTTACTCCCATAAAGATGCTCAACTCTGTTCTACTCTGAAAAACAGAACAGACATCAAACCCCTGCACTCCCCCAGCCATTCTAGCCATCTCACTGTTCATTTCCCACTTCCTCCAAATGGACAGCAGCCCTTCCTGGGGTTTTCACTATTATTCAGATAAGGATCCTTTCCATATCTTTTCCTCTATTCCTGCTCTCTTCACCTACCCTTGCATCCACAGTTCTGATAGTTTTCTACTATACACATGTGAAATCCCCACAATACCAGCTTCATCATGGGTGTGATCATTCTAGTTTTTTGTTTTGTTTTGTTTTTTTGTTTTTTGTTTTTTTTTTTTTTTGTCATGCTCTTTCCATCCTCCATCTGCCCAGCAACCAGCGCTGGCACATTCATATTCCCTGTATTTCAGCTGCAACAGGGGTCTTCCACACCATCTCCCTGAAATACTTAAACAGCCCAGTCAGGACTCTCCTTGAAGTCAGTCTGTACCTTCTAGTAACTTGTGATCATTTCTACCAGGCATTTCCTGAGGCATTTCCTGTGTATCTGCTGTGCAGTGTCTCTGCTCTGGTAGAATTCAACACCATGGTAGTATGGGCTCCAATAATCTGCCTTTATCTTTCCATATCGATTTCCTGTAACACCACCAGCTTTGTACTAGAAATATTTCATCTCTCTCAACCCACTCACTGGGGCCTGGCCATGGCTGTGTCTTCCTTGCTTGTCATTTGCCTTTACTGTATCCTCAGCCTGTATTAATCCCATGCTGTCATAAAGCCTGATATGACCTAACTGAAATGATAAAACCTAACTGAAATGTCATCTCCTCCTTATTTCTGAAGGGACAAGTAACCAAACCAGTCCAGCACCTTACTTGCACGATATCTTGCACCTGCTTCTTGAAAACCTACAGATACTTGTTTCGTCCACTTCTATTTTATCCAGGGAATGCCCATGTTTTAATAAATTGTCTCTTCCCTTTGCATCTTGGCACAGATCTCTGCATCTCACATGTTTAATTACATCTCATGCTCAGAAACAATTTTACTGACCTTTCTCTTCAAGTTCTGACACGTAACTTATTTTTTTATAAAGCTAGCAATGCTAATAACAAGAAAAATTCATAGGCTTACAGGAGGATTCTGCACCCTTTTGCTCTTCCTTATTTTAAAGTCATCAGCAGGGAGTTAGTTAGTTTCACGAATAAGAGAGAAGCAACACAATTTTTTCTCTCATTACCACCCATCTCGTCTCAATACTTCTGATGAAATTAAAATACAAAAAGGGACAATTTCTGCAGACAGAAATGCAACTTCCTCCTTGTTTAAAGAAGAAACAAAAGTTACTCTAAAGTGAGATTGCTTTCTTATGTGGAATAGTATTCTCAAAATAGCAATGTTGTTTAAGCACATTTATATTGAGAAATAAATAGGAAGAACAAACTACTTTTCTACTCTGGTGTGTATTTTGCACCTGTATGGTGGAATACAGAAATGTCTTTGGACACAAAGGCAAAGAAATAAAGTATGTTTATTGGGTACCTCATAGCAGAGACAACAAATTTCAGCCTTTTCCATATCATCTGTGCCCATGCAGAGGTGAAATGATGAATATAAAAATTTCTCAATAACAACTATGTTACTCGCTATGCTGCTTAAAAATTTTAAGGCAAATATTATAATGTACATTCTCTCTGAGAGGTAGAACACCTTGTTACTCAGTTGATTTCGTTTATTCTATCATGTTATTTTTATTCCCTTGCTTAGGCCTGTGAAAAATGGCTGCCTGTCAGAAACTCCCTCTTGTGGCCATGTCACCTATGCATCAGCTGCAACCGGTTTCTTCTGCAGTCCTGGGTAATGGCTTGCTGACCATCTGCCTCAATGTCTAGAAATCAGGAAGACAAAGGCTTGGTTTGGTTCACTGTTGTATGTTCAGCCCCAAGGAAAGTGCCCAGCAGACAGAGGCTCTAGATCAAGTCTCACTGAGTGCTTTCCAAAGCAGATTTACTCGGGAATCAGCAAAACACAATTTCTCAAAATCCCTTGCCTATTTAAGTAATTCTATGTGTTCCTCAGTGCCATGAATACACCCAAAAAACTGCTAACCAGACGTTTTGGTAATGTTTTGAAGAAGATGTATTTTCAATATTTGTGGGGAACAAAGAGGTGGCTTAACTTGAGAAATTATCTTTCATATTTGAGGATTAAACACTTTGATCCCAAAAGAAAGGATCCTGGATGTTTGCTCAGCCCTGGAACAAAAGTGCAAAGCTCCAACATCTCTCTTCCCATCTCCCTCCATCTCCAGCAAGGAAAGTTGGTAATCTTAAAGAAGGCTGGAATAAGAAAGTGGGACAGACAAGAGAAGTCTGATGGCCAGTTTTTGTATAGTGCTAAGTTAAACCAGTGTTACAGCTTTTCCAAAAATTGAAATACGAAATCTATTTCCCCAATTCCTTATTTTTTTTTACTTTTTTTAAATATTATACTTAAATTCTACAGTACATGTGCATAATGTGCAGGTTTGTTACATATGTATACATGTGCCATGTTGGTGTGTTGCACCCATTAACTCATCATTTACATTAGGTATGTCTACTAATGCTATCCCTCCCCGCTCCCCACACCCCAAGACAGGACCTGCTGTGTGATAGTCCCCTTCCTGTGTCAAACTGTTCTCGTTGTTCAAGTCACACCTACGAGTGAGAACATGTGGTGTTTGGTTTTTTGTCCTTGTGATAGTTTGCTGAGAATGATGGTTTCCAGTTTCATCCATATCCCCACAAAGACATGAACTCATCTTTTTCTATGGTTGCATAGTATTCCGTGGTGTATATATGCCACATTTCCTTAATCCAGTCTATCATTGATGGACATCTGGGTTGGTTCTAAGTCTTTGCTATTGTGAATAGTGCCGCAATAAACATACGTGTGCATATGTCTTCATAGCAGCATGATTTATAATCCTTTGCGTATATACCCAGTAATAGGGATGGCTGGGTCAAATGATATTTCTAGTTCTAGATCCTTGAGGAATTGCCACACAGTCTTCCACAATGGTTGAACTAATTTACTGTCCCACCAACAGTGTAAAATTGTTCCTATTTCTCCACATCCTCTCTAGCACCAGTTGTTTCCTGACTTTTTAATGATCACCATTCTAACTGGTGTGAGATGGTATCTCATTGTGGTTTTGCTTTGCATTTCTCTGATGGCCAGTGACGATGAGCATTTTTTTCATATATCTGATTGTTGCATAAATGTCTTCTTTTGAGAAGTTTCTGTTCATATCCTTCACCCACTTTTGGATGGGGTTGCTTGTTTTTTTTCTTGTAAATTTGTTTGGGTTCTTTGTAAATTCTGGATATTAGCCCTTTGTCAGATGAATAGATTTCAAACATTTTCTCCCATTCTGTAGGTTGCCTGTTCACTCTGATGGTAGTTTCTTTTGCTGTGAAGAAGCTCTTTAGTTTAATTAGACACCATTTGTCAATTTTGGCTTTTGTTGCCATTGCTTTTGGTGTTTTAGGCATGAAGTCCTTGCTCATGCCTATGTCCTGAATGGTATTGCCTAGGTTTTCTTCCAGGGTTTTTATGATTTTAGGTCTAACATTTAAGTCTTTAATCCATCTTAAATTAATTTTTGTATAAGGGGTAAGGAAGGAATCCAGTTTCAGCTTTCTACATATGGCTAGCCAGTTTTCCCAGCACCATTTATTAAATAGGGAATCTTTTCCCCACTTCTTGTTTTTGTCAGATTTGTAAAAAATCAGATGGTTGTAGATGTGTGGTATCATTTCTCAGGGCTCTGTTCTGTTCCATTCATCTATATCTCTGTTTTGGTACCAGTACCATGCTGTTTTGGTTACTGTGGCCTTGTGGTATAGTTTGAAGTCAGGTAGCGTGATGCCTCCAGCTTTGTTCTTTTGGCTTAGGATTGACTTGGCAATGCGGGCTCTTTTTTGGTTCCATATGAACTTTAAAGTTTTTTTTTCCAATTCTGTGAAGAAAGTCCTTGGTAGCTCGATGGGGATGGCACTGAATCTATAAATTACCTTGGGCAGTATGGCCATTTTCACGGTATTGATTCTTCCTACCCATGAGCATGGAATGTTCTTCCATTTGTTTGTATCCTCTTTTATTTCATTGAACAGTGGTTTGTAGTTCTCCTTGAAGAGGTCCTTCACATCCCTTGTAAGTTGGATTCCCAGGTATTTTCTTCTCTTTGAAGCAATTGTGAATGGGAGTTCACTCATGATTTGGCTCTCTGTTTGTTATTGGTGTCTAATAATGCTTGTGATTTTTCCACATTGATTTTGTATCCTGAGACTTTGCTGAACTTGGTGATCAGCTTAAGGAGTGTGAGATGGTATCTCATTGTGGTTTTGATTTGCATTTCTCTGATGGCCAGTGATGATGAGCATTTTTTCATGTGTTTTTTGGCTGCATAAATGTCTTCTTTTGAGAAGTGTCTGTTCATGTCCTTCGCCCACTTTTTGATGGGGTTGTTTGCTTTTTTCTTGTAAATTTGTTTGAGTTCATTGTAGATTTTGGATATTAGCCCTTTGTCAGATGAGTAGGTTGCGAACATTTTCTCCCATTTTGTAGGTTGCCTGTTCACTCTGATGGTCGTTTCTTTTGCTGTGCAGAATCTCTTTAGTTTAATTAGATCCCATTTGTCAATTTTGGCTTTTGTTGCCGTTGCTTTTGGTGTTTTAGACATGAAGTCCTTGCCCATGCCTATGTCCTGATTGGTAATGCCTAGGTTTTCTTCTAGGGTTTCTATGGATTTAGGTCTAAGGTTTAAGTCTTTAATCCATCTTGAATTGATTTTTGTATAAGGTGTAAGGAAGGGATCCAGTTTCAGCTTTCTACATATGGCTAGCCAGTTTTCCCAGCACCATTTATTAAATAGGGAATCCTTTCCCCATTGCTTGTTTTTCTCAGGTTTGTCAAAGATCAGATAGTTGTAGATATGCAGTGCTATTTCTGAGGGCTGTTTTCTGTTCCATTGATCTATATCTCTGTTTTGGTAACAGTACCATGCTCTTTTGGTTACTGTAGCCTTGTAGTATAGTTTGAAGTCAGGTAGTGTGATGCCTCCAGCTTTGTTCTTTTGGCTTAGGATTGACTTGGCGATGCAGGCTCTTTTTTGGTTCCATATGAACTTTAAAGTAGTTTTTTCCAATTCTGTGAAGAAAAGCATTGGTAGCTTGATAGGGATGGCATTGAATCTCTAAATTACCTTGGGCAGTATGGCCATTTTCAGGATATTGATTCTTCCTACCCATGAGCATGAAATGTTCTTCCTTTTGTTTGTATCCTCTTTTATTTCATTGAGCAGTGGTTTGTAGTTCTCCTTGAAGAGGTCCTTCACATCCCTTGTAAGTTGGATTCCTAGGTATTTTCTTCTCTTTGAAGCAATTGTGAATGGGAGTTCACTCATGATTTGGCTCTCTGTTTGTCTGTTGTTGGTGTATAAGAATGCTTGTGACTTTTGTACATTGATTTTGTATCCTGAGACTTTGCTGAAGTTGCTTATCAGCTTAAGGAGATTTTGGGCTGAGACAGTGGGGTTTTCTAGATATACAATCATGTAGTCTACAGACAGGGACAATTTGACATCCTCTTTTCCTAATTGAATACCCTTTATTTCCTTTTTTTTTTTTTTTTTTTTTTTGAGATGGAATCTTACCCTGTAGCCCAGGCTGGAGTGCAGTGGTGTGATCCTGGCTCACTGCAAGCTCCACCTCACAGGTTCATGCCATTCTCCTGACTCAGCCTCCAGAGAAGCTGGGACTACAGGTGCCTGCCACCATGCCCGGCTAATATTTTGTATTTTTAGTAGAGATGGGGTTTCACTGTGTTAGCCAGGATAATCTCAATCTCCTGACTCATGATCTGCCCACCTCAGAAGAAATACATTCTCTAAAATCACTCATTTTAAATCTGATAAGTTAATGATGTATTTATGAGCTTAGCTCAAACTCTGAAATTTGTCATGCTGAGATTTTTAAAAGTAAACAGACACAACCATAAAAAGTTTCATGATAGGAAAATGAGGTGATGCAGCTGTACTTGTAGTTTTATCACAGAATAAAAATGTTCCAATTTGTAGCTGCTTTTTTTTAATACCAATAGATATGTTTCACCAAAACTAATTTTTCTACAACTTCAACTTATAAAAACTGATACTTATGTTGAAACTTACCTTTAAAAGGTGAGTCAAATTAGTCATTGTCCTTAAAATTTAGCTTGTTGACAACTGAAAATTCACTTTTGTCTTGAAGTTCCCTCTGTCTGTGGTAAAGGCTAGATTGGAAAAATAAAATTCATGAATATGAAGTTCTAATAATGGAAAACCCAAGAGCATCAGGTGGCAAAAATCCTTCTGTTACTCAAGAAAATGCTCTGAAAAATTTCTTTTCTCTTTTTTTTGTAAAGATTACTCCACCTCACCACCATCATGAGGCACTGTTCTCAGCAATTAATACCTGCTTACTCAGTTACTCACTGTAACTATGTTATACTGTGAAGTGGGTACTACAGTTGTTAAGGAAGAATAATGTTGGACTCTGAATGCTACTCCTAGGAGTTTACTTTTTCAATAATGATAAAACATTTCCAAAACAATTTCTGCATATAATCAGCATGAGCCAGATGAGGAGGCATTAGCAAAAAATTGAGTGAACAGAGTGCCCTACTTAGCATATGTGTGTGTCTTATCCTTCCTTTTCGCTTATCACAAGTACAAAAAAAAAAATAACCTGGCCATGTGTGGTGGATCATGCCTGTAATCCTAGCACTTTAGAAGGCTGAGGCTTGCAGATTACTTGGTCAGGAGCTTGAGACCATCCTGGCCAACATGGTGAAAACCCGTCTCTACTAAAAATATAAAAATTAGGTGGAGCCAAGATGGCCAAATAGGAACAGTTCCAGTCTACAGCTCCCAGCAAGAGCGATGCAGAAGATGGCTGATTTCTGCATTTCCAACTGAGGTACCGGGTTCATCTCACTGTGGAGTGTTGGAAGGTGGGTGCAGGACAGTGGATGCAGCATAGTGAGCATGACCCAAAGCAGGGTGTGGCATCACCTCACCTGGGAAGTGCAAAGGGTCAGGGAATTCCCTCCCTAGTCAAAGAAAGGGGTGACAGATGGCACCTGGAAAATCAGGTCACTCCCACCCTAATACTGCACTTTTCCAATGGTCTTAGCAAATGGCATACCAGAAGATTATATCCTGTGCCTGGCTCAGAGGGTCTTATGCCCAAGGAGCCTCACTCATTGCTAGCACAGCAGTCTGAGATTAAACTCCAAGGGGGCAGCGAGGCTGGGGAAGGGACACCCATGATTGCTGAGGCTTGAGTAGGTAAATAAAGAGGCTGGGAACCTCGAACTGGGTGGAGCCCACCGCAACTCAAGGAGGCCTGCTTGCCTGTGTAGACTCCATCTCTGTGGGCAAGGCATAACCAAACAAAAGGCAGCAGAAATCTCTGCTGACTTAAATGTCCCTATCTGACAGCTTGAAGAGAGTAGTGGTTCTCCCAGCATGCAGCTGGAGATCTGAGAATGGAAAGACTGCATCTTCAAGTGGGTCCCTGACCCCCAAGTAGCCTAACTGGGCGACATCCCCCACTGGGGGCTGACTGACACCTCATACAGCAGGGTACTCCTCTGAAACAAAACTTCCAGAGGAACGATCAGGCAGCAATATTTGCTCTTCACCAATATCCGCTGTTCTGCAGCCTCTGCTGCTGATATTCAGGCCAACAGGGTCTGGAGTGGTCATCCAGCAAATTCCAACTGACCTGCAGCTGAGGGTCCTGACTGTTAGAAGGGAAACTAACAAACAGAAAGGACATCCACACCAAAACCCCATCTGTATGTCACCATCATCAAAGACCAAAGGTAGACAAAACCACAAAGATGGGGGAAAAAACAGAGCAGAAAAACTGGAAACTCTAAAAATCAGAGCACCTCTCCTCCTCCAAAGGAATGCAGCTCCTCACCAGCAATGGAACAAAGCTGAATGGAGAATGACTTTGGCCAATTGAGACAAGAAGTCTTCAGACAATCAAACTACTCCAAGCTAAATGAGAAAGTTCAAACCCATGGCAAAGAAGTTAAAATCCTTAACAAAAAAATTAGACGAATGGCTAACTAGAATAACCAATGCAGAGAAGTCCTTCAAGGACCTGATGGAACTGAAAACCAAGGCAAGAGAACTATGTGATGAATGCACAAGCCTCAGTAGCAGATCAGTTGGAATTTGCTGGATGACCACTGCTGTATGAGATACAGCTACTACTGGATCTGCACTGAATCTGCTACTGGATCAACTGGAAGAAAGGGTCTCAGTGATGGAAGATGAAATGAATGAAGTGGAGAAGAGAAGTTTAGAGAAAAAGGAATAAAAAGAAACAAAGAAAGCCTCCAAGAAATATGGGAATATGTGAAAAGACCAAATCTACATCTGATTTGTGTACCTGAAAGTGACGGGGAGAATGGAACCAAGTTGGAAAACACTCTGCAGGATATTATCCAGGAGAACTTCCCCAATCTAGCAAGGCAGGCCAATATTCAAATTCAGGAAATACAGAGAACACCACAAAGATACTCCTCAAGAAGAGCAACTCCAAGACACATAATTGGCAGATTCACCAAAGTTGAAAACAAGGAAAAAATGTTAAGGACAGTCAGAGAGAAAGGTTGGGTTACCCACAAAGGGAAGCCCAACACACTAACAGCTGATCTCTCAGCATAAACTCTACAAGCCAGAAGAGAGTGGGGGCCAATATTCAACATTCTTAAAGAAATGAATTTTCAACCCAGAATTTCATATCCAGCCAAACGAAGCTTCATAAGTGAAGGAGAAATAAAATCCTTTACAAAGAAGCAAATGCTGAGAGATTTTGTCACCACCAGGCCTGCCCCAAAACAGCTCTTGAAGGAAGCACTAAACATGGAAAGGAACAACCAGTACCAGCCACTGCAAAAACATACCAAATTGTAAAGACCATTGAGGCTAGAAAGAAACTGCATCAACTAACAAGAAAAATAATCAGCTAATATCATAATGAAAGGATCAAATTCACACAAAACAAAACCAAAGCCAAAATGGACAAATGGGATCTAAAGAAACTAAAGAGCTTCTGCACAGCAAAAGAAACTACCATCAGAGTGAGCAGGCAACCTACAGAATGGGAGAAAATTTTTGCAATCTACTTATCTGACAAAGGGCTAATATCCAGAAGCCACAATGAACTCCAACAAATTTACAAGGAAAAAAAAAAAAAAAACCCATCAAAAAGTGGACTAAGGATATGAAGAGACACTTCTTAAAAGAAGACATTTATGCAGCCAAAAGACACATGAAAAAATGCTCATCATCACTAGCCATCAGAGAAATGTAAATCAAAACCTCAATGAGATACCATCTCACACTAGTTAGAATGGCAATCATTAAAAATCAGGAAACAACAGATGCTGGAGAGGATGTGGAGAAATAGGAACACTTTTACACTGTTGGTGGGACTGTGAACTAGTTCAACCATTGTGAATGTCAGTGTGGCAAGTCCTCAGGGATCTAGAACTAGAAATACCATTTGACCCAGCCATCCCTATTACTGGGTATATACACAAAAGATTACAAAACATGCTGCTATAAAGACACATGCACACGTATGTTTATTGTGGCACTGTTCACAATAGCAAAGACTTGGAACCAACCCAAGTGTCCAACAGTGATAGACTAGATCAAGAAAATGTAGCACATATACAACATGGAATACTATGCAGCCATAAAAAAATGTTGAATTCATGTCCTTTGTGGGGACATGCATGAAGCTGGAAACCATCATTCTCAGCAAACTATCACAAGGAGAAATACCCAAACACCACATATTCTCACTCATAGGTGGGAACTGAACGATGAGAACACAGGGACACAGGAAGAGGAAAATGACACACATTAAGAAATACACCTCCCTAGCTACAAGTTTCATTTGAATAACTTGATTTCCATAAATAATGCCAATGCACTTACACCAGTTAAAATGTACCAATATCTGGATCTCTGACTCATTGAAAAATTACTGAGCCAAGTAAAAACTCCAACAAATATATTTCTCTACATACAATTTAGCCCGGAATAACTTGAATTCTATCAATAATGCCAGCCCACATACACCACTTAAAGTCTGCTAATGTCTAGATTTCACATTGTCTGCCTGGTCCCAAGAATGTGCCTAACTAGCATAGCTTTTCCTTCATATATTAAATAACTTTTTTTTTTTTTTGTATTGAGCAGCAATCTTTTAATCTCAGGGAGAAAGCAAAGTCTGTCTCTGTAGGGGTTTTGCTTTGTGGATTACTCTCTAGCATTAAGAAGAGAACCTGTACGTCAGGTGCTTATTTGTTTGGATTCTTTTAAAACAAGAAAGAGCATAAATATATTGAATCCTGGATGTCTACTTTAAAATCATCTATCAAATATCTTTCTTAAACAGTAGAGAGTACTTGACGGTTATTTCTGTTTAACAGCTTCTGCAAAAGAAGAATTATCTAGCCCCAACTATAATTCTTGAAAACCTGGTATTTGCTTGGCTTCTTTATTACAAGATTCTAGCAACTTTTGTATCATAAGACACATTCATTTTCTTAATCCAGTCTATCATTGTTGGACATTTGGGTTGGTTCCAAGTCTTTGCTATTGTGAATAATGCCGCAATAAACATACGTGTACATGTGTCTTTATAGCAGCATGATTTATAGTCCTTTGGGTATATACCCAGTAATGGGATGGCTGGGTCAAATGGTATTTCCAGTTCTAGATCCCTGAGGAATCGCCACACTGACTTCCACAATGGTTGAACTAGTTTACAGTCCCACCAACAGTGTAAAAGTGTTCCTATTTCTCCACATCCTTTCCAGCACCTGTTGTTTCCTGACTTTTTAATGATTGTCATTCTAACTGGTGTGAGATGGTATCTCATTGTGGTTTAGATTTGCATTTCTCTGATGGCCAGTGATGATGAGCATTTTTTCATGTGTTTTTTGGCTGCATATGGCACATATACACCATGGAATACTATGCAGCCATAAAAAATGATGAGTTCATGTCCTTTGTAGGGACATGGATGAAATTGGAAATCATCATTCTCAGTAAACTATCACAAGAACAAAAAACCAAACACTGCATATTCTCACTCATAGGTGGGAATTGAACAATGAGATCACATGGACACACGAAGGGGAATATCACACTCTGGGGGCTGTTGAGGGGTGGGGCGAGTGGGGAGGGATAGCATTGGGAGATATACCTAACGCTAGATGACGAGTTAGTGGGTGCAGCGCACCAGCATGGCACATGTATACGTATGTAACTAACCTGCACAATGTGCACATGTACCCTAAAACTTAAAGTATAATAATAAAAAAAGAAAAATGTTCACACACACACACACACACAAAAAGACACATTCAGTATCTGTCTTATAAAAACGTTATGCATAATGTGTATGCATAATGTGGTGTGCCAATATACATATGTTGATGTGTATTGTGTATGCCTTCCAGCTGTAGTGAAATTTAGCTCTTCACCAATCATCAGTGACTGAATTTTCTTTCTTGGGACCCCAGAAACTTAGACTGTCTACAGTTTCATTTGCTATATTAGCGTTGCACAGAAATTATTAAAATGTAATGAGAAAGAAAAGGGGAGAAATATAAACTCTATGGTTTAGCTTCTAATCATAAATCAACATAATTGACTTCACCCCATTTATCTCAACTTGAACAACCAAATTTTTCAAAAGCTTCTTAACATCTCTGATTTATAAAAAACACAGATTGGGTTAAGAAACCTTGAAAATATAATATCAGAAAGTTCTACATGTACGCCTTTCTTTACAATTTTCAGAAGATATAGTCCAACGCTATCAATTTTTTATAGGCACCTGAGACTCTAGATATTAAAATACTTAGATTTTAGAATATTTATCTTCATTTCTAGCATCTAACCACTAGATGCTAAAAGCAACCTTAAGAATTCCACTCCCAGTCATGAATCAGGCTTAGAGTAAAATCTATTGATCTATAGAAAACCCTAGAAAATCACAAGGAATGTGTGTCAGCTCCATGAGCTCATCAATAATTGTTCCCCTTCCACACTATGCTTCAGCCACGGTGATCTTGCCATTTTTCCTAACACGATAAGCAGGCTTATGCCAGGAGTCTTTACACTTTTTGATCCTACTGCATAATTACAGGCTTATTCTCTTGTTCTTTCATTTAGGTATTGACAGTCTCCATGTAAGCAAATTATTTTATAAGTTTTTTATATACAACCAAAACGTACTTGGTAATATAGAATCCTGCCTAATGTATTTTATATGGAATTGATAACCTCACTTAAGAACAAAGCAAAAGCAAAACAAAGCCGGCTTTATACTATTACCACCTAATATTCAGGAATCCAAATTAGTAGATTGACTTATTTTACTCAACGTTAGTAACAGGTAAAATTATAAATCTTCTAAATATAAATAAACTCATGTGAAAATACAATTATCGCTTCATAAATAACAAGTAATTAAAAAAATTGTCTAGACCTTGGAAACCAATAATTATTTATATCAACCAATCAAAGAGTTAATCAAGAAAGACAAGTTGAAACCGCTGGGAAATTTTTTGCGGTCTTTGCATTCAACCATCCAGGCACAGATGACGTTTCAAAAGTTAAATTCCACATTCGCAAAGTGAGGCTGGGATTTCTGATCTAGGAAGGTGTGAAGAATAATGTCTGTGCTAATTTATTGAGTTTGTTCTACCCTTTAGGGGTTACATAAATTATTGATGAGGCACACTTATCTCTGTTTTGTCTGATGCAGAACTGATTTATAGTTAAAAATGTTAAGCACAGGTAACTAACATTTAAGTCCTGGGAGCAAAGGATACCGTTGATGTATAAAATAGACAACGTGTAAAATAAAGTAAAAGATGAATAGATCTTTATTTCAAAAAAAATCTTGACTTTCAAAAGTATTAAAATAACCTGAGGTATTTAAAAACTTAGTTACATAAACATAACAGAAGATATTTTCAAAAATGCGCAAAACTCTAAGCATTAATTCAGAAAATTAGCTATAATTTTAATGTGAGAAGAAAGTGAAGGCTAACGCAGAATTTTAAGCTATCTCCCTACATGATAAAGGGGAGTGTTAATACAGACCCAATTTTAAAAATTGATATTTTTATATTACACTCTGTCAAAACGCTGTTGGAATTCCAGCTAAGCCTTAAACAACAAAGGGCACATCTTGAATAAATAAAGAATACCTGACTATCAGAGTTAACATGTTATAATATTTTAAATATAGCATTCTAAAAAATAAAAGCACAAAAAATCCCACAAATTTATGGCTAATGTGAAGTAAAAACACAAACTGAAACTGTCCTAAACTTTTTAGACAAAAACTTTAAACCTGCAGTTTTAAGTATGAACAAATAAAAAATGACAGATGAAAGATAAAAGATCAACATGGGAATATCAGTGAGATTGGAACAGGAATTAAAAGAAATTAAAGAATGTGTAAGCAGAAACTCAGTTGTATGTAAGAAAACCAATCACCCCTTATTCAGCCTGTGACCCAGGAAATAATCAGCTATATGTATGTTATGACCCTAAGTGCTTACCCTGTGAATTCTGGTTTGAGGTACATATTAAATCAGAGGGAGAAAAAGAAGGAGAGTTTATAGGTCAACATGAAGAAGCCCCTCCCTCCTATAAAGGGCCTATTCTCTTGTACTTTGATGCCTGCCAGGCTGGGGATGATCATAATCTTAAAACAAAACAAAACAAAACAGAAACAGAAGCAGTCCGCGGTGGTTTGACACAAGAAAGGTTTAACAGCAGCAGTCTCAAATATCTAGATGGAGACCACAAATCGGATACCCAGACTGTAACATTCAGTGATCTATACTAACACAGCTCCTTAAAGCCAGAGCTACCTTTTTGGTCTAAAGGATGCACAGCACTATTACAAGTTGATAGACAAGGAGCTGGCTCTGGAATTCTGCTACTAACTGTCAAAAAGGCTAGAAGTAAGCATTTTGATCAGTCAATGCCTGAGCTTTCCCCATCAACCAAAAATGTGTTTGTTCAACTAGCTGAAAACATAGCTGGCGGCTGAGGAATTTCCTCATGCTATGTAAGTGTAGGAACTAATACGGGGGACCAGTGGCCATGGGGGGGCAAAGGAATTAATGCCACAAGATAACTTCACTTCGCCAAACCCTACCAATAAAGCCAGCAGTCTCAGCCAGTGTTTGCTTGTTGCAAATCTCCATAATTGGAAAGTCTTGTATTGCCTGATGGGAAAAGGCAGAATGCTTAAAAGGTAACTTAACTCTTTGTTCAGGGCTCAGTCCTTCAGAGGTTAATCTGAGTGGGCCGGTGCATCTACATAATAAGTATCCTCCTCAACCCCATCGGTCCCTCTGACTCCTTAAAAAAGTCCTTCCAGAAGACAAATTAAAAAAGAAAACCTGAAAAATCTAGAGATAAGAAGCACAATTACTTGGATTAAAAAAAAACTATTAAATAACTTTAACAACAGATTGAGCTTCAGTAAATCTGAAGACATAAAAATTGAAACAGCCTAAAATGAGAGCAAATATCTTTGTGTCTTGTCAATGAAAATACTTTAAAATTTCCTATTCTGGAGTGTTCTGAAGAAGAAATAAGAAACCACTTGAAAAGAAAGGTTGGTGGAAATTTTACAGAAGTGCTGATTTTTCACCAACTGTTTCCTGTTCTACTTTCCAGCCCCTTTGTATCTCCATCTTATAAATTGGGCAAATAATATTTTTCTTTCAGAATAGTGTTAAAAACTCAGGTGAAATGGCTATTGAAGAGCTAATACTGGAAGACCAGGTTAGAGTAAGAAAAGAGTTATTGGTCCTTCAAACTTCAGAGGGATATGACACATGTACTGTAAAACAGGAGCTAATCTTATTCTAAAGAGTTCTTAGCTTTGGCACTAACACTATTGCTCATGGCCTTATAAATGTTTGTTATCAAATCTATCTAATTAAACCCTGTATGTGGTGTCTTTGAGTAATCATCTTGATTTTTTTCTTGACCTATTTTCTCTTAAAAGGTTTTTTTTAACTCAGAAAGGGCAACATCATTAATCAGTAGAGAAATACAAATCAGAATCACAATGAGATACCACCTCAGGCCTGTCAGAATGGTGACTATTAAAACGTCAAGAAATAACAGATGCTGGAAAGTCTGTGGAGAGACAGGAAGACTTCTAAACTGTTGGTGGGAAAGTAAATTAGTGTCCACACTGTGGAAGACAGCGTGGTAATTTGTTCAAGGATCTAGAAACAACATTGACCGAGCAATGTCATTACTGGCTATCTACCCCCAAAATACAAATGTTTCATATTTGAAAGATACCTGCACGTGTATGTTTATTGCAGTACAATTAACAGCAGCAAACACATAGAATCAACTCAAATGCCGACTTTACTCAGAGAACATTATCAACTAGATACATAAAATGTAGTACATATACACAATGAAATACTTTGCAGCTTCAAAAAGCAATTAGATCATGTCTCTTGCAAGGACATGGATAAAGATGGAACCATCATCCTCAGCAAAGTAACACAGGAACAGAAAACCAAACACTACATTTCCTCACTCATGAGTCAGAGCTGAACACTGAGAACACCTGACACAGAAAAAGAAACCACACTGGGGGTGGAGCCAAGATTGTGAATAGGAACAGCTCCAGCCTGCAGCTCCCAGTGTGAGTGAAGCAGAAGATGGGTGATTTCTACATTTCCAACCGAGGTACTGGGTTCATCTCACTGGGGAGTGTCGGAAAGTGGGTGAAGCAAGAGTAAACACATTCAGAAGCTAGCAGAAGGCAATAAATAACTAAGATCAGAGCAGAACTGAAGGAAATAGAGACACAAAAACCCTTCAAAAAATCAATGAATCCAGGAGCTGGTTTTTTGAAAACATCAACAAAATTGATAGACATCTTGCAAGACTAATAAAGAAGAAAAGAGAAAAGAATCAAACAGATGCAATAAAAAATGAAAAAGGGGATATCACTACGATCCAACAGAAATACAAACTACCATCAGAGAATACTGTAAACACCTCTATGCAAATCAACTAGAAAATCTAGAAGAAATGGATAAATTCCTTGACACATACCCCCTCCCAAGACTAAACCAGGAAGAAGTTGAATCTCTGAAGAGACCAATAAGAGGCTCTGAAATTCAGGCAATAATTAATAGCTTACCAAACAAAAAAAGTCCAGAACAAGATGGATTCACAGCCAAATTCTACCAGAGGTACAAGGAAGAGATGGTACCTTTCCTTCCGAAAGTATTCCAATCAATGGAAAAAGAGGGAATCCTCCCTAACTCATTTTATGAGGCCAGCATCATCCTGATACCAAAGCCTGGCAGAGACACAACAAAAAAAGAGAATTTTAGACCAATAACCCTGATGAACATCGATGCAAAAATCCTCAATAAAATATTGGCAAACCAAATCCAGCAGCACATCAAAAAGTGTATCCACCATGATCAAGTGGGCTTCATCTCTGGAATGCAAGGCTGGTTCAACATACACAAATCAATAAACATAATCCAGCATATAAAGAGAACCAATAACAAAAACCATATGATTATCTCAATAGATGCAAAAAAGGCCTTTCACAAAATTCAACAATGCTTCATGCTAAAAATTCTCAATAAATTAGGTATTGATGGGAATATCTCAAAATAATAAGAGCTATCTATGACAAACCCACAGCCAATATCATACTAAATGGGCAAAAACTGGAAGCATTCCCTTTGAAAACTGGCACAAGACAGGGATACCCCCTCTCACCACTCCTATTCAATATAGTGTTGGAAGTTCTGGCCAGGGCAATCAGGCAGAAGGAAAAAATGGTATTTAATTAGGAAAAGTGGAAGTCAAATTGTCCCTGTTTGCAAATGACATGATTGCATATCTAGAAAACCCCATTGTCTCAGCCCAAAATCTCCTTAAGCTGATAGACTTCAGCAGAGTCTCAGGATTCAAAATCAATGTGCAAAAATCACAAGCATTCTTAGACACCAATAACAGACAAATAGAGAGCCAAATCATGAGTGAACTCCCATTCACAATGGCTTCCAAGAGAATAAAATACCTAGGAATCCAACTTACAAGGGACGTGAAGGACCTCTTCAAGGAGAACCACAAACCACTGCTTAATGAATTAAAAGAGGATACAAACAAATGGAAGAACATTCCATGCTCATAGGTAGGAAGAATCAATATCGTGAAAATGGCCATACTGCCCAAGGTAATTTATAGATTCAATGCCATCCCCATCAAGCTACCAATGACTTTCTTCACAGAATTGGAAAAAACTACTTTAAAGTTCATATGGGACCCAAAAAGAGCCCGCATTTCCAAGTCAATCCTAAGCCAAAAGAACAAAGCTGGAGGCATCACGCTACCTGACTTCAAACTATACTACAAGGCTACAGTAACCAAAACAACATGGTACTGGTACCAAAACAGAGATATAGACCAATGGAACAGAACAGAGCCCTCAGAAATAATGCCACATATCTACAACCATCTGATATTTGACAAACCTGACAAAAACAAGAAATGGGGAAAGGATTCCCTATTTAATAAATGGTGCTGGGAAAACTGGCTAGCCATATGCAGAAAGCTGAAACTGGATCTCTTCCTTACACCTTATACAAAAATTAATTCTAGATGGATTAAAGACTTAAATGTTAGACCTAAAACCATAAAAACCCTAGAAGAAAATGTAGGCAATACCATTCAGGACATAGGCATGGGCAAGAACTTCATGTCTAAAACACCAAAAGCAATGGCAACAAAAGCCAAAATTGACAAATGGGATCTAATTTAACTAGAGAGCATCTGCACAGCAAAAGAAACTACCGTCAGAGAGAACAGGCAACCTACAGAATGGGAGAAAATTTTTGCAATCTACTTATCTGACAAAGGGCTAATATCCAGAAGCCACAATGAAATCCAACATATTTACAAGAAAAAAAGAAACAACCTCATCAAAACGTGGACGAAGGATACGAACAGACACTTCTTAAAAGAAGACATTTATGCAGCCAAAAGACACATGAAAAAATACTCATCATCACTGGCCATCAGAGAAATGTAAATCAAAACCACAATGAGATACCATCTCACACCTGCTAGAATGGCAATCATTAAAAGTCAGGAAACAACAGGTGCTGGAGAGGATATGGAGAAATAGGAACACTTTTACACTGTTGGTGGGACTGTGAACTAGTTCAACCATTGTGAATGTCAGTGTGGCAAGTCCTCAGGGATCTAGAACTAGAAATACCATTTGACCCAGCCATCCCTATTACTGGGTATACACACAAAAGATTACAAAACATGCTGCTATAAAGACACATGTACACGTATGTTTATTGCGGCAGTATTCACAATAGCAAAGACTTGGAACCAACCCAAATGTCCAACAATGATAGACTGGATCAAGAAAATGTGGCACATATACACCATGGAATACTATGCAGCCATACAACATGTTGAATTCATGTCCTTTGTAGGGCCATGCATGAAGCTGGAAACCATCATTCTCAGCAAACTATCGCAAGGACAAAAACCCAAACACCGCATGTTCTCACTCACAGGTGGGAATTGACCAATGAGAATACACAGACACAGGAAGAGGAACATCACACACTGGGGCCTGTTGTTGGGTGGGGAGAGAGGGGAGGGATAACATTAGGAGATATACCTAATGTTAAATGATGAGTTAATGAGTGCAGCACACCAACATGGCACATGTATACATATGTAACTAACCTGCACATTTTGCACATGTACCCTAAACCTTCAAGTATAATAAAAAAAGAAAAAATAAATAAATAAAAATACAAAAATTAGTCAAGCATGGTGGTGTGTGTGTAGTCCCAGCTATTCAGGAGGCTGAGGCAGGAGAATTCCTTCATCCCAGGAGGCACTGGCTGCGGTAAGGTGAGACTGCACCCCAGCCTGGGTGACAGAGCAAGACTCTGTCTCAAAAAAAGATAAAAACTTTGGAAATATGACTGGTGTTGATGGAAACAGAGTATGAGTGAGGCTGATATGGGGAAACAGGAGGATTTATTTAGGTGCACCAGCTCAGTGAGCTTATATCCAAAAAGGCTGAGTATTGAATAAAGACTGAGCAGGGTTTTTATGAGCAAACTTACAGAAGCAGACCTAAAGCAACTAATTATACAATGAACAGTTATGTAATTTACAGCATAATTGTTGACTTGCATAACTTCTTGCCTTGCATAGCTGGGTTTTGCAGCTAGGTTGAAAGAGAAACAGGAACATACAGATTTTACGAAATACAAGCATTGGTAAACATAGTCATAATTAATGCTTCAGAGAAGGAGAGACAGTAAAGTAATTTGCTTTCCTTTTGAACTTTGCTTCAGTGTAGGGTATTTGTGACCCATTCCCTTGGCCTCAACTTTTTAGACAGTGTTATTTTATAACTGTCTTGGAGTGAGATAGCTACACAGAGAAAAACATGTTTTCTTTTCATTTGAACCCTTGTCTTGCCAAATTTTTCTGTTTTTTTAAAAAATCATTTTATAGGATAAATTTAATCGAAGGCATTAGTATCATTTTATTCTTTATGGGAAAGCATGTTTTCTTCTTTTGGCACAGGTTGACATTTAGTTAGAGCTATTAACTGAGTAGCAGTGGGCCTGGCTATGTTGTTTTGGGGCTATGTAGTATGAGTAGAGGGTGGGCATCATTTTTTGGGTGCTTTTTTATATCAAGGTTATGTGGGGAAAGTGTTAGCTTTCCTGTTTCTTTTGGCTTTTGACTTCCCTGCCTTTTGGTGTTCCAGATAATGCACTATTGCCACTTTTTCTGGAGCATATACAGCTGCTAAGAGCTGTAGGATTTTTTCTGTCCACTTTATTTATTTGCCTCCAGTTGTTAAGAAATTTTCTTTTTATATATAGTTCTATGAACATGTAGTGTGGTAAAAGCATATTTAGAATGTGTTTAAATATTGACCTTTTTTTCTTTTGCAGCAAAAGGGCTCTTGTTCGGTCTATTAATTTTGCCTTTTGGTCTCATGTTCCAGTAGGCAAAGATTGAGCTTCTATCATTGAGTTTAATGTTACCACTGCATACTCGGCTTGTTGGATTTTTTTCTAGCTCAAAACTCTTTCAGTTATGAAGTATTCAACATCTGGGTTTTTGAGGGATTGATCTGTAAGATCTCCTGGTTCAGCAAATACGTGATCCACTGTTTAGACACAGTTATGGAGGGGAGCATCAAATTTGACTGGGAGCAGGGTGGTTGGGCTTAAGTTGTTTGCTGTATTTTAAGTAATGTAAGGGTTTTCATATAGAAGTCCTTGGTACTGCGTTATTCTCAGATTTGACAACTAATGATGGCTTATTTGTTCATCAAAGTTTTGACTGAGTGTGGCACATGGACTGTTAGCTGCTGTCTCAAAGTAAGTGTGTTATCCTCTTGCATTAGCAAGGCAGTGGTGGCTAATGCCTTAAGGCAAGGAGGCCATCCTAGTGCCACAGAGTCTAATTGTTTAGATTAGTATTTGACTGGACAATGCTATAATTTTATAATTTCAGTTAAGAACCACATAGCCATTTCTTTTCATTTATGCAGGTACAGAAAGAAAGGCTAAGTTACATTTGGCAGACCAAAGGCTGGGACTTGAGTTAAGGGTTTTTTTGATTTTTTTAAATGATATTTGCTGTTTAGTTTGCCAGAGGAGGGTTTCGTTTTTACCCCTTTTGTAATATTATATAATGGCTTAGCCATCAGTGAAAAATTTATGATTTAGATATGGTGGAATTTTTCTTCTTTTAAGAATTTTTTAATGTAATGCCTAGTGGTTTGTGTCAGGAGTGTACAAACGGCCTGTTTCTGCTTATGGCCAAGCTGGCATTCCACATGGCTTACTATGAAACCTACATATTTGACATTTTTAAGAATAATTGGTCCTTTTTTAAAAGATAATTTTAGCCTGTTTTTCATAGGAGATGGAGGAGGTCTTGAGTTTTTTGATAACAGTCCTCCTGGGTTGGGGCTGCTAGAGGAAGGTCATCCACATACTGCAACAAGGCACAGTTAACATTTGGCAGGTTGTAGGCTTCAAGGTCAGTGCTTCCCTAAAGACTGTAGGAGAGTCTTTGAACTTGCGGGAGCCTGGCCCAGGTGAGTTGAACAACTTATTTGTTTTATTGAAATGCAAATATAGGGTGACTAACTGGGGCTAAGCAGATATAAAAGAATACATTCTTTAAATTTAGGACTGCAAATCAGGTAGCACTTGCTGGAATGAGATTTATTAAAATACACATGTTCCAAAAGTGGAGTGTTTTAGAGCAATTGACATCGAACTAAGACTTCATGTTGGTAAGGCCAGTTTAAATATTTATAGATACCTGGAATAGCTTCTCAGGGGACTGGGTACTGATGAACCCAAATCGGAGTTTCTTTTGGTTTTAACATGACTACCACCTGTGCATGATGTACAGCTAATCCAAGTAGGTTGCCTTTAACCCATACTCCAGAAATGTTATTAACTAAGTGAAATAATTTTTTTTTATCCCACCTGCAATTCTAATTTGCTGCTTGCACTTTCTTTGTATAAAGTTTCCATTCCTTAGCCTGCAGGATGATAAGGGTTAGCACCATGCTTTTTTGGAGAGTCAGAAAAAAAGTTGTTTTTTTTTTTTTTGCAGCTGAAATGTAATTGGTGCTTTCAGTTTTTGGAGTAATTTTTTTTTTTCTTAACAAGGGAACTGGACAATTCAGGAGGTATAGGAATTTATGTTGAACTTCCCATCCTTTGATGACACACCTCCTTACCAGAACAGCTTTTTTCTCTGAGATTCCTGTGGCTTTTATAATAGTTTTATAGCTTCAGATAGTGGCCCTATGGGTTGAGTCAGTATTGAATGTGTAGCCCTGGTGTTTACATAAAGTCCATCAGCTGGCCTTCAACTTTTAATGTGACCATGGGCCAATGGAGTTGTAATAAGAAAAAGCCTGGTCTGTCCTAGTACCCATATCCTTTAGTGCCAGCCAGCCTGTTTAGATTCGTATTTGATTTTCCCACAGTGAGGCAGCCCTTAGCTGGACTCTTTTATACCACAGTCCTGATTATACTTTTTATTACCTTCTGGACATTTATTCTTTCAGTATTTTTCTTTTGCATCACACACATTGTTTTCTCTCTAGCCTCGGCTGGCTTTTAAATTTTTGACTAAATTGACATCTTTCACATGCACGTGCACATCCACATTCTTGTATATTGCTAGTCATTTTTTTAATGAGAGCTGCTGCTAAGAGATTGGCCTTTTTTAAACCTCTGATTTGCTTTTTTTTTTTTTCTTTGCTTCCTGGTGATGGTTAACCTACATTTTGGTGGCCATTTCTGTAAGCTGGGTTGTATTCGTGCCTGCAAAACCATGTACTTTTTGCAGCTGGTGCATTGGCTTCTAGCCCTTGATGGGATGCCTGAGTTATCCTCTGGCACTCCTCCATGTTGAACAATGTTAAGATAAGTTATCTTCAATTTAGCCAGGTTGGATTGTGTGTTAGAAAGGTGGACTGTGTTAGATTTATGAGAGCTTGGGGCTTTTCCTTGTAGGAGTTAGTGTGTTGATTTACATTTAGGAGATTAGTGGTTGAAAAGGGCTGATAGAGGAAGGTTTGCTGCCCCCCACACCAGGATGTGGCACTGGTCATTATAACAGATGAGTCCTTGCATTTCCCTGAGAGGTATTTACATAGCTTGACCATGATCAGATTTGAGGCAGCCTGGTTCACTATCCTGAATTCCATCACTGGCCTCTCAAGGCTCCAATTCTTCCCTCTGGGGTGAAACCTGGGGTGTACTGGCAATGGAACCTAGCTCCTGGGGGGCTGTTTGCCTCAGCAAAGGGAGGTAGGCTATGAAAAATGGAGGAGAATTTTTTTTTCCTTTTGTAGTTTTTTAAAACTGGGTTTCCTTTCTGTCCTTGGGACTTTCCTTTTAACTCAGTGTTTGCTGGTGAAGCTGCTTCTATTTTCACTTTTGGCTCGGCCTGCGCTACAAGTGTTTTGCAATAAGCTGTGAAGCAGGGCTGGATTCATGTTGTTCTTGTTTGTATTATATTTAATTATGAGTTAATATAAGAAAATTGGTCTGGGTACCCTGGCTATACTCAGACCCCTGTCATTACCTCAAACTCATGACCAATTCTTTCTATGTGTATAGTTTTTTGGGTCACCTATTTAATACCAAAAGGGGGCCATTTTAGTTTACAGAGAGCTTTTTACCTTTGCAGGGTTAGCTTAATTTTATAGTTTCCTGTAAACCCTTTCTTAAAGTTTTTTTTAGCATATATTTGAATGATGTATATTGTGACAACTCTCTTCCCATTTCTTTTCAGTTATGATGCAGTGTACTCGTGCTCACTTTTTACCTTTGTTTCCAGCCAGTTAGACCATCTCCTATTATGGGGGTTTTTAGATACTACTTAGCTTTGGAGAGTTTCTTAAGCCCAACACAATTGCTGAAGTTGTGGGGTAGCTTCTTTTAGCCATATGTGGATCACCACTAGTCTTGATCAGCCCCACACTTGGCTTGGAACACATTCTTCACTAAGAGACTTGTGGTTCCTCACTTTATGGCCGATTAGCCTAGTTAGGCCTCACCACTCACACATCATCCTTCTACCAGTTCTCATGTTCCTGGTTGGGGTGGCGAGTCACTTTCACCACCTCCAGTTTCCTTCTGAGCTGATTTAGTGAGCCACTGTCACATGCTGTGTTGGTTGAGGTGTAAGTTTCTTCTGAATTGGTGAACCACTCTTGCGGCCTGCAGCACCTCTGGGTTGGATTACCGGTTATAACCTAGGAGGTGATTAGGCTCCCTTTTGGTCCTTGTGGGATGTGTCCTGCCTTGGGTCCCAATACCTTACTGTGGTTTCTGAAGTGAGCTGTTCCTGGAATCGTCCTATAACCCATTAGGTACCATTGCACTGCTTGGTAGGGGCACGAGGTCACAAAATGGCTGATCTCCCCTCCAGGCTGAAGTTCTCCCAGTGGTGCTCCTTGGGTCACAGGACTCCTGAGACCCAGGGCTTAAGCCCCAGGGGCAAAGGAGACAGGAAACCTGTCATCTCCACTCCTGGCTGACTGGCCAATAATGTTGTGGGAAGCAGAGGACCACAGAGATTAATATGGGGAAATAGGAGGATGTATTTAGGTGCCCTGGCTCAGCAGACTTATATCCAAAAATGCTGAGCATTGAACAAAGACTGAGGGGGATATTTGTAAGCCAAATTACAAAAGCAGAACTACAGAAGCTAATTTGACAATGACAGGTTACATAATTTATAGCATAACTGTTGAGTTAGCATAACTTTAGCCTTGCATAGCTTGTAGCCTTGTAGCTGCATTGAAAAGACAAAAAAAAAAACAGTAAGCTTCAAATCTTACTAAATACAAGCATTGGGAAACATAGTCATAATTAATGTTTCAGAGAAGAAGAGACGTTATAGATATTTATTTTTCTTTTCTTTTCAGTGCAGACACTGAAGCTTGAGCCTGGAATTGTGGAGCCAGTTCTCTCTGCTGTGGGGCCCATGTATGGGTAGAAGTCTCCTCATGACTCAAATCACAGCCTTGGTAACCCACTAGTCCAGTTCCTAAAAACACCCACTCCTTAGTGTTTCAAGAATCATGCTCTAGAGTCCACTGCCACATTTGAATTTATTGCAATGTTATGGAAATGAGAATTTTATCTAGGCCTGGCACTGTGGCTTACACCTGTCATCTCAGCACTTTTGGAGGCAGAGCTGGGCAGTTTAACTGAGGTCAGGAGCTTGAGACTAGCCTGGCCAACATAGTGTAGTACCATTTCTACTAAATATACAAAAATTAGCCGAGTGTTGTGGCCTACTCCAGTCATCCAGGCTACCTGGGAGGCTGAGGCAGGAGAAACACTTGAACTCAGGAGGCAGAGGTTGCAATGAGTGGAGATCATGTCTCTGCACTCCAGTCTGGGTGACAGAGTAAGACTCTGCCCTCACTCACCAAAAAACAAAAACATAAACAAAAACAAAAAACAAAAATGTATCTGTTTATATTTCAATGCCAAAATATTTTAAATGACTTTTTAATGATGTGTATAATTTTTCCAAGTTTAGAAATAAACTCCATTTGTTTGCTTTCACATATTTTGTACATTTGTTTTTATCTTAATAAACTGAGTCTATTGACAGAACTATGAAGATGCTTATTTATACCATATCTCATGTTCTACATGTCCAGTTTAGCAAATATGCATTATCCACTTATTTGCTAAAAGCCATCCTTTTTTCTCTTCATAATTTAGATGATTCTCAAATATCACACATCATTTTGCAATCTGATTCTAACTTCTATACTGCCAAATGGTCTGCAAAATTAACCTAAAAAAAAAAAAAAAAACAAACAAAATAAGTGAAGGCTGACAGACTAAGTAACGTGATTCAGCTGAAGCTAGTCAATCAGAAAGTTGTACTTACCGAAACTTTTGGTCTGGAGGGTTGGAGAGGCTGTGCCTTGACTCAGTGGGTGATTGCTGGGGCATTCTGTCAGAACAAGGACTGGGGAACCCACATGTAATCTGTCCAGACCTAAGGTTCAGAAGGAACCAAGGCAAGAATATTACCAGGTGCATGAAGATACCAAGCGGTTTCTAAAGAGCTCTATTAGTTCAAAAATAAATTGTTATCCTTGCAAATAGCAAATTATGATGCATAAGATCCACAAAACTAATGATTCAAACACCTAAGTTAATTGCACTGGCAATAATAAAATGCATGAAAGTAACAGGCAGCAAAGGAAAGACAGCTCTTAGTATCTAAACACCTCTGTGTGTAAAGGAGACACTAGACCTTGCCAGTCTGTCCTGCTGACTCTCACAGCAACCCTCTATCATGGGTGGAGAGATGGAGGGTAGCTACCCAACTCCAGAGCAGCACACAACGCTTTGTCCAGGTGGCTAACCTTCCAGATACATTTCACTTTAAGGTTCTTTTTGCTTTCGGAAAAGGGGTAGAGAAGACTTGTCTGGAGGAAATGCCACTGTGTAGCCTCAACACTGCACTGCCCATGAGTGCTTCCAGGTGCCAGTCCTTTAATCTTTAAGTTTTTTTCACTTGAGGCTGCTCAGAGACAACTCTGTCCTCTGCAAATATATGGCTTTCTAGAGAACTGGAAGTAATGTTTTTGAAAGCTTTCAGCAAGTGCAGAGATGGTGAGCTCTTTGCTGGTAGTGGGCTTTTGGTATGATGTTAACGACTCTCAGATAGCAACTTCTGAAAGCCTTTTCCAAGGGTCTGTCCTCTTACTTAAGCTCTTTGCCTCTTGCTTAAGCTCTTTGACCCTTGCTTAGTATTAACTACAAACTCAAGGTCAGAATTGGAAGGACTACCCTCCACAGCTCCATTTGGAAAATTTGGGATCCTTGATGTTACCATACCTCTTTTCTGTTTAAGAGAATCGTTCAAGAAATCCTGATGTATAGCACCATTGCAAGGCACCATATTGCCACTTATTAATCCACTGACAGAATGATGGATCAGATGCTGCTTTGGATTACAGTACACTTTATTCTCTAGGGCTGCAGAGTACAAAATGCTAATTTCAAAAGTGAGTGGACACAGAAGAGAAGAAAATTCATGTAATTGAGAATATTATTGTTTTGAAAAGTTGAAGAGAGCAATAATAAGGACAAACTTCCACATTAAACAGTTTCTGATGCCATGGTAGTGATAACCACTAATATTTATTGAGGGCTTATTGTACCAGCTACAGCTTCATGTGTCTTTTGTAACACAGTACAACTTCAGAATCCATTATGCACAATTTCCACATCCCCACAGCTCTGAAAATTGAAAATTTATTCATAACTTAGGGGCATAGCCTAGCCAGACATGAACTCATTTGGTTAAATACTATGACCTGAAATGACGTGAACCCATATATTATCTTTATTTGCCCCGGCATGAATATTCATACAGTTGACTGGAAAATAACTAATGCATTTCACTACAGCAGGTACTACAGAATTCACATGCTGTGGATTTCGTGTGCTGTGAAATCCACAGCATACGGCATGAGTTTCAGACAAAAAGTAAGAACCTGCATTCACAAAAACACTGTGGTCAAGGAATTCTCACAGCTTCCGTTTTATAGATGGGAGACTAAAGCTTATTGACCCTGGGTCACACCGTTAGCAGGTTCAAGAGCTACTGCACTTTCCTAAGGCAAAGCCAGTGCCTGTGTCTCACTGTCCTGAAATGCCTTCCAATGAAGCTGTGAGAAAGAAGCTTGCCCTCCTCATTGCATGCAAGTGCAAAAGTTCTATTCCCATTCAACTATTTTTATTAACATGAGACTATGGTTTCAGCTGTGAGAAGTTTCACAAACAGAACTGAAAGGAAAATGAGACCAGAAAGGAGAAGAAATGTGTAAAGAGTTAAAAATAAGTCAAGTGCTGGTAGAAGAGAGCAAGGAACTTATGAGGAAAAAGTGCAAAGGGGAACGAGGAAGGCTCAGAACAAGTTTGAGAAACCAGTTAACTGGTAACACAAACACACTTTCTTTGAGCTTGAAAGCAACTGAAGAAGAAAGCATCTAAGCTTCAATATCCTTATTATGAAGTAGGAAGGGGCACAGATGTATCCACAGTGAACACACAATAATAAAATCATACCAATCATACCAATCACCACTTATTGAGTGTTTTCTTATGTCCCAGGCACTGCGTTGTAACCCATCTCCTTTCATCACTTTCATCATGGCTCAATAGGCATTATTTTCCCCATTAAAAATGAGGAAACTGAGGCCCAATGAAGTTAAGGTAACATGTCCAAGATTAAACAACTAACTTCAAAACAGGGATCCAAAAGAACAGTTGTCTGATTCTGAGAGCAATGTTCTCTTTGCTAAACTGCCTTGCTCCTCCTGTGTGTGCATATATCTATCAAGGAATCCATAAAATTACTGAACTGCTGTTAACATTGAGGTAACAAATAGAAAAGAAATTTCTAAGATAAACCTGGAGACTTCTATGTCACCACCACGCCTTTCCCATTTGAGACACAAGGCTCTCCCAAGCCATGAGGCACCTATGAAACAAGTGACTTTTGCTGATGATCCAGATGGTATTACCAAAGTGGATAGGGAGTTTTACTTCTAAGATGACACACGTTTCTGTGGCTTTTCCTCTAACATAACAATTACTTAATATTCAATAAATTAGGGTCATTACATTTTCACAAGCATCAGAAGCTTTACACACAGAAAAATATTCATAGATTTAAAATGTCTCTAACCTGTCTGAGTTTGCTTCAGTTGCAATACAAAATCGGTCACCTGAATACTTAACTTTTTATGGAAGTTTGTAATCTAGTATCTGGGCCTTCAGCCACCCAGAATGCTCATTCTGAAAAGATTCAGAATCAGAAAAGAAATTATTGCAAAACAAATCACGGCTTGCTTCACAAGGAGACGTTTTCTTATCCTGTTTGTACTCTTTTAATTGAGAATATTTATGCCAGTAAACAACAGGGTCCCTATTTTAAAAATGACAAACAGAACACAAACTAGGTGGGTTTAACAGATTTCACCATCTTTTTCAGTCATATCAAAACATTCTAGGGCATGTGGGCAGAAGACACGGTGAATGTTTGTAATCCTTAGGGTGAGAATCCAGAGATAACAGTGGAAAAAATCTGGCACTCTGAAAATTTTACATTTAGGTGTGTTTGCTTTCTTCTCCATGTTATTGCTATTATGAATATAAGATCATATTATCACTAGAGAATTTTCTCAGATGACAAAGAGAAACTTTACTATATTTGGGGGAGTAATGTTTGATATTAAAATAAATCTGATTTGCACAGGTGTGACTTGGGCCAAGTTTACATACTGAAGAAGTGTATTTGTATCAAAGTGGAACTGGCAAGGAGCAAGACTCACTGCATCTTGCAGTTGTACTGCAGAGCTGGCCTGTGATTTTTGAACTCCTCATGCTCAGCTATGATAGCATTTCCTGCTTTCTGCAGTTCTTTCTGAAATACCACAATTTCATGAGCCAGTGGAGCCAGATATAAGAAGGCCAAAAGAAATCCTAGTCATTATCTACCTTAAGTTTTCTTATTTCATTTAACAGAAACATTTAAACAGCTTTTACATTGTTGTTTCTTTTCTTGGTACTCATGCAATAAATATAATATTAATTCTATTTAATGATCTCAGAGTAGTCCTAACACTCAAATTTCAGAACAAAAGTATTTAGTGCATTTTATTGCAAACGTTATTACTCTTGGAGTCCTACTCCAAGTAAAAGAACTCTTTCAAATCCTCAGATTAACCTAAATAGCTGTTTCTCTCCTATACCATGAAGAGAAGGAGCTCTCTGTCTGGTCTACCTGTTGATGACATCCCCAACATCCAAAATAATCTGTGCATCTGTCAGCAGCAGTTGGGATCCAGGCAGAAAGCAGATGGCTCCTACAGACAAAGTCATCTAAGAGTCCTTTAATAAAGGGTGACTTATGCAGCATGCCCACAAATGTTGGGGAAGTTCCCTTACATAGTAACAGGGCCACTCTATGAGCACTGACTACTCTAAGGAAAGTTAAAGGCTCTAGGTATTACCTCCCTCTGCTGGCAATCTGGAAGGCCATGGAGAGGTAAAAACTACATTTATTTTGTATGTATCCTGAGAAAGAGGAAATAGCAGTAGAGGAAATTGAGGTAGGGAAGTGATAAACTCTCTGCCAAAATGTTGTTCCTTATTTTTTTTTCTGTCTCTCTTGATTAACTTACTTTTTCATTATTGCCAAAAGAAGAGTAAGGTAGGCAGAGGTTAGAATCAAACAAATCAAATCTAAAGAAGGGAGAAAACAATATTAAAGAATATGGAGGCACATTTTTTAATGAACGAAGATTCCTGGCATATCTATTTTTGTCAATTAACAAAACATTCCCAGTTGAAAATAAGGCTTATTGCACAAACTACAGACAGATGAGCTTTCAGTCAATCCCAGGTAAGATCTGAAGAATGAAATATTTGTGAGCACTTAAAAAAGGTGAATAACACAAAAGAAATAATTTCACCCAATGCAAATAAAGTCAGACTACCATACTTTCTTTGTTGAGCATAGAGCTGGTAAAAGCTGCAGGTGTAGAACTCAGTTCTGGACATATGGAACTCAGTTACTGGACATAAACAAACAAAACTATCAGAACTGAAGGATTGAAATTAACTGCAAAATGTATGATCTGTTCAAGTATTGGTGGCCTCTCAAAATTTTCTGTCTGGTCTTACTGTAAGCTGGTGATAGCATCTCAGTCTCTTTTTCATCTTAATATTTAATATGTCAAAAGCAAAACCCTAGTGTTTTTTCCTCTTAATTTGTATTTTCTAATTATAGGTGATATCACCTTTATAAAGAAGAACTCTACTTGGCAATAAACATTAGAATATTGTGATTATATATATATATATATATATATATATATCACGGTTACTGTGTATACATATATACTATATATGCATATATATAGTAATTTTTTTACTCTCATAATTCTGAGTTTCAAAAATAAACATGCATACTTAAAATTCAAAAGCTTCAACCCAGTGCTTCAGCACTACTTCTCTTCCTCTTAGCAAATCCATGGCTTTTACTTAAAGTTGCCTTTGGCCATAAATTTCTTTTATGTCAATCTACATAGAAAATTATTAATTTTTCGCAAGAAAACTGATGAAAGCCAAACTGATGTAAATGAATATACTGTTTTCTAAATTCCACAAAGCAACAATTTCACCTTCAAGAGACTCCAACTTGGCTGGTTACTGTGGCTCACAACTGTTATCTTAGCACTTTGGGAGGCCAATGTGGTAGGATCACCTGAGGTCAGGAGTTCAAGGCCAGCCTGTGTAGCATTGTAAAACCACATCTCTAACAAAATGCAAAAATTAGCCAGGCATCATGGCGGGAACCTGTAGTTTCTGCTACTCAGGAGGCTGAGGCAAGGGAATCACCTGAACCTGGGAGACAAAGGTGGTTGTGGTGACCTGATAATTACCATGGAACTCCAGCCATGGTGACAGAGTGAGACTCCATCTAAAAAAAAAAAAAAATTCCAGACTTGAGTTTGAATTTTTTCAACCTATTGGAAAGCAAAGTTTCAAACTTATACAACTAGATATTCTAGCTGCATACAAATTGACTCTCCTAATTACTATTTACCTGTATTTTCATATGTTCCTAACATCCCTTATGTAATATATGCTACTTAGTGCTTTAAAATCTCCAGTCCTTTATCTAAAAAAGATTTTTTGACAGGTTCCTGCCCTATTGCCTAGGCTGTAGTGCACTGGCGTGGTCTTGACCCACTACAACCTCTGCCTCCTGGCCTCAAGGGATCCTCCTACCTCAGCCCCCCGAGTAGCTGGGACTACAAGCACACACCACCAAGTCCGGCTAATTTTTTGTGTTTTTTATAGAGATGGGCTTTGTCAAGCTGCTCAGACTGCTCTTGAACCTCTGGGTTCAAATGACATGCCCACCTCAGCCTCTCAAAATGCTGGGACTGCAGGCATAAGCCACCACACCTGGTCCCGTTAACTAAAAATTGATGAGTTCTTCAGGAAGAACCATTGAACAAAATGTGCATTCAGCAATAAAACTGCAAAAGAATATAATCCCACAGTTTTTAGTGATGGTGCTCTCTGTATGTTTCAGTTCATGGGTCATTCTGACTCAGAGTTAGCAAGCTCTTATGAACTCCTAAATGAATGGGCCATCCTTCCATTTATGTTTTCACAGAGCAAGAATTTACTACTTAACACATATCAAGCAGCATACTGGGAACAAGTTATACAAATGTAGACAGATATAGTCACTGTCTCTAAAGACCTCACAATTTAATCAGGGAGAAATAATCACAATAAGGTATAACTTCATAACTGAGGTAAATAAAGACTGCATGCAGGAACGAGACCTAAATCATTTGCTCAGTGGGAGTCAGGGAAGATATCACCAGGGTGACAGTCCAGCTGTGTCTTGAAAGACAGTATGGTTTTATCAGGAAGAGAAAAGGATTGACATTCCAGGTGAGGAAATACAGCCATGGCGGTTTGTGTGAGGATGACAATCTTCCTCAAAGCCTTCAGAAACTCACAGTTAAATAAACAGGAATCTAGCCAGTCCCGTATCTTGCAGATGAAGTTATTAGTCTAAACACAATCCAAACATCTCAAAAAACTGTGCTTCCAACACTCATTTTTATAGCTGGAGCAAGCCCAATTCCTATCAATGCTATATAAAATTGTAAAGGGTGTGCACTTAACATTAAACAAGTAGGTCTCATTGAGAAGCCCCAAGCAAGACTTAATGCTAGGGTAAAGCCTTGCTACTTTTAACATCTGGCAGCAGCAGTTCACGATGTAGGCCAAAAATACTGCTGTAAATCCAGTGTGGTCTAAGACATACACTTAGAAACAGAATATGATTTCTTAAAAAATAGATTCAATCCCACTTGCTGAAATAGACTCCCTGCCACTCCTCATCCTCACTTTCTCTTGTCCAGTTACTTCCCAGATGACCAGATCAAATGGCCACATGGATGACCTTTGCAGCCCTGGTGACTCCTTCACCCCAGGGACCTTGAACTTTGTTCATTTCCATGACTCCATCCAATGGCAGCACAGTGCATTTGCTTTCCAGTATCCACCTGAAACCTAATCCTGCAATTCTGTACTCTTGGACAATTGTTATAATTCCACCTGCCAGTCTCTCCAGATCTAGTCCTTGATCCCTGAGACCGCTAATCCACCCTCCCTTTCCCCCTGGGTTAGCTGCCACTTGCCCCTCCTCTGCTTCCCTTCACTATGCAAGATAAGCCCAGAATCTTCAGTTAAATAGGCTGCCATTCTCACATCAAATAAGGTAGGCTCTGCAAACCTCCAATCCTTAAACATCTTCATCTTTCCACCCTCACTGAAAGGTGAAGAAGAGATGGATGCTTAGAATTCCTCCACGGACCTACCAAAAGTAAAAATAAAAATAAAAAATAAACTCCCCTCCAAGCACATGGTTTGGGCTTACTTAATTTCAGGCTCCCCCAACTACAGCTGGGCCCTCAATACAGGTGATCAGTCCTCTGTGCCTTAAAGAGCTGTTCTTCCGTTACACACTTGAGCTGCTCTGTACCTCTGAGCTGCTCCTAAAACCCATGATCTAACCCTCTAATCTGCCTGAGAAGATGGAGCTTATTTAGAGTGTGCTTCTCATTATCCCAACTTGACTGTTTACCTCTGACATTCTTCCTTTTCTACTTGTCCCAGAGGAAGCAAATGTGTTTACGTTTCAAGGCCCATTCTCCTTTTTCTTTGCAATGTTGACCCCAGTTCCTATTGCTCTTCTGGGGCCTTGTTACCTCAATTGTATCATCTCATTCCTGGATCTTGAGCCAACCTACTAATAGCTGCAGGAAATAGGTACACAGTAAAATATTTGTAAATACCACCTGTTGGGAACAGTCCCCCAAAATCTGGCCATAAACTGGCCCCAAACTGGCCATAAATAAAATCTCTGCAGCACTGTGACATGTTCATGATGGCCATAACACCCACACTGGAAGGTTGTGGGTTTACCAGAATGAGGGCAAAAAACACCTGGCCCGCCCTTGGTGGAAAACTGCTTAATGGCATTCTTAAACCACAAACAATAGCATGAGCAATCTGTGCCTTAAGGACATGCCCCTGCTGCAGATAAATAGCCAAACCCATCCCTTTATTTTGGCTCATCCCTTCATTTCCCATAAGGGATACTTTCAATTAATCGAATATCTATAGAAACAATTCTAATGACTGGCTTGCTGTTAGTAAATAAGTGGGCAAATCTCTGTTCAGGGCCGTCAGCTCTGAAGGCTGTGAGACCCCTGATTTCCCACTTTACACTTCTATATTTGTGTGTGTGTGTGTGTGTGTGTGTGTGTGTGTGTGTGGTTTAATTCCTCTAGCACTGCTGGGTTAGGGTTTCCCCAGCTGAGCTGGTCTCGGCAAGGGGCACCCATACGCAAGGGGTTGAATCCAGGTCAAAGGATCACTGGAGTGATGGTTGGAGAATGTGGAACCAGCTGGAGGACACCCAAGTACTCTTAAAGCAATCCCCTTGGTGAGTAAGAAGGGGAGTTCAGAAGCATCAGGGTAACAATGGGACAAGTGCGGGCTGTGGTTAGTTCCACCTTGGAACTTTTTCACACTGATGATGGGGAGGAAGGAGAGTATAACGAAGTAACACAGGAGGTTTCAGAGCAGGTTTATTTGCCAACTAAAGCTAAAGCGGCAAAGGAGGGAGAGGTTCATCCCTACCCTTCTGCACCCCCTCATTATTATACTGAAGAAAAAGGCCCTCCAGATCTTTCTTTTCCAGAGGACCCTGGGTGAAAACTTTTTGCCCCAGTGAGTGTTCAAGCAGCGCCTTGAGTGCTCTCAGTTCTATACAGGCAGTAATTCAGCAAGCTAGAAGAGAGGGTGATTTAGAGGCTTGGCAGTACTCTGTTAGAATACAACCCCCAGATCAGCAGGGAAATATTTGAGGCTTTTCCTTTTAAATTACTCAAGAATTTAAACAAGCTATTCATACTAAAAAAGAATGTAGAAAAAATCAGTGAGTCAGGCTGCCAGATAGCAGGAAAAAGTAACTGCTGAGTCTGAAATGTGTCCAAAATGTAAAAAAGGAAAACATTGAGCTAGTCAGTGTCACTCTAAGTTTGATAAAGATGGGAACCCAATTTCAGGAAATGCCATGAGGTGCCAGCCCATCCCGGCCCCCACTCCAGACTGGGGCATTTCCAGCTCAGGCCATTCCTTCACCTCTGTACAATATCTGTCCCCTGCCACAGCCAGTAGTGTGGCAGTAGATTTATGCTGCACAAAAGCTGTGAGCCTTCCGCCTGGGGAACACCCACATAAGGTCCCAACAGGAGTCTGTGGACCCTTGCCAGTGGGAACAATAGGATCACTTTTAGGAAGGTCTAGTTTAAGTTTAAAAGAGGTACAAATACATACAGGAGTCATTGATTCAGACTACAATGGGGAAATTCAAATTGTTATGTCTACTTCTGTTCGCTGGAAAGTAGAGCCAGGAGAGTGTATAGCACAGCTCCTGATTGTGCTGTATTTGGGAATGGGAAAAAGTGAAATTAAATGAAGAGGAGGATTTGGAAGCACAAATAAACAAGGCAAAGCAGCTTATTGGGTAAATCAAATTACTGATAATTGTTCTACCTGTGAAATAAGTATTCAGGAAAATAAATTTAAAGGTTTGGTAGTTACAGGAGCAGATATTTCAAACATTTCTCTTCAGCACTGGCCGTCTGCATGGCCAATTCATTGTACATGAAACTGACTAATGAATGGACTCTTTTTAAAAGAACACAATAAGCATGTATTTTCTATTTCTCAGTTACTTTTTTTAAAATTGGAAATTAATGTGGGATTTTATTCATATCCTTCTATTTTTCTTTTCCTTTAGCTAATATTAATTTTTTGACTCCTAGATGACAGGCAGTCATATATTGTAGGTATCACAATGAACAAAAGACAGTGAGACAATTTGTAAGCTTTAATGAAGCTTATAGTCTTTATCAGTCAGGGTCTTAGCAAATAACAGATGGCATACTGAAAAGTTACTACTACTCCTAGGCCTAAAGTGTCAAGGGGAGGAAATCCTTTCTGGAACCCACAGTGAAAGTTCTATCTGTATGAAAGTTTTGACCACAGGAGCTATTAACAGATAGACAAATCAGCCCAGACAACTTGCAGCCTATAAGGGAAGGAAACAAAGGAATTAGTACTTCATTCTCTCCTTCCACCCTCAGATATCTTGCCAGTAGTTTCCTTTGGCCAAATCTAGTTGGAATCCAGAGGGTAAAGAAACCCAAGCAGGCCAGCTTCATGGAAAACACTACAATATGGAACGAGATAGAGAATCAATCTATAGCAGATATCTAGCCAGTATTTTCCTTTGGCCAAATCTAGTTGGAAGCCAGAGGGTAAAGAAGCCCAAGCAAGCCAGATTTATGGAAAATAGTACAACATGGAAACAGATAGAGAATCAATCTGTAGCAAAAACTAAAGAATAAGCAGCACACAATATATGGAAACTGGCATTTAAGTAGGTAAGTATTATACAGAGTGATAAGTGCTATGTTAGAGGAAGTTCTGCATAGCATTACAACTTTTAGAAGGGGCATCCCTGATTTGCTACTCTGCAGTACCTCTTGGACAGGTGTTGTCCACCAATTCTGCTCTAGTCAGATCAATTCATATTCAGTAATTTTAAAAAGCATTTTATTATGCAAATTTTTGAATTCCATATGAAAGTAAAGAGAACAGTAATTAGTTGCGATGTATCCATCATGTACAGTCAACAACCATCATTACTTTGGAATATTGAGGCTTCTATCGCCCAACTACTCTTTTTAATTTTGTTTGAGAGGGGTTTATAAAATATTACAGCATTATGTTATTTTACCAGAAAATACTTAAATACACATCTCTGACAATAATATTTTAAATAGATTTTACATATCACCATGTCACTGGCATACTTAATAACATTAACCTATTATGCTAAGAAAATTAATTAAATTCTTTAACACCATCTAATATCATCTATACTCAAAAATCCCTCAGATCATGCAATTGATTGAGAGAGAAACCGGACTGTTTGTCCTATAGACCATCCCACATTCTGAATATCACAGATTGGTTCCTTATGACTTCATTTAATATACTCCTCTTTTTCTGGTATTTCCCTTAAAATTGTGTGTAGCCCCAGAGCCTTAATTGTATTTTGTTCCAATTTTAGGCAATAATATTTAGTGAGTGGTGGTGTATACTTTCCATTACACTGCCTTGGAGGCATATAATGTCTGATTGTCCTACTTCCAGTAATGGAAACTGTCACTGTGGGTTCAGATGATGTCAACCTGACCCTTCCATCATCAAATTTCTCACCAACACTTCAACTAAGGTTTTTAGAATTAATTGATTATTGTTGTCAAGGTACATTATGCTTTTAGGGGATGCAAAATGGAGATTTTCTTCTTCTATCATTCCTTTTGAATCTATCAATTCAACAAAGAATAACTTTCTCTCCATAATTATTAGCTTATCTTAAAATGCCCTTCATCTGGAAAGTGACGATGAATGCTTTAAAATTTCCCCTTCATCTGTTTTCAGAAAAATGGGTTGATGTCTTAGCAACTTCCAATGATATCTAATAAGTTTTTATCATTCTGAATTTATTTACTTTTATACTTGTGATGTGTTTTTGACGATTGAAGTTATTATTGCTCAAATTATGTCTTTTTCTGTCCAGTGGGAGTTCACTAAGTTAACATGTATGTTAATATTTTGCTTAACTTGAAATTGAGATGCCTCTTTGAATTATACTCACTCCCAACATCTCTCCCTTTTAAAATACTATATGTTGCTACAAGACTTTGTTGGAATATCACATGAATACACTTGAATCCTCTAATCACTAGCCACATATTGGATAGTGTTCAATATTCATTCTAACTTTTCAAGATATCACCAATTAACTCCAATTCAATTCTATGTCAGACATGTCACTTAACTGAAATTTGAGGTTCTATCACTCTTCATACCTACGAATTCTGTTTATACTCATTGTTATGGAATTTGGAGTTCTCCACGATTTGTCCTTAAACTTATTTCTCATTACTACTTTACCCTACCTCATTGCTGCCCTATTTGTCTTTTTCAGCTTCTGAAAGGCAGATCCTTATTGAATACTTCCTGCAAGTCTAGGTTCGTGGAAGTTTCTGAGTGAATTTGGGAAAGGGTAAAGGGAGTTGAAATCAAAACAGTAAGAGATGTATTCAAATTTTTTTGCTAATTCCCCTAACTCCCTTTGCTATGGCTCTAGGCTCACCAAAAGAATACTGTCGGTTATGGGTCTTTCTAGGTAGATCTTACTTTCAAAAAGAGACTGCTCTCACCAAAGTAATATATTGCCTATTTCTCTTTCAGTTATGTTTTTTTTTCATAAATAAGTTCCTGGCCTTTTCATTACAGGTAGCTTTCCATGCTGTATCTTTTACATAAAGTCCATAGATATTCATGGATTATAAAAGTCTAGTGATGCCTGAGACCTTAGAGACCGTATAACCTATTGTATCTCAACAGGGATCAATGGACTAGATATATTAGAACGATCCCTGGAAATTTTCATTCTATAGGACTGGGATGAGGATAAAAAACTGTGCTTTTTATACAAATAAAAACTTCCCAGGTGATTCTGCACAGTAAGACTTGGAAAACCCTCCTATTTTATAATTCCTTACTTTTGCTGATGAATTAACAGGCCTAGGAAAGAGAAGAAATCTTTTCTTTACACATAATTTCTTGCTTAGGGTCTCGATCATACCACAGTTGACTTTTGAGCAGTTATTTACAACTCCAGCACTATGTACTAAAAAAGATTGAAGCGGTTCAGTTTGGAAGATCTACATTAGGGAAACAACACCTAGAGTAAATCCTGGAGCAGATTGTGAAGTCAGTCCCAAATGTCATTTGGGCACAAGTGTTTTTTGCTTCTATTGCTGAAATGCACATAACTTATGCCATGGGACATATTCAAAGAGGCAGAAAGCTACAATTAGAAGGTGGCAATAACACACATTGCCATCAATGAATTTAGAGAAAAAATAATTGAACTTGTCATTAAAGTCAAAGCTGGATGCATTTTGGAAGGGTAATCAATTTCTGAAGGGCCCCAGTGCAAACTATTCACATCGTTGGAGGTTGTTCTCAGCTACATGCTACAATTAGGCAAGTAGGTTGTACTTTAATACTAATGGGTAGTTCTTGTTCTGTGATATAAACCCATTTTCGAGACTTCTATGCCTATATCAATTGTATATGCCAATACCTCCTCAGATGTGTATCTGTACATTATTTTTCTTAATGATATTGAACACTTTCATATGTGAGGCAAAACCATAAAGCATTTTATTGTCAGATAAGGGAGTAAGACAACTTGTATAGGTTTGAATTAAAAGATAAGTTTACTTAGTAGTATTGGTTCAGAGGCAAGAATTATCACATTCAATTTGTGGAAGATAATGAGAAAGATTGATGGCATACGAGGTGGGCCTTGGAGAATGGGGTGGGTGGAGACAGATGAGAGAGATGAGGGGAGAGGGAAGGAGGGAGGGAGAGAGAGAGAGAGGGAGAGAGAAAAGCAAGAAAGGAGAGAGAAAGAATGAACAAAAGCATTCATTCCAGGCTTCCAGGCTCAGAGAATTGTATGAATAACGCTACAGGTGAATGAGAGTACAAAATAGATCAGGCTAACCCAGAGACTTATCCTTAGCAGACATTATTTGAAAGGACAGTTCACCCTCTAAGTTTCCTTAAGAAGTTTTCACTGGAAAGCTCCTGTCTTCCGCTTTCATAGTTTGGTGGTAAACAGAGAGGTGTAGTTGAACATCACCTGTAGACCAAATAGGGTGTTAACAGAAAACTAGAACTCTGACAATGATGCTATAATTATGCGGAAGGAGGGTCAGTAGTGTTAAGGAAAAGGGAGTAAAGGATTTAGAAACCGAAGGGTAAATTTTCAGCCTCTTCCTTGCTACAAATTAAGCATATCACCTTGGGTTTTTACTCAATGTCTTTTGCACCTTGCTTTCTTTCTTTATAAAAATAGGATGAAAACGCCTCTTCTTTCTAGGTCTGTGGATTGCTGTGAGGATCAAATAAGATAAATGCAAATTTTGGTGTTATTATTAGAAGTAATAATGGTAAAATGGAGTATTTCATATCATTTAAAGATTTTTTATATATGCTAAGATATTTTTTCATACTTTTTCAAAATATCAATTCTGTAGTGCCATAAATAATTGTATTAAATGAATCGCTGGTACAAAGATCACATTCTGGTTCATAAGTCCTGTCTGGATGACTTAGAAATATTTAACTGTTAATATGAATATGGAAATCCAGCAGACTGAATCATTAAGGAGGAAAAAGGACCCGTTTTATGCATCAGACAGATTTCAGTAGCTTATATTGTCTACCTACAGGAGCTGGACACAATGATTCTTGCATATTTTGGATTCAAATGCATTTTTATTATTATTTTACCCCTGAAGCTAGGTTTGGAAAGACAACATTTGTTACTTAAGACAACTTAGAAAAAAAAAAAAACTATTTCTAAGTTATCACATTGAAAGGGTTGTTATGAGACCATCACATTATTTTATTTGCCAAATATGAATATGTTTCCTCAGTAATGTACTTTTGATTGTTATTGTTTTTAGAGAAATAAGATACTGTTCTCAATAAAATAAAGAACATGCTCAAATAACGAACTAATAAAGGGATAAAAATAGTCAATTAACATTGAGACGCTTGTTCACTGTCACTAGTAATCAAATAAATACAATGCAAATAAATCATTGAGTTATTATTTCAAACTATCGAATTTGCAAACATTTAAAAGAAAAAGAGCTGGCAAATTCATAACCTCCTTTAAAAAGGGAATACTTAAATGAATTATAGTAGAGTGATTCAAGTACATTATAAAGAATAGATGGCAGTGAGGAAATAATCATAATAAATACATAAAAATCTGATGTATAATTGGTGATCTGCAAGAAAATGTGGGGAAAAGGTAGTAGCATTTACTTCTGAATGGTTGTACAATTTTTAGAGTTTTAAAAACTCCATTTCTGAATTTTCTGCAATAATTATTACTGTTATTATCAGTAAAAATGAGAAAACAAAAATATGTGTGTGTGCACTCATACATGAATGCACACCTACTTCTTCTAGAGTTGTTTGGTTCTTAGTTACAGTAAAACTATAATCTACCACAAAATGACAGCAGCATGCTTTACTGAGCTGCAGTTGTGCATATGGCCTGTTTATTCTTTTTTTTTTTTTTTTTGGTCAACCTGTACTTCTTGTTTGGCTTTCTGTATTATAGATATTTGATATTATAAATATAAATATTATAGATGTTTGCAAGTTACATGTTTCTAATTGCCCAGCTACAAATATCAGTGGTGGTATATGCACTATCTACTACACTCATTCGGGACATAAATTTATATAACAGAAAGGCTACTGTTTTTGTAATTTAAATACACAGGGCTATTTTATTCTATGGGAGCAAGCAGAATTTAATTTAAACTGGCGTTTTTTCTGTAGACCTGGGAGTAGAATTTTTTTTTTTTTTTGAGATGGAGTCTTGCTCTTAATTTTACCCAGGGATGCACTATTTTATTATTTTATAGTGAATAATATCTGACAAGCATGCATTATATTGCTACCTGCTGAGTCATGAATACATGAATACTACCAAGTAAATAGCTCAAATTTATAAATTTTAAAGCAATTTTTATTTTTGAATTGATCTTGTGTTTTTGATAGAATATACCTAAAAGGCTTAAAGTGCATGTAACTGAGCAATTTTCTTTTATGTAATGATGCAAAGTATATGAATAGTAAGTAATCTGACTCAGCAAAGAGACAAGAGTTCATACCCAAGAGATTCGTGCTTTGAGGTTTGGAAATAGCTCTTGTTATGTATTTTTGATCTTGGGTGGGCTATTAGCTATAAGTCTTGGTGTCTTCATCCATAAAATGGTATTAATAGCACCTGCCTTTTCTGCTTTTCAGGTGTAGAGACTTGAAAAGTAAATAATAATACGTGGAAGTTCTCTACCGCCTTCTGTGCCCAGCTTGACCACATATTCAGGTTTTTGATAATTAGCACAATTAAAGTGAACCAAGGGGGAACAAGTTGCTGATTTAATTTGGGGTTACATTGCCTTCACCCTGTGTCATAGGCTTACTTAGTCCAAGCATTCCTTAAGTATGCGTGTCTATTTAAGAGATTAGCTGAGGGTGGCTGATATTCAATCTCAATTTATCTCAGCTTTGGGAAAACCATCCCTGCGTGTACCCTATCTGTGCTTGTGAGTCCACAGTGGGATTTTGTATAAAGAACAGCATGTTTATATTTACAAGATTGAAACTGTAGGTGAAGTTCATAAACATCTGAAATAATTCTTTTTTCCTGAAATATTTCCTGCTCTTCTGGCATTCTTCTTTGTAATATTCAGTTTCACATATACTTTCCTAGTTACATTGCAAACTCCATGGGGTCAAAGTGTGTGCTAGTTTTGCATACTACTGAGTCTGTTGTGTCCATTACAGTGCTTGACACATAGCAGATGCTCAATAATTAAAACAGCAATTATACACACACACATATATAAATATATATATATTTATATAAAATATATAAAAACAATGGACTGACAGACTCATTAAGTCCCACCACCCACCTCCTATTTCCTAGCATAGTGTCAGGTACTTATTAGGTGAACAACAGATAGTGACTGTATCTTATTTATATTATTTAGGATGGGCCTCTAGGAGTTCAGTAACTTATTGTTTTAGAGTAAATCAAAATATTAATCCTTACATGACACTTAAATGCATGAATACAGTATTGTGCTTAAGTAGGATACTGTCCTCAATAATTTAAAAATACATGCACCCATTTTTTTTCCATGCATTGAAAATGACTAGTCCAGAGATGAATATGAAGGCAGTGATAAAAGTCTGGGAGCAATATCGTCTAACTTAGGGCTTGAGGCTCATTTGGATTCCCACTTAGGGCTTGAGGCTCATTTGGATTCCCTAATTATGCTGATCTAGATCTTCAGGCTTGTAGTTCTCCCTGAGGGTCTTGGTTATTTTTCCTAATAGACTCACCAGTCTCGTTAATCAAACAAGTCCTCAACACTAAATATAAATCTCATCATAAAATCAAAGTTGCATTTATCCTAGTAAAAGTCTAAAGCTACTTCTACTAATTAGTAAGTTTGGGGAATAATTTGCCTAGACACCAGCAATGTGCTGGGCCTACATTTGGGCTACAGTGTATTTACTTACCATAATTAGTGATTTTTTAAAAAAGGTAATTTTACCACTTGGAGTAAAAGAACATCAAAAATAAATGCTATAATTCAGTGAAGTTTGTAAAAAAAAAAGGGTCTATGTCTATATAACCATCCATACATATGTATGGTATTCATGACACCTTCTAAATTAGTGCAGCAATACATTATATTTTATCTCTGATTTAACTGTTCTTATAAAACAGCAAGATTATAAAAATTCCCACTTAACCAACATTAAAAGCAGCATTAAAATCTACAGTACTTAAAGAACATATTATCAATAACTTCCATGATATGTGCTTACAAATTTTTTCCAAATATTAGATGATTGATACTTCATTTTCTAATAGCTTTCAGACCTGACAATCTGGATGGTAAACTGTAATTCAATATCTCCAAACTTACATTTGGCCAGATTATCATCTTGTGTATGTGTGTGTATGAAGGGGTGTGTGTATGAAGGGGTGTGTGTGTGTGTGTTTGTAGCAGAGAGAAAGATAGAGAAATAAAAAATAAATAAATAAAACAAACCTGGTAAAAGAAAAATTATGCTTTGGAAGATACGGCTTATTTCCCTCTTGGTATAGTCTCTTCATAATATTATTTTTTTTAATTTTTTTTTGTGGGGACATAGTAAGTGTGTATATTTATGGGGTACATGCGATGTTTTGATGCAGGCATACAATCTGGAATAAGCCAATCATGAAGAATGGGGTATCCATTCCTTCAACACCCATCACTTGAACTACAAACAATACAATTACACTCTGTAATTATTTTAAAATGTATAATTAAGTTATTATTGATTACAGTCATCTTGGTGTGCTATCAAATTGTAGGTCACAATCATTGTTTCTATGTTTTTTTAAAACCATTAACTATCCCCATCTCCCTACCAGGCCCCCATTACCCTTCCCAGCTTCTGGTAACCATCCTTCTACTTTTTATGTCCATGAGTTCAATTATTTTTATTTCTTGTCCCACAAATAAGTGAGAACGTGCAATGTTTGTCTTTCTGTGCCTGGCTTATTTCACTTAACATAATGATCTCCGTTCCACCATGCTGTTGGAAATCACTGGATCTCATTCTTTTTGTACGGCTGAATAATACTCCATTGTGTATGTGTACCACATTTTCTTTTGTTTTTATTTTATTATACTTTAAGTTTTAGGGTACATGTGCACATTGTGCACATTAGTTACATATGTATACATGTGCCATGCTGGTGCGCTGCACCCACTAACTCGTCATCTAGCATTAGGTATATCTCCCAATGCTATCCCTCCCCCATTTTCTTTATCGCTTTATCTGCTGATGGACATTTAGGTTGCTTCCAAATCTTTTATTTTTTCCAAAAATCTGAAATTTGAGCTACCATATGATCCAGCAATCTCACTGCTGGCTATATACCAATATCAGAGTAAGCCACAAAAGTCATGTCCTCTACATCATTAATATAATTTAGAGGTGGACAATAAAAAAGAAAATTAATGGAGAAATAAAAGCAGAAATTTATAAAACATGTATAAACAAATGAGTCCATATTACTCAACTTTATATGGGTAAAAATGGAAGTAAAGTCACAATATCAGGCATTGAAATTATTCTGTATTCTGTTACTTGGTGTAAGGTGATTTGCCACAATCCAAGAGTCTATGAAGTAAGTTTGTATGAGATAGGATGGAAGGAAAGGAGAATTTGAACTATCTCAGGGATATTTTTTAATGATTGAAAGCTATGCTATAAAATCTCTTAGGAAAAACATGCTATCAATTGCCTGATGGAGTAATGCATATCTCATATCCTTCTCATCTCTATTCCTTCAGATCACAGTAGCTTTGGCAGCAATATCGAGATGTTGTCAGTTAAGCTTCTAGATCCCTCCATCTGCCACCATCAACATAGTCACATGACTAGAAATAATAATTTATGTATCTAGAATCAGCCACAAGTAGACTGCTGAGTACTTACTACATAAAGGCAAAGCTAGCATTTTTGGGTTGGGGGGGCAGGTGTAGAAACACGTTAACAGTTCTGTAAATACACATAAAGATATGCATTTTCCTTAATCACAAATAAATAAACCAGAAGAATTTTCAGTGATTTAAAAAAATTAAGAAATAGGGAACTTATTTAAAAAGCCTTTGAAGCCACAGTGGCTCTTGCCTGTTATCTCAGTATTTTGGGAAACTGAGACAGGGCCTCACTTGAGGCCAGGAATTCCAGAGGAGGCTGGCAAATAGAGTGAGATGCTGTCTCTAGAAAAAATAAATAAAATTTAAAAATTAGCTGCTTGTTTTGCAGTGTGCCTACAGCCCTAGCTACTTGGGAGGCTGAGGTGAAAGAATTGTTTGAACCAGGGAGTTTGATGTTGCTGTAACTTATGATCTTGTCACTTCACCCCAGCCTGTCCAGAGGATTATCTAATCATACTGTGGACTATTGCCAAATCTGCAGCAGTGAAACTCTGGACACATTCTGTGTCTGGTAAAGTCACACTTTGGAACCAAGAAGAATTTCCAGCCTTACTTCCCTTGACAGAGCCTATCGCTAAGACAGTCACAACATAGATCCAGGATAGAATTCCAACAATAAATCCCTGAGCAAAAACTATAGCTGAAACTGCCATACCATGGATCCTCGATGAAATGCCACCAACAAATCCCTGGAAAAAATACAGCCTGAATATTTAGCAGTAAATACCTGGCACTATCTGAATTTAACCCAGTCTCATTGTGGATCTTGGCTTATTTGTCAGTAGGAAACTACTCTACACAGTTCCATACTGAAACAATAACACTGTGAACCCACGTTGAGTCTCCAGCAATACTTTCCTGGAAACAGTTGGGAACTGATATAATCACATTAGGGACCCATGCTGAATCACTAGTGATGAATTCATGGATATATTCTTCTATATGTGATACGGTCACAACACCTATCCAGGCTGAATCAGTTATTAAATCACTGGACATACTCTGAAACTGATATACTCACAACATGGATTCTGGCTGAAACTCTAGGATTAAGTCCCTGGGCACGTGATATGTTCCTACCATGGACCCAGGCTGAAAGTCCAGCAGTATCTTGGATTCAACCATGGATTCTGGGTAGAATGCCAGCAATGAATCCCTGGAGAGAGGCTACAGCTGACATTGTCCTACCCTGGAACCAGGCTGAATTTATGTAGAAGGAAATGCCTGGACACCGTCTGAAACTTATACAATCACAAAGAGGATCCTGAGTGATTCTCCAGCACTAAATTCATGGACATGGGCAATAGCTGATGCAGACCAGCTGTGGACCAAACCTGAATTTCCAGCAGTAAATCCCTGGACAAAGTCTGTAGTTGATAGTACTATACCATGGATACAGGATGAGTCTCCAGCAATAAATCCATGGACACAGTACGTATCTTATATGATCAAACCATGAGCCCAAAATGACTCTTCAGCAGTAAATCTCTGTACACTACCTGAATCTGATACCATTATCCTGTGGACACAAGCTGAGTCTCCAACAGTAAATCCGTTCACAGAGGCTGGAACTTCCACAGTCACACCATGGGCCCAGGCTGTATCTCCAGCAGTAATTCCACGGACACAGCCTATACTTTCCACAGTCGTACCTTGGACCCAGGTTGAATGTCCATCAGTAAATACCTGGAGAACGTCCATAGCTGATGCCATCACACTGTGGATAGGGGCTGAATTAACCGCAGGATATCAATGGATACTGCCTTGGGCTGCTACTGTCACACTGTGGTCACAGTCTGAATCTCCAGCAGGAAATCTTTGGACACAGTCTGTGTATGACACAGACACACCATGGCCTCAGGCTGAATCTCCAGCAGTAGTTTGCTGGACAGAACATGTAGCTGATACACACCGTGGACTCAGTTTGAATTTTTAACAGTAAAGCCTTGGATCCAATCTGTATCTGATACGCTCATACCATGGACCCAGGCTGAGTCTTCAGCACTAAAGCATTTGACACAGGCAATAGCTTATACAATCAAGCTGTGGAACCAAGTCAAATCACCTGCCATAAATCTCTGGAAACAATATGAAACGAATATGTTCACATGGTGTACTGAGGTTGAATCTCCAAAAGTAAAGGAGGGGACACATCCTATACCTGCTACAGTTATACCACTGAACCAAGCTGAATCTGTAGGAGTAAATCCCTCCACAAAGCTTGAAACAGAAATACTCATACTGTGGACCCAGGCTCATTCTAAAATCAACAATCTCTGTACATATACTCTACTTGATAGAGTGAAACCATTGGCTAAGGATGTTTGTGTAGCAGTAAACCCATGGAGACAGTCTAAAACTGAAATAGTCACATCATGGGCCCAGGATCTGTTGCCAGCAATAAATCCCTTAACAGTGGCTGTACCTGGTATAGTCACACTGCAGTACATGGCTGTATCTCTAGTAATAATTCCCAGGAGAGAGGCTCTAGCTGATACAGTCATAATATGGACACAGACAAAATCACCAGCAATCAGTTTCTGGTTGTAACCTCTGCCTGGCACAGTCAAACTATGGACCCAAGCAAAATATACACCCGTTATCACTTGGAACCAGGCTGAATTTCCAGCTAGAAATCCCATGATACAATCTTAGCCTCCAATTGTAAAGATCTGAACAGAGTCTGAATCTCTAGCCCCAAGTCCTCTGTTATAGGTGGAGACTGATACAGTCATACCATGGACCCAGACTGAATCTTTGGCAGTAAATCCCTGGACAAAGCCTGTTGCTGATACACTCACACTGTGTACACAGCCTGTAACTCCATCATTAATCGTTTTTTCACAAACTTTTCATGATACACTGAAAGCATGGGCTCAAACTGAATGCTTACCAGTAAATACCTGGACAGAGGCTGTAGCTTCCAAAATTATACCCTGGACCCAGGCTGAATTTCCAGCAGTAAATCCTTAGACAGAGCCTTTTGCTCATACGGTAACAATTTTGGCACAGGCTGTATCTTCAACAGTAAAGATCTGGCCACAGCCTTCATTTAATACAACCAACTTATGTATTTAATACAACCAATCTGAATCTGCAGCATTAATTACATGGATACAGCCTGCATCTGATACATACATAGGATTGATCCAATCTGAATCTTCACCAGTGAATTCCTGGAGACTGCCTATATCTAATATATTATCATTGTGGACCAAGCCTGTATCTCTAGCAGTCAATCTGTGAATAGAGGCAATAGCTTCCATAGTCATACCTTGGACCAAAGCTTTACTTTTAGAAACAAAACCCTGGACACATCCTGTATCTGATATACTTATGCTGTGGACCCAGGTTGAATCTTCTGCAGCGATTACCTCCACACAGGCAGTATCTGACACAATTATACTGTGGCTGCATGCTGCAGGCCTCCAGTAGGAATTACCTGGATACAGACTGATCTGATCTTCTTATATCTTCTTATATCATGAAACAATGATGAATCTCAACAGAAAATTCAGGGGCATGGGCTGTAGTTTCCACCGTGTTACCATGCAACCAGTTATCCCTTCAGCAGGAAAAACCTGGACATCTACCTGTGTCAGAATCAATCACCCCGCAGACCCAGTCTGAGTCTCCAGTAATGAACACATGGACAGAGGCTGCAGCTTCCACACTCTCAAAGTGGACTCATGATGATTTTCCAGATGCAAATGCTTATACACAGAGCGAAATGGGCACATACTGGACAATGGGTAAAACTGAAGCTAAGAGGCTGGGCGCAGTGGCTCACACCTGTAATCCCAGCACTTTGGGAGGCAGAGGCGGGCGGATCACGAGGTCAGGAGATCGAGACCATCCTGGCTAACCCAGTGAAACCCCATCTCTACTAAAAATACAAAAAATTAGCTGGGCGTGGTGGCAGGCACCTGTAGTCCCAGCTACTCGGGAGGCTGAGGCAGGAGTATGGCCTGAACCCAGAAGGCGGAGCTTGCAGTGAACCGAGATTGTGCCACTGCACTCCAGCCTGGGTGACAGAGCGAGACTCAATCTCAAAAAAAAAAAAAAAAAAAAAAAAAAAAAAACAATGAAGCTAAGAAACTCTGAACAATGCCTGAAGCTAAAATATTTAGAGTTTCATTACCACCTCAACCTGATACTCATGACCTGTGATTCATGAAGAAAATCAAGCATCTATTTTATGGACACATCATGAAATTGAAAATATCAATGAATGGACGTTGTCTGAATTTGGAACACTTATATCTTGGACAGTGCTTGTACCACAAGCAGCAGAACCATGGCCCCAGCCTGAAGCTCTGCTTAGCACACCTTTGTTTAAAACTGGATCAGAAGAAAATGAAACCTTGGGCTCAACCAGAATTTCAAACACTGAGCACATTTACTCCATTTGGACCTGGTAAACTAGAATCCTGGGCCAAACATAATACTACTACATTGAAAACAAGGATCTAATCCGAAACTGATGTCTTCTACCCGTGCACCCAATCTGAAGTAGGTACAATGAGATCCCAGACCATTTCTGAAGAAGATACAGTAAAACTATGGAACTGGACTGAAGCAGGCACAATCCACCCCTGGACTCAACCTAAAACTAATACAATCAGACTTTTGACTCATGTGAATTTCAAGCAGTCAGACCCTGGACCCTGTCCTTGTCTGATACACTGTTGTATCAGGCTGAAATGCAAGCTGCAAAATGCTTGACCATGCCTGACATTAATACTGTGAGTTCTTGGTTTCAGACTCAAAACAATGTAAGAATAAATGTTACTCAACCTCATTCTCGAGCAGGTACTACCTGGATGCAGCCAGAATGGCAAATAATCCACCCATGGAACCAATCTGAAAAGAATGCAGTCAGACCCTGGACCCAGTCTGAAGGTGATGTTCTGCAACCTTGGATCTATGCTGAAAGCAATACAGTCAGACTCTGGGCCCATTCTGAAACTGATAAAATAAAACAATATACTGAGCCTGAATCTCAAGCAATTAGGATGTGGCCTGAAGAGGATATGTTCGCACTTTGGTCCCCAACACAAAACGATGCAGTTTGGCCATGGACCCAAGTGGAATCACAAATGACCCACTCCTGGACCCAGAATCAACTTAGTATAAATTACCCTTGGACTCAGCATGTACCTGCTGCAATCAGACCATGGACTTACTCTGAAATTCAACCCTGCACCCACCCTGAAGCCAATACAGTGATAAGATACTGGTTCCAGACTCAAATGAGTTCATTAAATCCTGGGACCAACCTGAAACTGAAGTATTCCAAATTTGGACTGTAAGCCAAGTAATAAAACCCCAAAACTTCATTGAAATTGATACAGTCACATCTTGCTTACAGACTCAGTGTGATACAATTAGACCCTAGGTTCATCCTGAAAGTCAGCCACTCTCTCCTTGGCCCCACACTGAAGCTGGTGTCAGGCCTCTGAGCCCAAGCTAAGCCATCATATCCCTTGTGACCTGCACGTGTACATCCAGATGGCCTGTAGCAACTGAAGATCTACAAAAGAAGTGAAAATAGCCTTAACTGATGACATTCCACCATTGTGAGTTGTTTCTGCCCCACTCTAACTGATCAATGTAATTTGTAATCTCCCCCACCCTTAAGAAGGTTCTTTATAATCTCCCTCACCCTTAAGAAGGTTCTTTGTTATTCTCCCCACCCTTGAGAATGTACTTTGTGAGATCCACCCCCTGTCCCCAAAACATTGCTCTTAACTCCACTGCCTATCCCAAAACATATAAGAACCAATGATAATCCCACCACCCTTTGCTGACTCTCTTTTTGGACTCAGCCTGCCTGCCACCAGCTGAAATAAACAGCCATGTTGCTCACACAAAGCCTGTTTGGGGGTCTCTTCACACGGACACGTGAGACAGTTTGTATATTTCAGCCCTGGACTCAGCAAAGAGTTACTACAAATCGTTCGTGGACCCACCCTGAAACCCAAGCAGAGAGACTCTGGATCAAGCAGGAAACTGAAGATAGAGACAGATCTTCGTTTTACATTCAAATGAATAAAGGCAGACCATGGGTTTATTTGAAATATCAAATAGTCGGCGCCTGGATCCAGCCTGAACTTGATGTAATTCACTCTTTTATCCAGTCTGAAACCTTCCTATTAAGATTCTGGCCCAAGGTTCTATCTCCAGTAGTCAAACCATGGATCTTGCTTAAAGGAAGAACACTCATATCTTGGATACTGCCTGTAACCCGAGCAGACACTGGATCCAGTCTGAAGTTCATCTTATTGAATCCTTCGGTGTTTTTAAAGCCGGCAAAGTGAGAACCTGGATCCAGCCTGAAACAGAAATACTAAGACCCAGAACCCTATAAAGCTGTTATAATTGATCATTTTCTCCTCCTGAAATTGAGCCGAACAGAGAAACACTATTAACGAGTCATTTTGGCTGCTTGTCCAAACGTGTACCCTTTTTGCCAGTAAAAACTGTTTATTCCCCAGATCGGTATTTTATAGCTTTGTCAACTGAGATAACTGCCACACAAAGCCAATATAAAATCAATTCTATCCAACCAAGCCAGTTTACAAGCATTTGGCTTCCTGGAAGAGTTGTTTACCAGCTCTATGGCAGGAAATTAAAAATTATCAAGACAAAAGAAAGCCCTCATGTCCCAAGTACCTCTCTTATCTCTCTTTATGCTTTTTCTTTATTCATTCTTGTTCTCTTCCATCTGTATGTACACTGACCCCTTCTTGTTCAGTCTTTTCTTCTTGTACTTTCCTTTCATTCTGTATTTTCCCATCTTGCTCAGGTATTTCTCCTCTGGTCTCCTCTCCTATTCTGCTATCCATAGGCTCTTTTGCTAATCCTCCTCAGAATATATTTCCCTCAGCATTTACTAAAGAGTCAATTCTTTCTCATTCTTTTTCATCCTTGCATACTGCTCCAGCCGCATTTTTAACAAAACAACCTCTCCTGATGCCTGGATCTCAGTCTGGACCCAAGCCTGAACAACAACCTCTTAGGTATTCAGAACTCAGTGTTTCCCTGGGTGAGTGTCAACTAGCTGTGATTTGGAAAGAAAGTTTCCAGGCTTTCTGGCTCTTCAGGACAGCTGTTATTTCCCATGAAACCACAGGCAGCTTTAGTCGAGTCAGATATTTGAGTTAATGTACTTGGTATGAAGACTCCTGTTGAACCCTAAAACCAGAGTTTGTAGCAACAGAGGTTATGTTCTCAGACCGTTGCAAAACCAAAATTTAGGTTATTGTGTGAATCAGCAGAGATGTGTAAATATTGAGAGAATATTTTTTTTTTTTTTTTGCCAAACAGGATGTTTGAGCTATGTGTTATGAACACAATTCTATTCAGACAGCAGTATTTTAAAGATAGCCTTACTCCTTAGAAAGGTTTTATTATTTTCACTTGAGGTATATACATATATACACACACTATTGGATAATAGTATAACATCTTGGATACTAGTATCAGATATAAATAATAATATACTACATATATAAACTATATATACATATATTTATATATAGCATCTATATAGTATATATGTGTATATATATAGTATATATGTAATAGTGTGTGTGTATATATATATACGCTTTATTGTTAGAAGGGGAAGTATGAAGATAACCTCTGTACTATATCTAAAATTGTGGGATGAATAATGTATATTTCTATGTATTTTCTCAGAATTGAAGATAATGAATTTCCAAGCATTTTTCTAAAAGTCTAAATTTAGATGTTAGAAAAGGAAGGGTAGTAACACTAATCACTCTATACCATGTGTGGGTTCCTCTGCAGAGTGTGGATTATGCCCTGGCATTATCCCTGTCTGTCCCAACTGCTGGGAGGCAGAAATTGGTGAATTCTGTTGGGTGATTTCTGCACAAATGTTTTTCTCCCATTTTTGTGCTGGCTCCATACTACATGAACAGTGGATCATTAGCACAGCTAGATGTGTCAATTTTATGTAAGTCTGAGCAATTCATTTCAAGATTATGATATCATTATAAAGCAAGTAAAACATTGAGACTGTTACTGAATATGTTTCTTTTCTATTTATTTATTTATTTTTGTTTGTGTGTGTGAGACAGAGATAGGGAAAGAGAGAGAGATAGAGACAGAGACAGAGAGAGAGAGAGAGAGAGAGAGAGAGAGAGAGAGTGAGAGAGAGAGAGACTCTCCCTCTATTGTCCAGGCTAAAATGCAGTGGTGTGACTCACATTAGCCTCAAACTCCCAATATTAAGGGATGCTCCCACCTCAGCCATCTGAGTACCTGGGACCGCAGGCACACGCTACTGCATCTGGATAATTTTGTTGTTGTTGTTCTTGCTGTTGGTAAGGAAAAATTCTCATCATGTTGACCAATTGGTCTCAAATGATCCTTGAAAATAGTTTCTAAAGTACTATTTGCAACTGAGTGCTTACCTGGACTTCATGTGATTCACGTGAACTCCAGGGTTTTTTCACACTGAAATGTGGAAATAATAAGATTTTTTCCTTGATTTTTTTTTCCCCCAAAAAAATGCAGAAGCCCTGGCTGTGGTCCGAGTGGGGCTTATTGACCTCCAGGATCCTGCCCAAGCTGAGATTGTAACCTTTGAGCATGCCATGCCCTATTTAGGTCCCAAGGGACCTCTAGGACCTGGGTTGATCTTCCTGAAGCAACCACTACATTTTCAACCCAGGTTCCTTCCTATACGCCTGGAGCAATGTCTGGAACAAGAGAAAATATACAACTATATGACTGTTGGCTATGTAGTTGGTCCCTTATGAGGGGGTGACTAAAGAAGAAGACACTGGAATGAAAGAGAAGCATGTTTAGGAAGAGAATAGTATCCTCTCATGAATAATAAAAGATTTGTCTTTCCCTTCACCATACTTCTCCCTCTAATGTGGGCTAAAATTTGAAGACAAACACAAACACCTCTTCTCTGTTTTCTATCAGAAAGTCCTGGAATTGTGCAAAAACGGCACCTGAGCATCCTACAAGTCAGCACTTGTGCCCAATTTTGGCTCAAGCTGAATGAACTCACTTTCTGGGTGGAGGCCAAGAAAGCCATGTGGATGGCTGACTATCAGGTGACAAATTCATGGGGTATAAATATCAGGGAGAAAGAGGAATATCTTGAAAACCAAAAGTTACTTCTGGCCCTCCTTTAAAATATTGTTTGATATCTTGCCTCTTGTTTCTTGCAAGGTGACTTGGGAGCACCTTTCGTATGCCATCTACAGCAAGAGGACACTTGGGTGCAAGTGGGAATCTTGAGTCACTTTGAGGACCATTGCACAAAGCCCTAGGTCTTCAGCCAAGTGCACCCTTTCCTTTTCTGACTCCAGGGAGTGACACAGTCTAGCTATGCTCCCTGGTACAAGCAAGGGCCCATGACTACCTCTGCTTCTATGTCCCATTCAGTCTCTACCTCTACAAATGCTTCAGCTTTTACCTCCACCCCTGCTTCTCTTTGGCCACACTTCTCTCTGCCACAGCCTCAGAGTAAGGCTCAAAAACTTGGTAGAGGTAATAAAGGAAGAAGAGAATGGAATTAGAAAAGAAGAGAGGGAAGCAGAGAGGAAAGAAAGCTCTTCCTGTAAAATATATGAGTTTTTTATCTACCAAATCACAGAAATTATTTTTATCGTGGTTTACAAAGGTATTTCACACTTGATCTATGATTCAATTTCCATTGTATCCCTGTATGATATAGATTACTGTATAATATAGGTCATGAAACATGATTACTATAGTTATGTTAATTGCTTACTCTTATACTAGATAAGTAGAATGGATTGTTCAAGTTCTTATGGCAAAAGATGAATAGGACTAACATTAAGACACACTCTCCTAACACAAAGTCATTTCTACCACACAGTATCTTACATGTGTAATAGAATTATTTTGAATTGAATATATTTTAAGTTAAAGACATTATGATGTTTGGAAACAGCATAGCAGTTGGTAAGTAATGTGTTTTAGGTGCTGGTGTACTAGACTGTATTACATTGTGATTATCAGTTTCCTCCTTCCCTTGGCTATCAGAAAACCTATCACAATATTAGCAATGGCTATTTCACATTACTGTACTTCCACTTATTTCCTTAGAAACTGAGGGATCTCTTTTGGTGTCATGTACTAAATGTGCACTTAACCACAGCTATATTATAGCTAACACCTATTGTCATAGCTACAGTGAATAACACATTAAAACACAAAGGAGGCCACAATTATTTGCTCACATTCTGCAAAGTCTGATTCAAAGACAACTACACTTAAGATCATAGTTATGCTTCTAATTTCATCTATATTTCCTCACCTCTTCTAGAGAGAGCCTATCTTCATCGTTTTTATATCTGTAATATGTGCATTAACTGGCATTGCTTCAACTCAGTTTTCTGAGAAACTCTCAAATGTTTTTTAAAATATGAGCTATTTCCTTAACCCCAAACTTGAATGTTCTATTTAAACTGTCATTCTGATATCACACTAAGATTGTAAGTTCAGGAAGATAAGCTCCCTCCAATTTAGAGACAGGAGCCTTATCTCCAAATTTTTCCTTGTTTATCTAATATCTCCAAATCAAATAATTTTTTGTTGCCCATCTACTTTGATAACTTTTAAGTAGCTAAAATCATAGCTATGTAAAGGTTGCAATGGGGAGAAAGCTGGAATGACTCCCAGTACTTTGACTGAAGAAATTTAAGTTAGGACATAAAGAAACTGTGAACTTAGAAAAATAGTAAAAGGAAAACTTTTTTTTTTTTTCAGAAAAATGTAAAAACAAAAACAAAGGAAAAACAGAAAAGAGGTAGAAGTTTGTGTTTGCTAGTCATATTTAACAATGCTGACCTGGTTAGCAGAAATAGGAGGGATCTAAATTTTTTTTTAAATGGTCTACATGTGGCAATTCTATTCAAATTAATTGTGTGAATTTTCCCCTTGGCTTTGGCAGATCAGATTTATCTGCGATATGCCATGCCTTGGAAGGCTGTCATCATCATCTGTGGGAGTCAGATCTGCAGTGGTTCCATAGTTGGCAGCTCTTGGATTCTCACAGCTGCCCACTGTGTCAGGAACATGTAAGTTTGTGCCTGCCTCTTCCCATGTCCTATAATTCATTATCCCATAATTACATTGCTGGAAGTTTATCTGTCCAAATTCACTTCTATAATGCATGACCATCTCACTTATACAATAACTTTTTTGTTTTAGGCTAAAAAGAAATTGCCTCACTGTGTTTGGCTTATTAGTACCTCTGTTAGTTATCTCCTCTGCAACCCCATTGTCTGTGGACTCTTTATTCATAGATTTCTGATTTCAATGAAGATGAGCTAGGAACCTTGTGTATCATGACAAAAGCGATATTCCGGAAAGCCTGATGTAGGTTTAAGGTTCAGGTTTTCTAATGATTGTACTGTAATAAATCTTTGCCTATGCACTCAGGGATCCTGAAGACACTGCTGTGATACTGGGCCTGAGGCACCCTGAGGCACCACTGAGAGTTGTGAAGGTGTCTACCATTCTACTGCATGACAGATTCTGGTTGGTGACTGAGGCAGCAAGAAATATTCTGGAATTGCTACTCCTCCACGATGTCCAGACTCCCATTTGGCTCTTATCACTCTTGGGCTATCTGAGGAACCTGAATAGTTCAGAATGCTGGCTCTCTAGGCCACATATTGTTACACCAGGTCAGTGGTTATTTTTCTTATTAGCGTAGTTGTTCTAAAAAAATGAGGTTCATATTTTTAATATTATGATTCAAGGCATAAGTGTAATCACATTTGTATACATTATTAATTATAAGATATTTAATCCACATCAGAGACCCACTAGGAGATTTGTTTTTGTTTTATAAGATGATGGTTCTGATGATGACTTCACAGGATTTTAGATCTAACAAAAATTATATGAGGAACTTTCTCTGTACAGTCCAGATTTGTAAAGCAAGGTAGAGATGACTTCCTTCCCAACTCTTTTCTCACTTCGGTACAAAGGAAAAAGAAGGGTTTTGTATTGTTTTGTTTCATTTTTACTTCTTTATGAAAATGTAGCTTAACTTGACTTGGAATTTTGAATTTCAAAGGTAAAAATTGACTTGTTAATTTTGCAGAGTAGAATTTAAAATGTTATTAAAAAGTGACAAGTCTGTCTTCATTGACTCACCCCGGTAATTCCAGCAATGTGGGAGCTTAAACTAAGAGGACACTTTGAGTCCAGGAATTTGATACCAGCTTCAGCAATATAGCAGGACTTCATCACTAAACACGTAAACAAAAACAAAGCCTGGTTGATGTTGCACACAGGTAGTCCCAGCTATGTGGGAGGCTGAGGCAGGACGATGGCTTGAGCCCAGAGGTCGAGGCTGCAGTAAGTGAAGATTGTGCCAATGCACTCCAGCCTGGGTGACCAAAGAAGAACTTGTCTCAAACAAACAAACAAACAAAAAAAGGCCAGACATGGTGGCTCACGCATGTAATCCCAGCACTTTGAGAGGCTGAGGTGGTGGATCACCTGAGGTCAGGTGTTCAAGACCAATCTGACCATCATGGGGAAACACCATCTCTATTAAAAATACAAAATTAGCCAGGAGTTGTGGTGTGTGCCTGTAATCCCAGCTACTCAAGAGACTGATGCAGGAGAACTGCTTGAATCCTGGAGGCAGAGGTTGCAGTGAGCTGAGATCAGGCCGCTGTACTCCAGCCTGGGTGACAGAGTGAAACTCTACCTTAAAAAAGAAAAGAAAAGTGACCAAAAAGATAATGAAATAGAAAAATTGTGTGATGTAAAATGTTAATGGTGATGAAATGAACTGAATTTCTGTGTAAAAGTTATAGATACAAGTTTAAAGTAATGACGAGACAGAAGTGATGAGACAAATCGTAGTCTTATCTTAATACTTAGGGTTTAAATTTAACATATATTCTTAAGGATATAGTCCATTTGTCTTTCTAGGAGGGACCAATGACAATCCAGAAATGTTAGGCACAAGTGATGAAAGCTTCCAGCTGTGCCCACCTGTACCCTGACATAGGCAGTTCCATTGTTTGCTTCATTACTCAGGACAAAAACTCTGATGAAATTGTGGTACATCATCAATTTTTTTCTTACTACATGATAGAAACTATAACTTTGTTCCTATACAAAGGGGTGTATACTGCATATGCCTAAATGATAAATATAAGTGAATTATTGATCAGTAGGAAACCATTTTAAAATTCTTTAATTACAGAACAAAGTCTCTAAAAAAAATCTGTTTTTAATCTCTGAGTTTTCTTACATACGATTTCAATCTCTAGCCATACTGTATAGCTATTATGCTGCTGTACACACAAATCAGACATTCTATATTATTCTCTTATTCTAATAATAGTATCTTTACACCTCAGAGTTTAAAACGAGTCTCACCTTTTTCTATTTCCCCAATTAAAATAACTTTTTAACATTTAATCTTCAGTGATTTTTTGTAGTAATATTTTTGAAGGTATTTCATCAGGATGATTTATTATGCACTTATCTGATGTCTCCTTTTCTTCTGAATACATGTTTTAATATCTACTTATTAAATCTATGATTAATAATTTGGAATAGGGATTTAAATCCAAATTCTATGTTGGAATTTACAGGAGTCAGTGAGCCTACGAAAAGCATTTATGTGCAGACCAGTATCTGACAATGGCAGTTGGAGACAAATAGGCTTCACCAGTCTCAAAGCCCTAGCTACTACAGTGAGTCCACATTTGTCCTGGATATTATCTACTTCAGCAAAAGAAGGTCACTCAATAAACCAGGCCCTTGTGCCTTGGGTAGAAACTCCGAACTCCTCTAGTCTCCTTAAACAACCAACCACACTGCCACTTTCCTCAATAATAATTACGGCAGCCCAGGGACTTTGGTAGCCTAGTGACTATAACTACTGATGCCACAGTCTGGTCACAGTATGATAAAACGCCAGAGCATCAACAAGGAAAATTTTGACTTAGCCTTCCAAAATCTATCTAAATATACCTTCAATAAATATGGCTTTTCTTCGTAATAACTGCTTTCTACTACTTCCTGAACTAATGCATGGCCTTGGATTGTTTTCATTCTTGAAAATGATTCAAAAGTTCATATTTAACATGAACGTGAATGCAGGATTTTATTTATCAGCAAAAAAAATTTTCAAAATGATGCGAAATACAAATGTGGAATTGTATTTGTGAATATTAGTCTTTCAAATTATATTTTTATCCCAACTAACTCACACAATGTTTTGTAACTATCTGCATATTCTCCTCAGGTGGGGGAAAAACAGTATCAGAGTTCTTGAAGAATTTATGAAAAAGAAAATGACAATACTATACAAGGTTTAACCTATTCACAATACTGTATTTAGTGAATGAAAACATTACTTTTAAAATCCTACTTAAGTATTGAGTAAATAAATAAAGCATATTATTTCAATAACTCTAAAATACGTGTTCACGAAGACAATACAACAAGGGTTAAAATACATAAACAAACAAATGAGGCCGGGCATCATGGCTTGCACCTGTAAGCCCAGCATTTTAAGAGGCCAAGGCGGGCAGATCACTTGAGGTCAGGAGTTTGAGACCAGCATGGCAAATATGGTGAAACCTCATGTCAACTAAAAATACAAAAATCAGCTGGACATGGTGGCATGCGCCTGTAATCACACCTCCTTGGGAAGGCTGAGGCAGCGGAATCGCTTGAAGCTGGGAGACTAAAGTTGAGGTGAGCTGAGATCATGACACTTCCCTCCTGCCTGGGTTACAGAGCCAGACTCTGTCTCAACACACACACACACACATACACACACACACAAATCTAAAAAAATGGAAAAAAAAATCTGTACTAGAAAAAGAGCTCACAGGCAAACTCACATATCTAACAGGAAAAAAATGTCCTTTAAACAAAGGTGGCACAAGAGGCAAATTTAAAAAAAACAAATGTATCAGCTTGCATATAAAGTACAAATAATATACTGAAGAGAACCACAAGGGGAAAAAAATCAAAATTTATAAGTATGTACTCTAAAAGAAGCTGAAAGTCACTTAAAAATTTTCTGGATTCTATGTCTCTATATTGCAAAAATGATCATAATATTTGCAGGAGCAGAACAATCAAAATCTATCTTAAAACTCAGTAAGCACTTCAAGTCTCACATAAGAATTGTAACAGAAAATGGATGTGTCTGCAGTATTTCCACACAAATCTGAACAAACACTATTTCTTCATACTCTTTGTTTCACTATTCTAAGAAAATAACCTCCATATTAATATTAGGTGATGCGACAAAGCAGGTCTTCATCATGATAAGCAACACTGGGTGTCCACACCAGTACCCAAGTGGGTCTTAATTCCCGGCCAGTTTCCCTCCCTGGGCACATACCAGAGGAGTCAGCCATTTTGCAGTCTCTTCACATTTCCTCCTCTGAGCCCAATGTGGTCCTCCAGATTCTCTGTGTAGTGGCCTCTTTTGTCTGGGTAGCAGGGAAGTGTGAGTGAAGACGGCAGAAAGGAGAAATCACGTCAGGGGAGCCTGGGTTCATCGTAACCGAAAATGATGGGCCTGGGAGAGCCATTCTGGGAGGACGCAGACCTAGACAGGCCTTGGGGGGACATCTGCATGGAGGGTGAGAGGGCCCTGGTTGAGCCCAAACTGAGCCCCAAGTGTTAGTCAGCCTCAGGGTGGGGAAGGGAGCCAACTAGAGATGTTGAGCAAGTTATCCCTTAAGACTTGCTTCTCACCCACTGACCTTAGACACTTATGCCTCTCAGGTGACTTAAGGTGCCCTAATCCTGAAATGTGAGTGTTACAGTTCCCTGAAGTCCGTTTCTCCTTCAGCCCATGGATGGCCTGGGATTGCTCACTGCAGTCTCTTCCCTGAAGCTTGGGTTCTCCTAACCTGACCTCCTCTCTGTTCCCTCTCTAATGGCCTCCCTCCCTCGGGAAGTACTGAAGGGGATTGAGCCACAGGCCCTGGCTGATGATCTGGGGGACTGAAGAAGGGGGTACAGGACAGGTCAGGTCATGGCTCAAAGCCAGTTCCCCAGAGGCCAAGGAATGACCAGCAAGGTTTTTCCCATGATGCCCCACCGTGGCACCCATCTCAGCAATCCTGCCGGGACCTGGGTAGCCAGGGGCAACCAACCAGCTGAAGAAGGTCAGATGTAGGTGTACTGCCTGCAGCTGGAGGCTTGACCTTCATGATCCCACAACCACTGGACTGCAGTGGAATGAGACACCCTGTTTCTTGGAGGGATAGGAATCAGGAAGGTTCATGCCAGACATACCCTCCCACACACAACCTCCCCTACCTTGCTGGGAGGCACTCCTTACCAAGGATGCCAACGCAGTACTCCTGAATGATCACTTCATTGTGGAAGTAAAGGCTGTTACAAAAGGAAACCTTCATCCTGATGCCAGTACCTGGGGTGGCTGAGTTCCTCCATCTACCTGGTCAAGAAGGAGAAACAGGATGGACTCAAAGGACCATTTCATGTAGCTGGACTGAAGTGGCCTGCTAGCTGGAGTGAAGCATGTGTTTCCCCTTCTCAGCTGTCCTGCTTAGACACCCCTGGGCCCCAGGGGGACCGCAACCTCACCCAGGCACTGGACCACTCCCACAGATTCAGGCTCAGCAGCCTAACCTGCAAATCCATCATGTAGCTCAGCAGGACTTCATCATTTGTGACCCTGGTCCATATCTGGGCCCAAGTCTTGAGCACCATGTGTTTCTGGGGTAAGCCTGCTGGACACAGGCACAGGGAATAGGGGTAGTTCCATGGCTGGCATGGGCATAGAGACTCCCCTTCCTCCAGGGACTTTCCCAGGGAAATGTGCCCTTCGACTTTCTGCAGTGCATAAAGGGTCCTTTGCGCTCCTATTCTCTCTTGTGAGTGCTGTGCTTTGCTTCCTGTCCCTACTCTACGTGCTCTCAGGGCAACTGCAAGCAAGCTGCCCTCCTATCTGCAGAAGTCTGGCCTCTGCTCCCTTCATTGTTCCTCATCCCCTGACTCCTGGATGACCTCCAGTGCCTACCAGCTGGCTCCCCGCAACCCTGCTCCTGGGACCTAGGCGCCCACCCCCTGCTGCCAGCCATCCCGAATTAGCAGCTGCGAAGACATGGCTCTGGCCCGGAAACCGGGGATGCCCTGTGGCTTGAGGCATTTACAAAGCCCAGCTGCAAATGATGGACCTCCAGCGAGTCCGTTGCGGGCCGGGGCATACTGGGGCCAGGGCCCGGCTCTGCCCAGTGGTCCTCCTGCTGCTGCTCCACGTCGGCCTCTTCCTTGGCCACCACTTCCACTTCTGTCGTGATGTCATTTACCAGGAGCACGCCTCTTCCCCCCAGGCCGCCCTCTCCCGCAGAGCCTCCAGACTTAACACGGTGCCCTCCTAGGGCTCCCACAGACCAAGGTCTGAGCCGCCCACCCCACGCCCCTGGCACCCCTAGACTCTGGGGGCCGCTCCTCGAGAGGCCCGGGGGCCTCGCCTAGCTGAGAATCACGGTCTCACACCTACGTGGACCCAGGATTCCTGGGGAGTCCCGCAGGGCCCACAGTCCGCCGCAGTCACCATGAGGTCCAGATTCCCTGCATGGTTAGCTGCATACAGGAGCCATAGGCAGAGGCCCTGGACTTCCAGAGCCCCGCTAGCAGGCACCGCGGCCGGTGGGTGCTGCACTCACAGCAGCCTCTGCGCCACCAAGGCAGTGAACACAGGTCATTGGATGGGCGACCACGGCAGCTTGTCTCTGGTGTGCCCAGGGCATAGGACAAGAGATCCTTTGGAATACCCCTGGGAGTGCAACATCCTAGGGAGGATGCATGGAACTTGGAGTCTGTATTTCCCTAGATCTGAAAGAGTCCTTGCGGGGTTTTGAATTCCGGTGCTGACGAATTCCACCCCAGGAAGGTGCCAGATGACTTTCCTCCCAGATGCCCCCTCGGCCCCACTCCCCGAAAACCACCGCCGCTGCCCTTGCCCCAGCAGGCAGGACTAGACCCTCTCTCTTGCCTCTGGATCTCCAATATTCAGTACCATCAGCCTAGCCTGCCTAATGAAGTGAGATGTTTCATGTGTTCCCTGTGAGTCAATGGCTTGCGGCACTCAGGATGCCAGTTAGGGTATAGGTCTTCCATGTCACAATTCCAAAGGGCTCACAGTCTGCGTGTGCCTGAACCCACCACCACCTTGCACAAGCATCTTCTCAGAGGAGGACTACCGCGGGAGGATGGAGCTGCAGGCCACCCAGGGGAGGGGCTCCTCAGGAGACGCCTACCGCTCTTGCAATAATTGGCAGATGCCCACTGCCTTCCCAATGATTGGCTGGAGGTAGGCGTGATTTCCGGGCATGGCTTCCCACTCAGGCCAGCTGCAGCGGTCTTTCCTGCAGTTGGCCCTGTGGTGTCCCGAAGCCGGATGCATACGACCTGAGTGACGGGAGACCCTGAGGCTGTTTGTCCTCCTGAAAAGCACCTGTATTTTCTGTTTCTCTGGACAGGTTGGTCTCTCGGCAAGACTAGAAAGCAAAGGTTTGGGATTTTGTCTATAAAAGCGAATGGGCTTTCTATATGTGGGCTTGAATTAAGGGAGGAGACAGTGGGGAGAGAACTCCTTAGTGCTCTAAAGAAACTCATTTTTGTTAAACTCTTTGATTTTTCTTGAAGATTCTACCTTTAACTGTCGGACATATCTGACATGTGGGCAAGTTCTGGGAGATGGTGCTAAGGCGCCATTGTTTTCATGGGCACTTTTTATTAAAGCAGTTTTTCTCTGTGAATGTCGTCATAATTCAAAATACAGGCAACATACTTAACCACTGCGATTAAAAACCCGTACTTTAGTCAGCACATGTCACATATGTGATTTGCTTGGCGGGAATTATCAAATTTTGACGTATTTTAGTGTATGTAGAAGTCTGGGGCCATAAATAACCTCGGTTTAAATTTGCCTCTGTAAAGCCTGTAATTGTCTCCTTCCTTGTATGACAGTATTTGAAACATGTTTCATGTATCTGTGGCACCTAAGTAATTTAAACCGAATAAGTGGGTGTAATGGAGTTAAATGGAGTTGGATAGACTTAAACGAAAACAAAATAAATCTGCTTGTTATTCTACTATCTTCACACACTGACTTACTTTTGTAATCCTAGCATTTTGGGAAGTGCAGGTAGGAGGATGGCTTGAGGTCAGGAGTTGGAGACCAGCCTGAATAACATAATGGGCTCCTTTACTCTATTGCCATTTTCGCACCAGGGACCGGTTGGTGGAAGACAATGTTTCCTCAGACAAGTGTTGCCCAGCGGAAGAAGGCAGTGAGATGGACACGTTTAGGGGTACGGGCTGGCGGCAGGGCCCCGAGGGGCACGTGGTGGGGCGGGGCTTCTGGTGGAAGAGGTGTGAGAGGGGGCAGGTGGGGCAGTGGGGCTGTCACCGGGACAGGGTGGGGCAGGAGGGGTGGGAGGCGGCTAGGGAGGTTTCCGGATGAAACTGTGCCACCTCAGGTCATCCTCAGGCGTTACATTCTCCACAGACAGGTATTACAGGTTATCCTCAGGCATTACATTCAGGCCACAGACAGGTATGGCGTGAAGGCCAGTGTTTGGGGATCCTTGATCTATTATATATTTCAAATCACTAAAAGATGCTAAAATACTTAAAATGATCTCCCCCTAGAACATTTTAATTAGCTTGATTTAATCTTTCATACAAATATCACGCTGGGTGTGGCGGTTCACACTTGAAATCCCATCACTTTGGTAGTCCCAGGCCAGTGGACTGCTTGAGCCCAGGAGTTGGAGACCAGTTTGGGCAATATAAGGAAAACCATGTCTATTTAAAAACAAACAAACAAACAAAAAAAACACACACACACAAAAATTGCCCAGCCAGCTACTTGGGAAGCTGAAGCGTGGGAGGATCAGTTGAGTCTGGGTGGAGGAGGCTGTAGTGAGCAGTGCACTTTAGCAACAGGAGATATACATCTCAAGAAAAAAAAATACACAAAACATCACACCATACCTCATAAATATATAGTTTTCAAATAAAATTATTTAACTGGGAGCATCCTTCATATTGCAACTTAGGAAAATTACAGTAGCTTTTCTTATCTAATTTTTATAAATTAGATTTTGTCACCTACATAATAAAATGCAGCATTTGTCCATGAAGTCAGTGCCCCTTTTGCTCTGTATGTTATGAATTTTACATATTTAAACTAAGAAATACTAAAAAGATGTTAGCCTCTGGAAGGGACTTTTACTTGAATTTCCAACACAGTATGTAATAAAATTTTATCTTTTTAGTTTGTCTATTTTTATCTAATATAGATTTTTTTTAACCATTTACAGCACAATGGTAGAAGCAGATTGTCATGGCAAGCTTTTCATTGGTGGCCTCAATAGAGAAGCCAATGAAAAGGTGCTTAAAGAAGTATTTGCAAAACATGGTCCCCTTTTGGAAGGTAACTCTTAAAGCCATGTGTTTTGTGTGTGTGCGTGTCTCTGTTTGTGTGTATTTTCGTATGTATATTTCAATATGTTATTTAAAATATGTAGGTTATGTATGTATTTTAAAGTATGTATTTTTCAAAGTTCATTGTATACATACATTAAAACGCCTTGTGATTTGTAAACTCTTATTTTGAAGTATCTATCTGATATTTGGAAAATTCTCATAGCAGCAGGTGAAGGGTAAGAATCACTTACTGCTTAGAAAGGAAAATGAGGAAAAGTAAATGTGTTATGGAGTTAGGGAACAAACTGGAATAAAATAGGCTGACTATAGGGGTGACTTAGTATTAAGAATCATAGTAGTGATGTGAAATGCAGTTATTTTTTGGTTTGATGTAACTTTCAGATGGTTAGTAACTTGGTGAGTCCATTCTATAAATATAAAATGTTTTTATGTATCTTAGTTCTTTTGATAAAAGGTCGAACCAGTAAGTCCAGAGATTTTGTGGTCATTATTTTTGAGAATGCTGCAGATGCTAAGAATGCTGCCAGAGATATGAATGGAAAGGTAAGAGTCCCTTATTAATAATACTCTAATTCTGGTTTTCAGTTAACAGTATTTCTAGGTCTTTTTAGTATAACTAAAGTGTTGAAGATAGTAGAATGCCATATGGACTGAAATGCTTTAGCCATCGTCTTCTTTGTGCCATACACATGCAAGTGTATTTGGAAGGGTACTGCAATTAACATTACATAAATTAATATATGGTAACTTTTTTTCTATTTTTGTATTTCAATATGGGTGTAAATAGATTTTCAAAGGTTTCCAAGAGCATTAAAACCTAGAAGGAACCCTCCTCTAAATGAAAGGACTAAGTTAACATTTTTTAAATGCTATCAGTGGAATTACTTCCAATTCATGGAAATACTTCTATAGCATATACAAACTGTGGATAGACATCTAGACAGACTCACAGGAAGGAAAGATTCTCTCCCATTTTCTGCAAATATATTCTTGAGAAAGTACATTTAAATAAGACCTTCACATTTAAGGATGTGTTAAGTACTTGAAAATAGAAAACAATATCAGAACATTGAAGTTGGACAACAGAAGAAGTAACTGGCATTTTTTGCCCCATCCTTGCTCTTTTCTCCTAAGGATGTTTTTTTTCCTGTCACCAGAGTGATTTATGTAACATGAATACCTAATTGCTCATTTTCCCAATGTGTTTGAGAACGTGTTTTGATCAAACCAATGGTCTCTTGTCCAATTGAGTCTTAAATCTAGGGATTGTGTGTTTACTAAAGCTTTAAAATTTTATGTAATTCTATTAACTATTGAATTCCTTTACATTCTAGTCAAGATCATTCCATTCTGGGCCCTTTAGAGCTTTTCTGCTTTCTAACATTATCCAAATCTGTTTTTCTGCTTTATAACATTATCCAAATCTGTTTTTAGCTCCTGTCACTCTTTATGGTACCCCTAAAATGATTTTTTGGACTTTTTGACAATTATTCTTTCCTATGTATGTCTCAGAAATAACAATTCATCCTTCAAAAACAACTTCAATTTTCTATTTTCTTCCTCGTTGCAAATCGTAGATATTTTATACTCACTGTACCATGTATTAATCTATTGATGGTTAAATTGTCTACAGTGCATATTTAAGGCTTCCTAGTTGCTTTTATTTTTGTTGCATCTAGTAGAGTTGCTGACACATAGCAGAAAGTACATTTTTATTCACTCTTATAAATTAGTATTTTAAGCTGTGGTAGAAACCCAGAGTAAATTTGTGGTAGTTGTGGAGATAATTTTTACTTACGTATAGTAATCTATGATAATTTCCTTTTCCCCCCTAGTTTTCAAGCACAAGAGCAGGCAATTTGCATAGATTTTTTGCTTGTTTGGTTTTTTTGTTTTTTAAGACGGAGTCTCACAGTGTTGCCAGGCTGGATTGCAGTGGGACGATCTCGGCTCACTGCTACCTCCCCCTCCCGGGTTCAAGCAATTCTCTGCCTCAGCCTCCCAAGTAGCAGGGACTACAGGCACATGCCACCACGCCCAGCTAATTTTTGCAGTTTTAGTAGAGACTGGGTTTCACCCAGTTGGCCAGGATGATCCCTATCTCTTCACCTCATGATCCACCCGCCTTGGCCTCCCAAAGTGTTAGGATTACAGGCATGAGCCTCTGCGCCCAGCCAATGTTATTTCTGAATTACTTCATCTCACATATTTTATTGTGTAAACATAAATATGAAGTTATATGCACATAAATGTTAAGACGGCCAACAAAGGAGGTTCTTAGAGTTATCAGGGGCAATTAACAGTTTAAGGAATTTTGACTGACTTTGAAACACTGGGAAGGAAGCAGCCATGCGCAAATCTGGGGAAAATATTTTGGGCCCAGAAATAACAGCAGAAGTTTCAAGGTAGGAACAACTGGCAATTTGGCTGCAAGAGGTCTTGTAAGGGATTTAAGATCTTCCCCCAAATAACAAAAAACATGTAATTTTAAAATAGAGTTATTTATTATCTGAACTGTTTTCAAAAATTACTTTGGCCTATAGAAAAGATCATACTGAAAAATGTTACTGTGAAATTAATTAGCACATTTAAGCATTTCTGAGAAACAACATGAAGTACTATATTAAGAGTCATTTTTTAGGGGCACGTCTAAGGCAAAATAAGAAATGAATAAGGCAAGAAACCTTAATGAGATCAAACAAGGATCACATTTACAGAAACGTTTCTAGAGTAAATATAAAATTATAAATCATATGGGGATATTTTACGTAAGTGTTAGCAGATCAAACAAGAAACAACTCATATGACTAATGTGACTAATCATTTTGAATAAGTAACCTCATTTTTTTAAATGACACAAGTTTCCTTGGGACACTGAAACTTTTAAATCAGTGATGCGAATACAAAGATGAAGTGGATGATATATTGTAAAAAAAAGACATGCCACATTCTTCCATAGAATGTGTGATGGGTTAATCTTTTTTGTTTGAGGTGTTTTTTTTTTTTTAATAATTGAGGAGTTTTCAAGGAATTTGAATAATAGAATTTGTGTTTGATCCCTTAATGGAAGGCGTGTGTTCAGTAAATGTCTCAAATTTGGTATTGTGAAAGACGTGTTCATTTTAGGAGGAAAAAAATTTGCTTTGGGAGAAAATATCTAGAATTGAACTATAGTTGATGTAGAAATGTTTGTAAAATGTGCTTAGGTTTAATCTTGCCAACGTTATTGATAGTACTCTTAATACTTTTAGTCTTTGGATGGAAAAGAAATAAAAGTAGAACAAGCAAAGAAACCATCTTTTCCAAGTGGTGGTAGGCGGAGACCACCACCTTCTTCAAGAAACAGAAGCCCTTCAGGAAGTCTGAGATCTGCAAGAGGAAGTAGTGGAGGAACAAGACCGTGGCTGCCCTCACATGAAGGACACTTGGGTAATGTTCTAAAATATAAAGATGGAACCATAGGACTGAAAGAAAATAAGTTTGAAGATATCAAAATTTCCCAATTTTATTTATTTTGGGAAATTTACTTATTGGTAAGAAGTAATTTTCTTATTGATAAGAAAATTAACTTATTGATAAGAAGCAAAATTATTTCTAAGTACTAAAGGTGTATTATAAGAATGATTGCACTAATATCTAAAATTTGTTTTAAAATTGTAATAAGTTTGCATTGAAATAACACAAATTTCAAACTGAATTGAGTTTATGAATGCTGATTGCCTGTACTCAACAGGTTTTCTGAAGAACTCATTTATATTAATTATACTTCATAGAGTTTTCTACTTTGGGGCCCAGAACTTCATATCGGTTGTATTATCAAAATACAATGGAATATTTAAAACTTTCCAACAGGAAAAAAAGTAATTCAGTACTTAGGATTGATTTTCCAATATTTGTTTTTTTTTGTGTATACATGTGCAAACATGTATGCAAATCTATTGCTTTGTAATTTTCATATGGAGAGTTTGTACATTGGCCTGCCATAAAGCATTTTCAATTTAAGAAACGTAGAACTTTAATTTCTAAAAAAAGTCTATGACTCTGGAAAGGACAAAACACCACTGCTTCACAGATATGTATGTATCTTTCTTGCTGGAAGGTGAGTCACTGAAAATGGTATTTATGAGTGATTTACACAGTAGAAATGAGGGGTCAATTTCTACATAAAAAAGAAAAACAAACTATGTATTTAAAAATATATATATATATTGGATGGGGGTGGGCGAGGTGGGTCACGCCTGTCATCTCAGCACTTGGGGAGTATGGGGTGGGTGGACCACGAGGTCAGGAGTTCCAGACCAGCCTGGCAACCATGGTGCAAACTGTCTGTCCTAAAAATACAAAAAATTAGCTTGGCATGGTGGCACATACTTCTAATCTTAGCTACTCGGGAGGCTGAGGCAGGAGAATCACTGGAACCTGGGAGGCAGAAGCTGCAGTGAGCTGACATAATGCCATTGTACTCCCACCTGGGCAATAGGGCAAGAGTCCATCTCAATCAATCAATCAATCAATCAACCTATTGGTTAACATATTATCTATTAACCAACCTTCAAAAATCGATCTTTAATTTTGTGTTTTAATGACCAGATGTGTAATTAATTGGAGATGTGTTTTTAAAGTTGAAATTGCAGTGTTTGCTGCATTTTACGATGCATAGCTTCATGGTAATTTTGTCTCCACTGATCTTGAGGGTGAGATTCAATAATACTCTGCCATGTATGAGAATGTGCGTACTCTAACCTGTAACACCACCTAGTAATTGGCATATATCTACAGATTTGTAGATATATAAATATTTTTATATTATTTAATAAGCAATTCTTAAAGATTATTAAAATTTAGCATAGTCTAATCTGAAAATTAGTGTTTCACAAGGAAATTGTAAGAATTCTATACTATGTTAACAAATTTTAGAGATAATATATTTTCCTGATGTGTCACCTTTTGATATTGCAAATATTTGAGTTTCTTTGAATGGAATTTAGTTTATCTTTTTGATATGCTTTGAAAATTTTTCCTCATAATAGAATGATATAAACAGTCATTTATCATTTTTTAATATTTTTTCTTTATGTATATTATACTTAGATATTTTACTGATAGATTTCTGCTCCCTGTTCACTCCCCATTTTTCCCACATCTCTCTCTCACACCAATATATTATAATTCTTGAGTTTCCTTCTAGATTTTCTAAACAGACTTTTATTGCTTGAATTGTACTAATTTCATATAGAAATGTTAATTTTATTAGTTTAGACAAATGTGAATTTGTAACATTATAATATGTAGAAAAACAACAAAACTTAGCCATTCAAGAAACAGTGATGCTAGTTAACTAAAATGATTTTGTTTGAAATACAGATGATGGTGGATACGCTCTTGATCTCAACACGAGTTCTTCTAGGGGAGCCATTCCAATTAAAAGAGGTCCATCTTCACGAAGTGGAGGTCCTCCTCCTAAAACATCTGCTCCTTCTGCTATGGCAAGAAGCAATAGTTGGATGGGAGGCCAAGGTAAATGCTACCTGATAAAAGACCATATTTTTTGTATGACTAAAAATGAGCTATTTTAACTGGATTCTTAAATTTAAGTTCATTGAACAAAACAGAAGTGACACATCATTGGGCATAATTACTGATCAATAGCTTTTATTATACTTTCTATCTCACTAGGTACACTCAGATTTATGTTGAAGAAATACTCGAGCTTCTCACTGCAGTTGAAAGAAGTGATTAGAGTGAGGCCAACATTCCTCTTAATCCTGTGTTTGCTAGATAATTCCCCTTAATTTTTCTAAAAGTCCCTAGCAGTATTCTTTGATGATAGGCTTCTTCTTCTAATGAATTCTTCCATTTCCTAGGTCCCCTGGTAGTGGTCCCCTGGCAAGCCAATTGAAAAATTGCTTGTTCAGTTTCTTTATTGGGTTGGAGTCTTGCTCTTACCAGGTCAGAGTGCATTGGTGAAATGATGGCTTACTACAGCCTCAAAATCCTGGGCTCAAACAATTATCCTGTTTCAGCCTCCTGAGTTGCTGCAACTACAGGCATGCACCACCACACCTAGCTAATTTTTTTTTCCTGTATTTTTGTAGACAGAGGATGTCACTACATTGTCAAAACTGACATAAAAGCCAGCGGCTCAAGCAGTCCAGCTGTCTCTGCCTTCCACACTGACTCGCACTGTGAGCTGCTGAGCCTGACCATCCAGCTTCTGAGACCTCAATAATGTTTATGTGCAAGGCATTCTTACTGCTTCTATGAAGATTCAAAAGAACTACAAGAGCATTTAGCAGAAAAGGAGTCACTGGGCTTACCTATTATTTAAAAATAAAATCAAGTCTTGAAAGGTAGACATGAAGGAGTCCAATATTCTTAAATTAAGTGGATATCATAGAAGTGCAGAGATGTGAAATATAAGGTCATGTAAATCAATAATTAAGATTTTACCGGGATGTTTAAACATTAACACAAGATCCTTAGCGTAAGACTGGAAATTATTTGAGGAGAGAATTTAGAACTAAGCAACCTGAGGTGAGCGGTAGGATTGAATAGAAGTAATATTTTTGAGAAGGAGAATTGTTAAGATTGCAGACAGAACAGAAGAAAGCAAGACAGTAAATAAAAGTTCTTAGCAAAGAAGTTTAGGCAGAACAAATTAAAATTCTTACTTAGTCCTCCACCCCAATATGGAGGAAATTGAAAACTGCTGTTTTCAATTTTACATTTCATATGTAGAGTATCGGTGAAATTAGATATTTATTGACTTCAGCATACATAAGCCAACACATTTCCATTGGAAAATTAGCCAGTGAACATATCATAGGTGAAAGACTGACCTCTAAGGAATAGCACATAAAGAGTATATTAAAGGAGAACATTTTCTATTTTGAAATAGCAACAATGTCGTAATGACCCCTTTAACAGGATTGCTTATTGCAGTAAAAGTAAATCTTGGCCATCATTAGAAAGTTTTCACTAGTATATTTCAATTTGTCAACATTTAAGGTAGAGCCAACCACTTAGAGATAAAGAAGACCTTTTATGTAAAAATTTAGCATCCAATCATTCAAAGGTAGCATCATTTGTGTGTGTGAGGTGGATTGAACAACATAGGAAAATTTACCTTCTTCAGCTGAGAAGGGACAATGGATGTAAACTTAAAAATCTGTGAAGAGTTTGGTGCTTTTACATGTCTTCCCTGTATCATTGGTAGTCATCAGTAATTCATATGAAAGGAAAAACAATAACTAACTAGTTATTTACCATTACAGATGAACTTTTACCTAAGAATTAATGTCTGTCTTCAGCTCTGTTAGAAGAACTGGCCTTGCAGTAGCCATGGGATTATCCAAAGCCATAAGAAATATTCACAGTGTCATGACTTTCTAGTAATTTAGGGAATGAAAAATGGAGTCATAGTGGAGTCATAGAAGAAATAATTTTAAAAAGTTGTTTGAGAGAAGAGAAAATAGTATTTCGGATTTGCTGTTCTTTCCCTGTTTCATCATTTTAATATTAAAGGTCCCATATCACGTGGAAGAGAGAATTATGGAGGTCCTCCATGCAGAGAGCCAATCTCTTCCTGGAGAAATGACCGTATGTCACCAAGAGATGATGGTTATGCAATTAAGGAAAGGTAAAGAAAATATTTTTTAGAAGTTGATTTTTTTTGTTATGGTGATGAAATTCACATAATAAAATTAAATATTATAAGGTAAACAGGTGGCATTAAATACATCCTGTGTTGTGCAGCAGCTAACTCCATCAAGTTCCAAAACATTTTCATGACTACAAACTAAAACTCCAGCTACCAGTTAAGCAGTCCCTTTCATTTTCTTCCTTCCCTCAGCTACTGGCAAACATCAGTCTTTGCTCTGCCTCTGAACTTACATGTTGTGGGCATTTAATGTTAATGGGCTTATACACTACATGACTTTTTGTATCTGTCTCCTTTCCTTTTGTATCATGTCCCGAAGTTTCATTTACATCATAGCACTTAAATCCTTCCACAAGCGGTTAACCCATTATTTTATTTGGGTTGTTTCTACCACAGTATTTCTATGCTCCAGTATTTGTTTGAGTACACTTATTCAATTCTGGGTGTATATATAAATGGAATTGCTTGGTTCTGTAATAATTATGTTTGTTTTCTTGAGGAAACACCACATGTCTCCATAGCAGCTGCATCATTTTCCCTTCCAACTAGCATTGTATCAAGGTTCCAATTTATCTTCACCCTCTCAAACACTTGCTATTTCCTGCTTTTTATTGCCATTCTAGTGTGTGTGGGAAGTATGGTATCTCACTTTGGATTTGAAATGCTTTTTCTGAATCACCGATTATGAGTATCTGTTCCATGTGCTTTTTGGGCATTTGCCTATTTTATTTGGAGAAATATCTGTTTAGATGTTTGGCCTTTTAATTTTGTTTAAGTTGTAAGTTAGTTATGTTTTGGATACTAGAAGTTGAAAATTTAATATTTGTTGTTTAAACTTATGCCCACAGAAATCATCCACTTTCCCGAGAATCTAGGGATTATGCTCCACTGTCTAGAGACTATGCATACCATGATTATGGTCATTCTAGTTGGGATGAACATTTCTCTAGAGGATATAGGTATTACAACATTTCCTGGACTTGTCAAATAGAATTCTTAAATGGTTCATTCTGACATTAAGAATTTTTTTTTTCAATTTAGTGATTGTGATGGCTGTGGTGAGGTGATGTTAGAGATCATTCTGAACGTCCAAGTGGAAGTTCTTATAGAGATGCATTTCAGAGATAGGGTAAGGGTCCGGGATGGATTTGTAAATTATAGAATTGTGTTTAATAGACCAGATCGTTATTTTAATGAAATTCTAAGGAAAATTACGAGGGACAAATATAACATGTCTAAATATTGAGTATTCTTAACAGAAGAAAGCATAGGGAATGATATGAAGGTGAGAACTTCAGTTCACGTTCAGAAAATGTGACTCAACTTTTACTTTAGAATTAAATTTGTTAAGCTTCAAAATAACTTCTCTTACACTTCTTATTAATAAAACCTTCTGATTATTGCAGGCATAATTAATATCCTGTCGACAAAGACAGAGGAAAGTAGATATTTCCAAATAGTACTTTAACTTAATCATGCTTTAGTGATAGCAGTAATAATGTTTAAATATAGTCCAACATATTATTTTATCAACCCTGCAGGGTCCCCTGCAGGGACCTCTCATGGTGCACCATCTGCAGGAGTGCCTCTGTTGTCTTATGGTGGAAGCAGCCACCATGATTATAGCAATAAATGAGATAGATATGGCATAAGTCGGGAGAGTTACTCAAGGAGCTGTGGTGATTTTTATTCCCGTGATTGTGGGCACGTTGACAGAAAAGACCAAAGCAATCTACCTTCTCTGGATAGGGTACACCCTGCTCCTTGTGAAACATGTGGTAGCTCAAGATATTTGTCATCTACAGGAGATGGTGGGGAAGGTGGATCTGACAAAAGAGGCTGAAGCAGATATGAAAGCAAGTATTCAAATAATAGTTATTGCATACTAAACCTTGTTTGCAAATCGAAAATTGACCTGTTATTTCTGCATTGTTACCTGCGTCTTACTAAAAGAAACATGTATGTTTTGTGGAGAGAGGTAGATACTAACTTCCTCCATGAATTTTTTGAGGTATTCAAAGGAATTTTATTTCCAATAAATAAAGGGAATTTTATTTCCAAGTAATTTCATACTAGCTAATGCTATTTGAAAACTATCTGTTTAGATGTAATATCTACATTAAAATTTTCAGAATAAAATTTTACATGTAATGCAAAATGCCTAATGTTTTTGCTCAGCTGCACATGCTTAAAAGCAAATTCAATAAGAGAGTAAATTGCATTGTTTGTTGAACATTTTCCTTTATTTCTTTGAACATAAATAGATACAAAATTAGGCATATGTTATGTCTCCCTTGCAAGCTGCACAAGTTTTCTAAATAGGCTGTTTCTCTTTAAAAACTTACAAGCTTACAATGTTTGAGTAGTCTTCAGAAAGACTACAAGACTCTCTGCCTCACCATATGTTTATCCTTTAGAGGAATAGTACAGGTCAAAGGAAATAATTAGATGTGGTTGATATTAAAATTTAAGACATCCAGAACATTCTACTTGAAGCATTCTGTGACTGAAGAGGGATAATGCTAATGAAAACTTTTTTTTACCTAAATGAAAAGTGAACCAGCTAAGTTTCTCAAGTGCATAGCATAATGAAATTAAATTTTCCTAGTTTAAATGGTGGAAAGTAAGTGTTTGGTCTTGGGAGGTAGTCATGTTATTTTTTTCTTAAAAGTTTTGACAATGGTTGTTGTAAGTCATGGTGTAGTAATAAGTTGTTACAAATAGGAATAATCTAGAGTGGTTGGAATTTTATCAGTTTTTTGTTTGTTTGTTTGTTTGTTTGTTTTGAGATGGGATGTAGCTTTGTCACCCAAGCAGGGGTGCAGTGGCTCCATCTTGGCTTACTACAACCTCCACCTTCTGGGTCCAATCTATTGTCCTGCCTCAGCATCTTGAGTAACTGGTATTAGATAAGTGTGCACTACAGCTGGCTAATTTTTTGTATTTTTAGTATAGACAGCGTTCCACCACACTTGCCAGCCTGTTCTTAAAATCCTGATCCACCCTCCTCAGACTGCCAAAGTTCTAGGATTACAGGCATGAGCCACCACTCTCAGCCTATCAGACTTAATTGGTTATATGAATGGAAGCACTTTCAACCTCATACTTTTGGGAAGTGAAGTGTATAAAACAAAACAGCAGCATAACATTTCAGACAGGGGATTGCTTAAAGGTTTAATAAATCATCAAATGGTAAAAATAAAAAGATTTGGACTTAAATAACTAAACCAATTAATTTTTCTGATTATACATTGTACAACCTAAAGAAATGAAATACATGAAGTTCCAGAAGTTTTACAATCCATAATTCTTACAATTAACAGACTAATCTGCAATGAGGAAATATTTTCTTGATAAAATTTTGACAACATCTTCAATTTCTATAGGTAAGGGTGCAAATAATTTTAAAGGGAGAAGTTACCAACTTGGATTTTCAAGTGAGTTATTTGTGTTATGAAGTTGTGTTTTCATTCACCTACAATGTAGGATTGTGAGGATGAAGTGAAAAAATAAAACTCCCTAGTCTTATGTATCTTACTGCCCATGTGTGACGGCTCAGGTTTTGAATTCCAGCACTTTGAGGCAAAGGCTTGCTGATCACTTTAGGTCAGGAGTTCCAGACCAGCCTGGCCAATACCATGAAACCCCATCTCTAGCAAAAATATGAAAATTTGCTGGGCATGGTGGTGCACACCTGTAGTATGTTACAGTTAATTGGGGGGCTCAGGCAGGAGAATTATTTGAACCTGGGAGCCTGAGGCTGCAGTGAGCCAATATTGCACCATGTACTCTAGCCTGGGTGACAGAGCGAGACTCCAAATCAAAAATAATTATATAAATCTACAAATATGTAAATAATAAATAAGGTATCCTTCATTTCAAGCATTTATTCTTTGTTTTTTCTTTTTTAGACACAGGGTCTCCCTCTGTTGTCCAGCCTGGACTGCAGTGGCACCGTCAAGGCTCACTGCAGCCTCGAACTCCTTGGGTTCAAATGCACAAGACTTCCATTTCAGCCTCCCAAGTAGCTGGAATTACAGACACACACCAACCACCGTGCCCAGCTTTTGTGTTTGTGTGTGTGTGGTAGGGACAATGCTTTGGATATATTGTTCAGGCTGGTCTCAAACTCCCAGACCGAAATAATCCTCCTTCCCTGGCTTCCCAAAGTGTTGTGATTATAGCCGTGAGCCACTGAGTCTGGCATATCTTTTCTCATTATGAGCGACATTCCACCTCACTGAGTCTGGCGTATCTTTTCTTGGTATCAGCGACATTCCACCTTCGCTCTATTAATTATTTTGAGATGTACAATAAATCATTATTAAGTGTAGTCATCCTGTGCCACTGAACACTAGATATTATTCCTTCTAAGCAAGTATAATTTAACCCACCCCCATCCCCTCTTTGATCCCTCGCTTACCAGTTCACATTACTTGTATCAAAATATCACATGTATGCCAAAAATACCTACAACTTTTACGTACAAATTTTTTAAATAAGTAAAAATTAATAAAAAAGGGTATCTCCAACAAAGTGATAAAATAGGAGGCTCTAATTTGTTCCTCCATCCACAAATGCAACAAATAAAGAGCCACACCCACATCAATTCCCTATGAGATAAACTTACAAACAAGTTGGGATACTCTTGCATGTAGGGTTATGAAAATACTTACTTAAAAAAAGGTAAGAAAAACTGAATCATGATCTTTTTCTAGCGTTTATCTCTGACACATTGCCCTAGAATCAATAGGGAACTGTTATTTCACAGCTTCTCTCAGAGAACTGAAGTATTAATCCACATATGTAAAGCCCCAGCTGTTAACAGCTGCTTCTCAATGAAATGATTCCTCACTTGCCTATCTCTGGATTCTAACACAGACTGGCATTCATAACTCTCCTAGGACCTCCAAGATAAAAGAGGGATTTAAATAGACATTCAAGCACTTCTGAAACTGTTTCCTCCTGGCTTACTGGATGTCAAGCAGTCAAGAAAGCTCAGCTCCCACTTTGTACCTCAAAGAACTTCTATTGTACATCTAACGTCTTGACTTTTTTTTTTCTTTTGAGATGGAGTCTTGCTCTATTGCCCAGGCTGGAGTGCAATGGCACGATCTCGCCTCACTGCAACCTCTGCCTCCCAAGTAGCTGGGATTACAGGTGGCTGCCACCATGCCAGGCTAACTTTTGTATTTCTTAGTAGAGACAAGTTTTTGCCATGTTGGTCAGGCTGGTCTCAAACTCCTGACCTCAGGTGATCCACCCACCTTGGCCTCCCAAAATGCTGGGATTACAGGCGTGACCCACCACATCCAGCCATGTCTTGACTTTTATAGCTTCTGCCCAGGTATCTTGCTTCTAACCCTCCTGACTTTTGTATCTGTCAGGGTCCTCTGAGAGCAGGCACGTAGGCATTTCTCATCAGTCTTCATCATCACTCACTCTAGCAATATACTGAGCTTCTAAATTTTCCTTCCAAGAAGTCAAACTACCCAACTATTGCCCTGACTTCTCAGGGTGATGACTAAGATTTTGAATACCATCTTGCCAATCTCGGGAAGCTAATGAATCCCAGCTTTTTGTAATCTCGAGATTCTAAAGAGGAAAAAGGATTGTTTTGTGAAAACTCAGCATGATTTTTAAACTTCCCTATTCATATAGTTTGAACATTTGTCCCTCCAAGCCTCAGGTTGAAATGTGGTCCTCCACACTGTAAATGGCACCTAGTGTGAGCTGTTTGTTTGTGTCATGGGGATGGATGCCTCATAAATGGCTTGGTGCCCTCGCCATGGTTAATAAGTGAGTTTTCCGCTCTATTAGTTCCCACAATGCAGCTTACATCCAAATAGGTTGTTGAGAAGTGCCTGATTACCTTCTCCCCTTCTCTCTCTTGCTCTCTCCACATGTGACATGGCTTATTTCCTTTTACCTTCTGTCATGAGTGGAAGCCTCCTGAGGTTCTCGTCAGATGCAGATGCTGGCACCACAGATCTTTTACAGCCTGCAGAACCAGGAGCCAATGAAAGATCTTTTCTTTATAAATTTTCCAGTCTCATATTCTTTTATAGGAACACAAAGAGACTAAGACGTGTATCTCTGGCTGGTAACTTGCCTATATCAGTAAGCAGTGGAGATCAGCATTCACTATTTCTTGTGTTCCATACGGGACAAAGAGGTGGTTTTCAGAGGTCCCATGAGCTCTTCCTTATACCCAACCCTTGGATTGCTCTACCTTTCAGCTTCTCCATGGAAGCACCCAACCTTTTAAACTCCTCCCTTAGGAACAGTATTTTGTTGTTGTTTTCATTTTTATTTATTTGTTTGTTTATTGAGATTGAGTCTCACTGTGTCACCTAGGTCGGAGTGTAGTGACATGATCTCAGCTCACTTCAACCTCCACCTCCTGGGTTCAAGAGATACTCCTGCCTCAACCTTCTGAGTAGTAGCTGGGACAACAGGCACATGGCACCAGGCCTGGCTAATTTTTGTTTTGTTTTGTATGTTTAGTAGAGAGGGGATTTCACCTTGTTAGCCAGGATGGTCTTGACCTCCTGACCTCATGATATGCCTGCTTCGGCCTCCCAAAATGCTGGGGTTACAGGTCTGCGCTACTGTGCTCAGCCTGGACCAGACTTTTAACTTGCCTGTTTCTAGGGTCTGATGCGACAGAACAGGCATTCTGTGACTCTACTAATTCCCACCCTCTCTGCAAAAAACCTCAACTCACAACTATCCTTAGATACGGACACCTGAGTGAATGATTCTATAGCTTGGGATTGGATCTCTGACACATTTTTTTGACTGTAGAACTGAGAATAGCCACACAGATAGGATAAAAGAACAGTTTTAATTTGATGCTTTTTCTCCTCCCCAAGCCAGCACAATGTTGCATACAAAAAATTCCCCTGAACTCAAGTTTCTTCACAGAGGAGAGCGTTGAAGATGTACATTCTGTCCTTTCTTTTCCATTTTGCAATTCGTCACATGAAGTTCTCTCTAGTCTTACCCTGTGGGAAACAGTGGGGGTATCGGACAATGGCGGTCAATTAGAAACAAAGTACATGGATGGGGCTCACAGTGACCATAACAGTAATCTTACTCATGGCTTTGCATTCCAGCCAGCAGAGTTGCACCATCAGAAAAACTAGGCAACAGCATCATTCTGCAGCAACCAAACATGGTTAATGGGTCTGCCAGGCTCAAATCACTGGCCAACTGCCAAATCCCACCCTGGTTTTCTCTGCAAAACTTCCAAGGCTGTGACAAAGAGGCAGCTTGGTGATTATCCACGGAAGGGTCATGTGACCCCACCCATTCCCAGCTGCCATACTTTTGACCATCCTAGCCCTGTGTGCTCCACCCATCCCCAGGCTGAAAAGCAGAGGCAATTTAGTGGTTAAGGATGAAGTTTCTGGCCCTACCTGGACCCAGTGGGCAAGTAGCTTATATGATAAGTCTTGGTACCCCTGGAAGGAAGTTCACTTCTGATGTATCTAGTGGAAATCACCAGGGTGTTAGAATCCCTAGAGCACATGACTTTATTGAGAAACAGAATTCCAGTCTCGGCTCCAGCCCCTCCCACTGCTGTTGGGAAGCAACTACCCTGCTGGGGAAAGGGCCTGTCTGAGCTAATGAATGTAGGCTGTCCAGGCTCTGTCCAGCAGAAAATGGATCTAGACTCTCCAGCCTCTGTCCCCTATAGGGATGACCCACTCTCAGCTCTGGCCTTTCCACTTTAGTCAGGGAACTCTATAATCCTTGAGAAACTTTCTGGGCAATATGCAACTTTCTTAGGAGAGACCAGGCTCTAAATGATCTGTTCAACAGCGGGTGTCAAGGGACCTGATTGTCAGCCCCAGGCCCTTCTGCGGCAGGCAGAAAATTAGCTCAACCGTGCAGAGACCTTCCAGTAACCATCACAGCCAAAATTACAGGCATTCCATTCTGTGTTCTGCAACAGAATCTAAGTGGACACAGTCTCAGCTTCAGCTTGTCCAATTTCAATTTCTGAAATGGAATCATTAGTAATAAATAACCTACAAGCCAAAAAAAAAAAAAAAAAAGCCCAGGAACCGATAGATTCCGGATGAATTCTACCAGATCTACAAAGAACTGCATCATATTCCATTGTGTGGGTGATCCCAGTTTGTTCAACTGGTTGTGTATGTATGCTTACACACACACACACAGGCACACACCTGTGTTTCATGTTCCCTCAAAAAGCTGCAGTGGAAATGCCAGGCCAGCCTCTGGTATCATCCGAAGGATCAGTGGGGAAGGACCCACGCCTTTGCTTGCATTACATTGTTGCCAGCAACCCTGTCCACAATGGCATCTTTTCAGTGGTTTCTTACAGCTCTTTAGAGAATCTGCAATTATGTTTATTTGTATGGTTTACAATATATTCGTTAACCTTTATCTCTAAACTTGAGGCTGGGTACAATGGCTCAAGTCTGTAATATCAGTACTTTGAGAAGCTGATGTTGGAGGATGCTTTGAGCCCAAAAGTCTGAGACTACAGTGATGTATGATTCAGCCCGGTGACAGAGCAAGACCCTGCCTCTAAGTAAATAAATAAGAAAAATACAACTGATAGTAATATTTTTGTTTTACAGTTTGGAAACACAAATTTCCTTGATCAAATAAATGAATATTTGATAGTCACTAACACAGGACATTTGCTTGTGTATGGGAACCAACGCAGGAAAGCAGTAGGATTAGATGCTCTTTCCCCGTAATCCCTGAACATGTATATACTGTGATGATGATAAGGGGTGAATTTGGATCAGGAAGTCTTTCTGCCAGAGCCATCAAAACTGTGGAAATAAAACCCTCCACAAATCAGGAAACAAAACAGTTTTTACTGATAATAGTAACTATAAAATCTTTTGCAGATTTGGTTTCATTTTTAATTTAGTGTAGATTAGGCAGCGTAACACAGACTACCCTGCCCCTAATAGTATGCGATTTGATGACAAATGTCAATTAGACTTGGTTGTTGAAAACTACAAGAATCTTAGTTAACAGCGTAGTTACATGAATAATTTTGACAATATAAACCAGCTTATTTTAAACTTTCAGTTAGTCCACTAGACACCAAAATATTATTTTAAACATAGTTCAGAATTGATGTGGATAATGGGCAAAATGGCAAGCTTCTATTTTTATTCATTTCCTTTGGTTTTATGCCTTTCATTCTCTCCTTTCTCCCCTTCCTTCCTTCCTTCCTTCCTTTTTTCCTTCCTCCCTCTCTCCCTTCCTTCCTCCATCCCTCTGTCTCTGTTTCTTCCTCCCTCCCTCCCTCCCTCCCTTCCTTCCTTCCTTCTTATTTTTCTGTATCTCTGTTTCTCTCTTTGATTTTTTTTTTAGGTGAAACCATACTCTGTTGCCTAGGCTGGAGTGCAGTAGCATGATCTCATCTCACCGCAACCTCCCCATCCTGGGTTCAAGCAATTCTCCAGTCACACCCTCCTGAGTACTTGTGACTGCAGGTATATGACACCAATCCTGGCTTTTTTTTTTTTAATTGTATTTTTAGTAGAGGCCAGGTTTTACAATGTTTGCTCAGGCTGGCCTCAAACTACCATCCTCAAGTGATCCACCCACCTCAGCCCCTCAAAATGCTGGGATTCCCAGCATGAGCCACAATGCCCACCAAGTTTTATGCATTTCTTTCCTCAGTCATTTCTCCTATCTCTTTTATTATTTTTTATTTTATTTTATTTTTATTCCTGAGACAGAGTCTCGCTCTGGTGCCCAGGGTGGAGTGCAGTGGTGTGATCTCACTTCACTGCAAACTCCTTCCCCGGGGTTCAGTGGATTCTCCTGCATCAGCCTCCCAAGTAGCTGGGATTATATCCATGGGCCACCACACCCGGTTAGCTTTGGTATGATATTAGACATGGGATTTTACCGTGTTGGCCAAGCTTGTCTCAAACTCCTGACGTCAAGAAATCACCCACCTTGGCCTGCCAAACTATTGGGAGTGCAGGTGTGAACCTCCGTGCCCTGCCTCATATCTGTTTTAAAGCTCAGTTGATTAGCAATATTATCTTCCTGGAATGCTTTATGTTTACAAAACAACTATAGCATTATTATTTAGCCCCTTCGGATAAAATATGGTAGTACTCAAAACATACATACAGTCAGTGATCAAAAGATCAGTGTAGGCCAGGACCTAAAATGAAAGACGAGTTGCTGCAGTTGACTAGCATTAAAGCAGACCAGAGTTGACCCATACCCAGCCAGGAGATGTGAACAGAGGCTTTCAAAAAACTCCATCAGATACATGTTAGATTATTCTCCAGCCATAGCAAGGGGACATTAAAGATCTGTTTGTGTTTAGAAGAGTCTCGATGGTTTGGCTTTTCCAGGGTATTAGCATTCGTGGCATTGGCCTTTAAAGCTCTCCGTAATTACTCAAATCAGTAGACAACTCAGTTTTTCTAGGAGTCTAAAGTGCTTTTCAAAATTATGTAAAACTTAATGGCTTAAAACAATAATTATAATTTACTAACTTCAGTCTCTGCAGTCTTCCACAGTCTCTCAGCCAAATGATTGTGGTTCAGGGGCACTCAGGAGGATGCAATCTAATGATGGCTCAGGACGGTGACATTGTCAGGTGTCTTCTCATCTCCCTGGTGCCACGGCTAGCATAACTCAAATAGTGGGGCTGGACTGCTGAGATTCTCGGGCATCTCATTCTATTTCTATGAGTCTCTCCATGGGATGTCCCTTCTGCATAGTGTTATCAGGGTGTTAGACTTCGTGATATACTCGTCAGGGGCTCCTGAGGAGTTTGGCCCCATGAGAGCAGGAGACTTAGGCAGAGCTGTGATACCTTTTCTAACCTAGGCCAGAAGTGGCCCAGTATCCAGAAAATGCTTGCACTGTTTTCTATTCATTAGAAGCAAGTGCTGTGTTCAGTCCCATCAGGAATATTTTCAAATGGGTTTGCAGAGAATTTCAGTGTTTTCGACCAGTACAATGGCGATGCCTAATAATTACTTATTTTTATAAGTGCTGGATGGGTTTTACCAAGCATAATAGCAGATACAGACTTTTAAGCTTAAAACCTAGATGTCATAGCTCTGAACATTTGGTTGTATGTTGAAATAATTCTTACGGAAAAATTGACTTTGAAATGAGAGCTATAAATAAATAAAATAAATGAGATAAACTCATAAATATCTGCATGAAATGCTTATAAAGAGGTCAGCCTTAAAAATGTCATGAGGTCTAATGTGCCACTATTTTACTATTTCTATGGATATGACTTGGACAGGAGGACAAGGACTCAGGGGTCTGCTGGTCAGTCTCTGCAACTTGAAACAGCGGCTGGGGCACCAGGAGTAACACTTCCAGCCAACACCATGTAGTGAGGACAAGGAGTCCATCTGGGTTAAGGAGGGTGTCAGCATAATGTGACCTGAAGGAGAGGTACACCTTCTACAACCAGGATCAAGTTCTCTGGCATTGAAATCCGCCATGCCCAGCTGTGGCAGAGTGAATTGCTCAGCTGGTGCTGGGTTTCTAGGTGTGTTCGGGAAGCAGCTCCCTGGGCTGGGAAGGATCCCCTCATTCCCTTGCCATGTGGGAGGGTGAGGTTTGTGGCCTCTGCTCTGTCTGTTCCAGCTCTTTCCCTTCCCATTATCCTGCTGCTGGGAAAGATGGCAGGACCCTGGAATGGAGAAGGGCCCTGGGTTGTTGACAGTGCCTGTGGGTGGTCATGTACTAGGAGGAGAGTCCTCACTGAGCCTCCTGTGAGCTTGGAGGCTGGGAAGGAACACTTATGGGGCACTGGCTGTTCCAGAGTCCAGGGGCCTGTCCCGGAGAAGCCTGGGGGGAAGTCGTTAAGCCTGTGGTTCTGCAATCTAGGTGGAAGAGCTGTATCTGCCATGGCTGACATCATCAGGGCAAGACACCCACTGGGTGGAGAGCTGGACTTATGCATTTTTATCCCTGTCCTGAAGGGACCCTGCATGCCTGCCTCTCCGGGGACCAGTCATCCTGGGGACCCCCTCTCTGGGACCACTCATGACCATAAGCTTAGGCTCTTGTGTGCCTTGCTTCCTGTCTGCCCAGGTGAGGCAACCTGGAGAGGATATGCGGGGCGAAGCTCATGTGCACACGTGCAGCACTGGAACGGGGTGTCACCAGCCAGTTAGGCCGCTGCTCACCAGGCCCTCTCCTGAGCTCCCACCTGGCTAAGTGGTAAGTGTCCCATCTACATGACCCTGCAGCCCAGGGTTTCTCCTCCACCTACCAACCCTCTTGGGGAGAATGCCATCTTCCCTGGAGACTCAGGACCTGCTGGACCCACATGCTGTCCTCCTCTCTCATGGGCTGGACACTGTCTAGTGCACAGGGATTCCTGGATAGCGAATCCCAAAACCCCACGGGTTCCATTGCTTCTTCCCTGAATGCCTGCCTTCCCCAACCGAACACACAGGAAGACCCAGCTGCTAGGTTTTATTTCCCGCCAGGTGTCATTTCAGGTCCATGACATCTCCTATAGGTAGCTCGCACCAGGCACCCATTTCCTCCTACTACCTCTGCCATTTGTGAAAACCATGAGGACTCTTCCTGTCTCCCAAAAGGGCAGGCTTCACAGGTCCTGAAGTTGGACTGCCAAACCCCGCAGTGCCCTGCTTGCCAGCTCAAGAGCTGAGTTTGAGGCACACATGTGGGCAGGAGTGTGGCCCCCCCCAAATCAAGGTACACAAAGGTACACAGGCACAAGTGTGCACATGCGTGCACAGCTCAGACACGGAGGCTAGAACATACCCACCCTCATACTGGTATGATTGAAACTGGGTGACTACACCAATACTAATGTGGACCTTAATGCTCAGCCACATTCCTTCGCTACACACACAGAGAAGGTTCCCTGCCATTTAACTGATCATCTACAATGGTATTTACTTTTACTTTCATACTTTTTTTTAACTTACCAAAGTATGTTGCATTCTTTCCCCCGTCATGAAAGACTTTGATACAAGTAAGGAGGAAGGGCACTTTTTATAATAAAATCCTGTATCTGCATCTGTATTATTAAGGCATTTAAAAAACTTTATGTCTATTTTTTAATGTCATAGGAAATGTCTCAGGGGCCGGGGAAACATGAGTGAGGATGGCAGAGGGGAGAAAGCATGTCAGGGGAGACTGGGGTCATTGAACCAAAACATGACACGACTGGGATAGCCATTCTAGAAGGACACAGACCTAGACACGCCTCAAGTGCACCTCTCTGTGGCAGGTAAGAGGGCCCTAGTGGAGGCCAAACTGAGCCCCAGGTGGTAGCAGGCCTCAAGGCGTGGAAGGGAGCCAGAGAAGGATGATGCGGCAGCTATCCATTGAGATTGCTTCTCACCCATTGACCTTTGCCACTTCTGTGTCTTAGGTGACTTTGGGTGCCCCAGTTCTGAAATATGAGTGTTACAGTTCCCTGATGGGCTTTTCTCCCTCAGCCCAGGGATGGCCTGGGATTTCTCAGTGCAGGCTCCTCCCCGAGCCTTGAGTTCTCCATGTGTGTCCCAGCTCCAGGACCCACAGGCCTCTGAGCCCCCAGCCCTGGGTTGCTTACCTGGTTTCCTCTCTGTTTCCTCTCTGAGGGCCTAACTCCTTCCGGTAGTGCTGCAGGGGGATTGAGACAGAGGCCCTGAATGATGATCTGGGGGACTGAGAAAAGGGATCCGTGACTGGTCAGGTCATGGTTCAAAGCCAGTTCCCCAGATGCCAAGGAAAGACCAGCAAGGTCCTTTCCCATGACACCCCTCAGCGGTGCCCACCTCAGCAATCCTGGCTGACCTTTAGTGGTCACGGTCAGCCAACCAGCGGAAGAAGCTCAGTTAGGCTGTGTCCTGCCTGAAGCTGGGGTCTTCTGCTGCATGACTCTAGAAACACTGGACTACAGTAGAGACAGATGCCATGTATCCTGGAGCAAGAAGATTTGGGTAGGCTCATGCCAGGCCTAGCCTCCCACACTCCACCCGCTCTATCATTCCGGGAGGCACTCCTTACCGAGGATGCCAACACGATATTCCTTAAAGATCACTTCATTGTGGAAATAAAGACTGTGACAAAAGGAACACTTCATCCTGCCACCAGTACCCTGGATGGCTGAGTTCCTCCACCTGCTACACCAAGAAGAAGAGGACAGACTCAAAGGATCCATTTCATCTAGTTGGGCTGAGGGCCTGCTGGCTAGGGTGAAGCATGCGTTTTCCCTTCCCAGCTCTCCCACTGAGACACCCCCAGACCCCAAGAGGACCTCAACCTGACCAGGACCCTCGATCCCTCCCCCAGACCCAGGCACCCTAGCCTGATTTGCAAATCCATCCTGTAGCTTACTTAGCAGGACTTCCTCATGGTTTCTGAAACCTGCCGACATCTGGGTGTGCGGCACAATCTGCCTCTGGTCAAGGAGCCTCCAGATGACTGGGTGGGTGTGCCAGGAAACACCCTGCAACTTTGCAAGAGCTGGGAGACTGTTGGGCAGGGCTATCCCCCAGACCTTTGGCCTGGCACTTTGCATTGGTGATCCTGTCTCTGTCCAGCATGAGGGGCACGGTAACGGATATGGTGGTCTTGTGGGCAAGTGGAGGGAGGCCCAGAAAGACTCTGCCAACAAGGAGTGGGGAGCACAAGTTGGCAGGGTTTGGGTGTGGGGTGCTGTGGTGTGAGGCAGTTGTTTCCTCAGAGTTCCTGAGCTGCACATGGCCCTTGTGCACTGGGTGCTAGATAGGCTCTGCTGAGGGTGTCAAGGTGTGTGGTACCCTCTTCTGTTCTCCCTGAGGGGTGGGTGTGTCCACTTGAGGGAACCGGTGTGGGTAGAAAGGACTGCAGGGCTGTACCTGGTGCTCCCCATGGGGCTCATGTGTGTGCAACGGAGGCATGTGTGCAAAGGAGGATATATATGCTCAGGGCCCGCAGCTCTTTGGGTGCAACACAGGCAGAGGGAAGAAAGACTGTCTGGGTACCTGGTGCCTGCCTTGCAGAGGACAGCAGCCCCGTGCACCATGAACCCGAGTCTTGAGTACCTTGTGTTTCTGGTGTGAGGCCTCTGGACACACACACATGGGGAGTGGGTGTGGTTCGATGGCTGGTATGAGCATGCAGACTCCCTTTCCTCCAAGGACTTTCCCAGGGAAACGTGCCCTTCAACTTTCTGCTGTGAGTGAAGGGTCCTTGACACCCCTATTTTCTCTTGTGAGTGCTGAGCTTGGCTCCCAGTCCCTATCACATGCTCTCAGGTCACCCTCAAGCAAGCTGCCCTACTATCTGCAGTATCCTTGCCTCAGCTCCCCTCGCTGTCTCCCATCCCCTGCCTCCTGGCTGACCCTGTGTGCCCCTGGCCTGGCTCCGTTGCTCCCCGCCCCCGGAAGCCCGACTCCCACCTCCTGCTGCCAGTCATCCCGAATGGGCAGTTACAAAGATATGGCTCTGGCCTAGAAGCCGGAGATGCCCTGGATGATGGCCCCTGTGCCCTCCAGGCCAGGCAGACACTTCTGACAAAGCTTCTGCCTCAGCCATGGGCAGGGCATGTGGCCTGGGGCATTCACGGAGCCCAGCTCCCTGTGAAGGACCTCCAGCGACTCTGTGGCCGGCTGGGGCATGCTGGGGCCAGGGCCAGGCTGTGTTCACTGGTCCTCCACCTGCCGCTCCATGTCGGCTTTCTCCTCAACCACCACCTAGACCACCGCCGTGACGTCGTCCACCACCAGCACCTTCTCCTCCTACAGGGGCACCTCCACACTCCGTGCCCTGGCTGCCCTCTCCTGCAGAGCCTCCAATTTCAACAGGGTGCCTCCTTTGGAGGTCCCATTGCCTACAGCCTGCACTGTCACCTTCACGTCTGGATAGGTATATCCTTAAAATATACGTAAAGAAAAATAACTTAAAAGTGTTCCTGTTTCTCCACATCCTCTCCAACATCTGTTGTTTCCTGACTTTTTAATGGTCGCCATTCTAACTGGCATGAGATGGTATCTCATTGCGGTTGCAGGGCCATGGATGAAGCTGGAAACCATCATACTAAGCAAACTATCACAAGGACAGAAAAACAAACACCACATCTTCTTACTCATAAGTGGGAGTTGAACAATGAGAACACATGGACACAGGTGGGGGAATATCACACATCTGCCCAGTTGGGGGGTGGGGGACTAGGGGAAGGATAGCATTAGGATAAATACCTAATGTCAATGACGAGTTGATCAGTGCAGCAAACCAACATGGCGCATGTATCCCTATGTAACAAACCTGCACGTTCTGCACATGTACCCTAGAACTTAAAGTATAATTTTAAAAAATGAAAAAAAACTGAAAAGGAAAAATGGCTCTCCAAACCCAAATACTAAACAGAAAATTAGTATCAAGTGGCCTAGAATGTAATTTACATGAAAATGTCACAAACATTCAGCAGATAGTTTCTAAATGCTACAATAAGCCTGACAGTCTGCAAGAAGCTCAGAAAAACATGGTCCTTGCTCTTCTCAGAGTGCAGTTGTTACAGGCACAGATAAATGAGGAATAATAAGTATGATAACTGCTGTAATAGGCAAATACAGGAACTATAACTGGAAATAAAGACAATGATTTTGATAAACAAAACTTTAATAAACAATGAAATATTTAAAAAAAAAGACTCATGATTTTAATAAACGTTGCCTCCTTCTTCCCTCCAGAAGAAAACTCATGCCTCTGCTTTATTGGCTGACATGTTCCTAAGGAGATGTAACAGGTCTGATTTGTATTAGTAAATCACATTTGCCTCATTTATGAAACATGTGTTTAAAAATCCTCTTAAAGGTCAAATGAGACTATTTGCTGTTGCTGGATAAATTGTCAAGTGCTACCCAAATATTATTTTCTCATGGTGATTTATACCGTGTGTATATTACATAGTTAGCGTAGCATTCTCATAAAGGAAACCTTGAAACACATCTGCTGCTCGGTTTTTATTTTTCAACTGTTTCAGTCATTATTATTTATCACATGCTTTCTAGGGGCTTTTGAATTTTAAAGAGATATGTATACACCAAAAAGAGAAGGACAATGAAATTGTGAGACTACAGTCATAATGATTTCATTGATTAATTCAATTGTTTACAGGGCTAGATTAGATTATATTTCTCCCAAAAGATTCTCGGAGAAATTCTAAGATGACGCACCCACTGTTTGAAATGGCCAAAAAGTTGTTGCTTAAGTTAGAGTTAACTCTTTTTAAAGCCTGAAGATAAAGTAATAGTTTCGTGAATTACAACAGGGAAAATAGGATTTTTAGTGCTACTTGCTCTCATCAGAAATAATCGTTAACTTTTAAATTGTTCTTTATGTCACATTAAATTTTTCATTTCCATCTCATGTTTTGGATGTGGTATGTATTTTTAAATGCATTTTCACCCTTATTGTGCTTCTGTGAGAAACTGCAGATTTAAGTTCATATCATAATTATCTTTTAGTTTTATTTGTTTGTTCCTAAAGGTTCACAGAAATAAAGAATTCCATTTATGCTTGTATCTTTCAGCAACCTCATTTCAGATAACGGTGCACATTATTGCAGGTATCACATGTACAGGTCCAAAGGGAGAAAAAGAAGAAAGTAAGCTTTTAAGTCTAAATATTTGTAACACTAGATCAGAAACTCAGTATTCATAGTGAAATCAAAAAATGATCACAGTCAATTCCATCTCATACCTAGACTGAAATAAGAACCTTCAAAAGCAAAGAAAGTTAAGAGCTTTGGGCTTGTCAAAATTTTCCTATACAGATAAAATTATTGGTGACTTTCTCTCACTAGAAAACATAAACAAAAATTCATCCTTCATATATGTGTAAATAAAATATTTTTATTTCTATCAGTTATAACATGCAAGCAAGTAATACAGTGAAAGTACAATAATAAAACGATATAAGGAAATTTCTCTGTGTCAACAAATTCCATCGAGGCCATTAATTTTACAAAACCCATAGAGAATACTTCATGAAACTACATTATACTCTACTCTTTAGTATTTTACTTACATTTTAAATAATCAACAAATTAAATAAAATTCTTAATCATTATTTATTACCAATAACATTATTCTACTCAAGTAATCCTTTTGAGATTAAATATTTTAAATAAAACATTAAAAACAAATTGTATTGACTGATATCAGCTTTTGATGAAATAATACTTCTGTATTTGTAGTCATGTGAAGTATAACTTTCTCCTCACAATGGATCTTTTATAACACCAGTGGTATTGCTTTCTCTGATACAAAGCCTTTTTGATCTCACAGCTTTACTGTATCTACATATTACATTCCTCCAGATAGTAGGCTTCAAACAGATGGAAAAAATTATATTTGTGACAAAATTCTAGGAAAGGGAATGGTAAAACGGGACAATAATTTCTAAATTTCTAACTGTTCATCCATGGATTTGGATATATTAAGATATAGACAAATATTTGCACACTGCAAGTTTGCACATGTGTTTATAAATTTAAATGAGGTATCCATAATGTATGGGTTGTGTAATCTTTTAATTAATCCTCAATTTTACATGTGGGAAATTTGAAAAGGGTTTATCCTTATCAAATACTCAATTCGAAGTACTATACTGAATGTATAGTACTTTGATGTAAAGCCAACAAAATCTCTGTCAACGTTCATTTCAATTAATCCATTGATGTTAACTGCTGATAGCTTCATTCTCCTTGATCCCTGTTGGCAGCCTGAAAGCTAATTCTCACTCTAATTCAGCACTCAGGGTGCCACCCACAAGTGACTAACACCTTGCTGTGGATTGTGACCTCTGACTCTACCACTTTTGTCCTATAACAGTCCTACCTTTGCATATTTAATGAACTTTGTACATGGTTAAAAAATAAAACTGTAGTGAAATGTCAGGCCATGCTGTGAGATGTTCCATTGCTTCTGTATCTCTAATTAGATGTTCCATTGCTTCTGTATCTCTAATTGACCTTTCATGTTATAGAGGACAAGAAAAACAATTCAATACATTACTTAGTAACCAATCCAATGCACCCTTTCTTATTAATATGCCAAACCCATCCCTTCAAGGCACTGACATCTAAACACAGCTAGATGTATCAAAATCTCTTCTCATTAATAACCATTATGTTAATCACTGTTGCCCAGATCTGGACTCTGACTGTGAAATCCTAGGGTGGAAATTGCTATAATGGCTCAAACTGCGGGAATGACTATGTTTCGGCATAATTACTGCTGTCATCTTACTGAAAAATATCACATTAGATGGCAGCTTCTAGTTACATAAATCCTGTTGATTAATGTCCAGCATTTATGATATTGCACAAGTAAAGATCTTTGATAACTTAAATGATTAGCTGAGCAATAATTAAAATAACTCACAGCAATTTAAATATTCATTTACTTACTAGAAGTGCCATACATCATTAACTCCTGATGAAAACAAAGTGGGGAAATTGCAAGTGCTGAACTGGTTACTGAAGTATGTATTTCGGGGTATTTTATAAAACTATCCATGCCATGTATGATGCCTCACCTGCAAGGATAAAGCTTTAACATATATGAAAAATAAGTGTCTTTGGTTCTTAATATCTTCCTACATTTGTCTTCATAACTTCAACACAAAAACACTCATATACTCGACTTTTGGCTGGGCTGACTACCAGTTATTAGGATTTAAGTAAATAGAATAAAGATTTCAAAATTCGATGACCAAATATGAGAAATCACACTCTCCCCGTAACATACAATTATTCTCAAGTGCCACTGCTAATGCAAAATTGAAAGAAGAAATTAAGTCTAATATATTGCAATATTCTAAAATCTAAAATTTTTTCTTTGAGGTCTGGTGGTTCATGCCTGGAATTGCAGCTCTTTGGGATGCTGAGAAGGGAGGATTGCTTCAAGCGCAGGGTTCAAGACCAGCCCAGGCAACATAGCAAGTCCTATCTCTACAAATGTAACTAATTAAATACTTAATTAAATTGGGCATGCTGGCACACATCTATCTTCTATTTACTCAGCAGTTCAAGGTCGTAGTGAGCTGTGATTGCACACTGCACTTCAGCCTGGGCCATGAGGTAAGACTTTGTCTCTACAAAATAATTCAATATAACAAAACAAAATAAAATAAAAACACTTTATTTGTTTTTTGGAAGTTTGCTTAATTGCTCCAAAGCATAGACATTGTTTAAAAAGTTAAGCAGTTCATGGGGAATCGGCAGTGAACATTGTTTATATTGTTTTCCAAAAATTAGGATAAATGTTAGAATATTATATATAAATATCTCATAACCTTTTGTACAATAAATATTGACAAATGTCAAGCCATCGTGTTTATAGACTTTTCCTTCAAAATATTCATAGTTTAATTGGAGGATGAAGAGAAGAGCAATAATTGCAATGTACTCTGACAAGTGTTACAATAGATACAATTTAGTAACTTAGCTGGAGAGGAAGGAAGTGCTTAACTGGGTTTACAGGGGTTGGGGGAACTTTCTCAGGTCAGGAACAACTGATGCATCTGTAAGGATACAAATTTGCAAGACGAATGTTTGGGAGAAAAACACTGTAGAAAAAAAGAAACATTATTTCTATCAATGATAGACATACTAACAGTGCATATGATGCCATCTGCCCAATTCTTAGACTATACTAGCTCAATAAATATTTCTTGAATGAATCCATGAATGGAAGATACTGGGAAAAGAATGCTGGAAGGGATTTTCAAAATCCAGTGAAACAAAGGTGAATACTCTGGACTTTACAATTTTGCCTGCCGTTCTTTAAGTTCTTGTTATGTTTACTACCTCATAAGCTCTGTTTTACTTTTTGTTGTTTTCACAAATATCACGCATGATATCGTTCCTGAGACTAATTCTCTCTTGATCCCTTGATACTATATTTGTCTCTGATACTCCTTTGTGTGAGGTCCTGGGTTTTTATGCCCACAGCTACGTCACTCACCTCTCCCTGGCACTATTCTGTAATAGAGAGGCCTGGCCCCTGGGAGGCAGGGTTCCTAGGCTCTCATAAAAATTACTTCCTGTTTCAGCTCAGTCAAGGGATGACACTGCAGAGATTAGAGAACAAAAAGATGAGAGAAGCCAGTTTGTGTCGCCTTCCTTCTCAGCAGGGTATGTTTCCACAGTGATTCCATGCCTGCAGGACATGCTCTCTGTGTTTCCATTTTCCATGTAGTGACCCGAATCCTAGACTGGCTCTTCTAATGCCGTTTTCTCCAATTGTCTTTTTGAAGGATTTGGGTACTATTGTACTATTTTGGAGTTTAAAATTTAAAAAAATATTGATATGGACAGGGGGGCAGGGAAGTGCCTGATAGAGGAGGGTGTGGTTCTTGGCTAGGGATTCACCCTCAGGCTTGTGCTCATTGACCTAGGTGAGGCCATGCACTTCTGTTTTCTTGCCCAAATTGGTGAGGACATGCGCTTCTGTTTTTTTGCCCAAGTGTTGCATTTTCCAAGAGCACCCTGGCCTGCCATACCCCCATCCTGTGCTATCAGAAACCCCGAGACCCTAGCGGGCAGAGACACAGTAGCTGACGTCGAGAAGAACCATCAGCAGAAGAAGACACAAGCAATTGGACCTGGAGAAGACACCGGAGGAAGGAGAGCGCAAGGACAGAGGCGGCAGGCCATCCACCGCAGAAGAACACAGAGTTGCGTGGGGCTGTGGAAGGAGAGCGCTCACCTGCCCCATTTCAAGGGAAAACCACCTTCCCGCTCCGTCTCCCTTCTGGCTCCCCATCCATCTGCTGACAGCTTCCACTCAATGAAACCTGCACTTACTCTCCAAGCCCACGTGTGAGCCAATTCTTCAGCTACACCAAGGCAGGAAACCCCAGGATCCAGAAAGCCTTCTGTCTTTGCAGAAAGGCAGAGTGTCTAATTGAGCTGACACAAGCCGTCTACAGATTGATAAACTAAAGTAACACCGTGTAACACATGCCCGCTGGGGATTTAGGAGCTGTAAACATTCACCCCTAGATGCTGCCTGGGGTCAGAGCCCCACAGCCTGTCCTCATTGCTAGCTCTGCAGCGGGGGATAAGGGACGTTTTCCCGTTGCACTATGAGTCTGTTTCCAATGCAGTGTGCTTTCTGCAATACTGCAGTGTTACCTCATTGCATATATTTGACAAAATAAGTTACAAACTATAATGTGAGAAGAAAATAAATGGTGGAGAATAAGGAAGAAAAATGAAACATTGTGTCAGTAAGGAATGTTTTTTACTTCATGTAACAGAAAAAGTAAACATGAATTAAATAAACAGGAATTTCCGGTTTTCACATGTTAACCAGCCACAGTTAGGCATTTGGCGCCTTTGATCAGTTGCATTGCTGCATGGAAGTAGCGTAGCTGCATGGTAGTAGCACTGACTTTTTTTTTTTTTTTGCTATTTTCTCCAAGGTGAAACCTAGCTCAAATCCAACACCATGTTGGGTCCAGTTGTTGCTAGCCAGCTTTGCCCACACTCTGGTTTTTCAGTCTTATCAGCTTCTAGTGTATGCAGCTACTTTAACAGTGTGTTTTTGCTAGTCATGTGAAACTGCTGCCTGAGATTTTCTATTCTCCTGCAATCATCTAGTATTTTTCCTGGCTCAAATTATGTGACTTGCTCATTTTTCTCCTCAGGACACTGCAGGATGTTCTTTACCTGGTTTTTTAAAAGAGCATTGGTAAACCAGTTTCATTTCCCTCAAATACTTCTGAGAATTCCTGAGAAACTTATACATGTCTCACTGGACTGCACCACTGCCCACTCAGCTGCCTGTTATTGACTTCTTTCTTTAGATAAGATCCCCCAGACAGCAACTGCATGGGCCCTCCCACCCCCACTCCCACTAAAGACCAACATCCAATGTTTAAAACATTTTAAGTCTTAGATATAGCATAAAGGGATTATGGAATACAAAACAACACATCAGACACATATATTAAGAAAACTTCAGCCAGTATCAGTCTTTGACAACAAAGGTAACCATTTTAACTACACGGTATAAATATATTTACACATAAAGTGTATGCATAGGGAAATGTTTCTCACATTGTATATACTTTCTCCAGTGATGTCTTAGGCACTCATTTAAAATAGGTCACTGATTGAATTACAACTGTAACCTATAATGAAAATAGCAGAGTAGAAAGGTGTAGAAAGGCTTTTTTTTTTTTTTAAACAGCTCATATGTACACATTGTTTGGTCTTCCAGTTGTGCTGTTTCTTTTGTATGAGTGTGTATATGTTTATGTAATTTTAGATAGTTACAGAGAATAGATTTAGTCGAAGTAATTAGAAATTAAGCAGACTTCTTTGTAATAAAAAAGGAAATGATTAACTTTAATTGAATTTTAGTGCAACAGTAAAACTGGATAAGAATTTATTCTTACTCAGGGAAAAGATGTACTGTGTTTTGCAGACTGAAAGAGTTCTTTCCTGAGTAAGCCAGTGTTGGCCTTTATTGCAGAAATAGATTGTTTTTGGTAGACCCCTACAGCCAGCTACCTGCAGAGAAAGAAATTCTACTAGAGAGGATTCTAAATTGAGTATTAAATACTCTTTCTTTAGGTGAAGCATTCACATACAATATTCTTTTACATTCAGCATAATTATAAAAGTTAATTTTAGAACACTTTCCAAAAAAATAAAGCAATTATAAAAATTAGGGAGATAATTGTATATTCCTCCTTTAAAAAGTTTTAGCCTATTCAAATCTAACAAGTCCACTCTGAAATACCTGTAAATAAGATACGAAATGAATAAGAAAATACAGCAGAATGTACCAGATGTTTTCTATGTGTTGGATATACATACATCTGTTAGTTTTTAATGGCAGACAGAGTGCAGTCTACATAATTTTATTCATAGGAGATGCCTATGCATCATATATTCACAGATAACTATTATTTCTCTGAAGATTGAAATAGAAAGCTAGGAAAACACAACACAGCACATACACTGGATTATATTTAAGCAAATGTGAATTGTATAGTTACATGATCTCTTCCAGGGGCTTCTTATCACTCTCTCACTGGGTAGTCTAAGGATTGATTAAAGTTCCTAGGCTCTTTCAAGCTAAGAAACACTATGTAAGTGCTATGCATTATCATGGTAACACGAGAGTGAGGCATAAGTGATTTGCAACATCATAGGCTCTTTGAAATGTGCGTCTAGTCTGATTGAAAGTTTTCTCTAACAGTGTTTTATGTATTGGAAAGTGCTTATCATATTTGAAGATGAAATGTGCTCTACTGAAATCATGCAAATCTGCAAAATCAATCTTTGTTCTATATATTAGTATAATGATGTTTCTCAAAATAGAAGAAAACTTGGGATATGATTTCAAAGGTAATTTATAATAAGGTAGAATTTTGACATCAATTATAACTTGTCTATTATCATTTGATTGACTCAGCTGTTGCTCTCTTAATTAGTGCAACTGAAGTCTAGTTAATTTGCATAAAGGTAGCTATCCCATCTTACAGACTTTTAAAGACAGTCAGGAGACTATTCACTGTTTCTATAAAGCTTACATAGATTTTATCAACATGTTTCAGTCATGTATGACTGACTGCAATAAGCATCAGTTCTAAAATGTAATTTATACATTAATAATTCCTTTAATATTTTTATTTTTATTTTTATTATGGATTCAGAGAGTACATGCACAGGCTTATTACAGAGGTATATTACATGATGCTGACATTTAGTCTTCTATCGATCCCGTCACCCAGATAGTGAACATAGTACCCAACAGGAAGGTTTTCAGCCCCTGCCCCTCTCCCTCTGTCCCTCCTTTGGAATCTCCAGTGTCTATAGTTCTCATCTTTATTTCTGTGCACCCAACCAAGTTTTAGCTCCTATTTATGAGAATATTCAATATTTGATTTTCTGTTTCTTCATTAATTTGCTTAGGTTAAGGCCTCCAGCTGCATCCACGCTGCTGCAAAGGACATGATTTTGTTCTTTTAATGGCTGTGTACTATTCCAGGGCTCATATGTACCACATTGTCATTGTCCCATCCTCCACGGATGTGCTCCTAGGTTTATTCTATGTCTTCGCTATGGTGGTGAATATGAGAATTCTTGTGTCTTTTTTGGTAGCTTTAATAATTTATTTTCATTTGAGCATATACATAGTAATAAGATTGCTGGGTGAAAGAGTAGTTCTATTGTGAGTTCTTTTAGAAATCCACAAACTGCTTTCCACAGTGGCTGAACATTCTCTCCACCAGTGTATAAGTATTCCTTTTCCTCTACAGCCTTGCCCACATATGTTTTTTTTTGGGGGGGGCTTTTTAATAATAATACTCATTCTGACTGGTATGAGATGGTATCTTGTTGTGATTTTGATTTCCCTTCTCTGATGATCAGTGATGTTGAGCACTTTTCTTATGTTTCTTATCCACTTGTATATCTTAAGAAGATATTTTAAATAAACATACAATTATTTCCTCTACTCATAGGTCAAATTCTGCCTATGTCCTTCTCTCTTTTTCTACTACATGATTTTACATGGATAATGAGTCAAAAAATGTGATGTGCTAGTAATACATTTTATTTCATACTTATAAATGTAAAATGTTTTTCTTTGAAAGATACCACATTCTCCAATTTTTAATTTTTTTAATTCCTTTAAAGCGGCAATGGGGACAGGGAAATTTTAAAGCAATTACTTCACAAGGTGATTCCAATTTATACAGAATATTGTTCATTGTAAAATTATTTTGTTTTTGAGTAAAATTAAAATATGTATACAAATACAAAATAACATAATAAATACTAATTTTACCCCACTTAAAAATAAAAGCTATTAATATTTTCCTTGTTCTATGTATATTACCTCTGGTTGTAATTGGAATACACCCCATCAGGTTCATTTGCTTTTCTCCATTTCCAGAGGTGCCATTATCATCAACCTGTTATTACCTTCATATTTTTATAAATTTATTAAAATATTTATTTCTAAATAATACTATTTTGTGAATTTTTAATGTTTCTGTGAATATATAAGGTGTGTATTATTTCACATTTTTTGTTAACATTCTTACTGAGAGCTGCCATTATTGATGGCATAGTTCTCAGTCTACAGAATTTCATCATGTTCCATGATGTGTTTGTCCAAATGCTACAAAGAGAAACCTTCCCTATGCATCTAGGTACACATGTGTGAGAGTGTCTAATGAATATACTAGAAGAATGGCTGGACTGCAGTGTGCATACAGTTTTAATTTTGAGGGGATGAAATATATTCTCATTAGGTCCCAGGGCTACCACTTTATTACTATTGTTTATCCAAGCTAATTGGCTTAGCATATGTCTTAGATTTTTCATTTTTAATGAAGTATTATTATAAGTTACATTGATTAGATCCAGCATGTGTTTGTTAAATGTTCATTTTGTTTAACAATTATAGCTATTGTCAGGGCTCCATCATTAGGTGAGGAAAATAAAATATTAACAGAATGATGACTTCGGTAGGGGGATAAGTCTGAAAATCAACTTTATTTTCCTAACACGGTTTATACAATACATAGATAATGCTTCTTTTTCAGGGACAGCATGCAGCAGAGTGCTTGATAATAAATCAATATGCACTGAGTCAGTATTGGCTAGGAATGGCTAGTTCCTTCCAATCTTCCCGGGTGATGGAAGAAGTATTTGACATAGTTTTTTGTTTGTTTGTTTGTTTTTTCTATATGGTTCATTTACATGACACTGCCAGATCATCATATGGTGGGTTTGGGGAAAATGAAGGAAATAATAGGCTAGATATATGTAAATTATGTGCTAGAAATAGAAGCTTAGCACAGAGAGAGTAGTTAATTGGTCTGGCCACAGTGGTTTTGTCATCTCTCATATGCCTACAACTATTTATTTATGGGCTATTTGCTTATGACGATTTAAAAAAAAATCTGTTTCAGCAGCAATGACTAAAAAATGCAAGTAGATATTTAATTAAAAACAACTCTGGCCGGGCGCGGTGGCTCATGCCTGTAATTCCAGCATTTTGGGAGGCCAAGGTGGGAGGATCACAAGGTCCTGAGATTGAGACCATCCTGGCCAACATGGTGAAACCCCGTCTCTACTAAAAATACAAAAACTAGCTGCGCATGGTGGTGCATGCCTGTAGTCCCAGCTATTCGGGAGGCTGAGGCAGGAGAATAGCTTGAACCTGGGAGGTGGAGGTTGCAGTGAGCCAAGATCATGCTATTGCAGTCTAGCCTGGGCAATAGAGTAAGACTCCATCTCAAAAAAAAAAAAAAAAAAAAAAAACAACAACAACAAAAAGAAAAAACTCAATTTCCTTTTCAATCAGATTATGGGTTGAAAAGTGTCTATAAACGCATGGTGTAATCATAAAGCCTTGTATTCTGTGATTGGGACCACAGTCTAAAAGTGATATCCAGAAATCCAGAATATAGAAGGCTGAGGAAAAAAACCAGCTGCTACTTCAAAAGGTAATACTTAGTTACATTAAGAAAACTATGCCTGAAGATGACATTTTCACAGATTTAATATGTGAATTTGGAAAAATTGAACATATAATTCTGAGATGATTGGCTTTTTATTGACATCAAATTACTGTTTTTTAAAAACAATCGTGTACATTTTTAATTCTAATTTTTCTGCACTTAAGAAATATGCATCAGTAATTGTTAGTATATTAGCTCCATTAGCTACAGAAGAAATTCCAAAATAATTGAATAATGCCATCTAGATGTTTCAAACAGAAAATTGGATTAAAAAATGGTTTGATTTTTAATCAATCATTGGAACCAAAATAAAGCTGTTGAAATATTATTGTGTCAGGAAAAAAAACATTGAACAATATGATACTTTTTTTAAAAAAGTTCACTTGAAAAGCTAAACATTGTGGATAACTTTTATTGGTGACAAGAAAAAGCAACTTTGGAAAAGTTTTTGCAAGTAACTTTATTTAAAAATCAATATAAAATTAAAACAAATGCATTTTCCTAAAAAAACTACAGGTAATTATTAAGAAACAGATTAATACATATAAATATGTTCTAGAATAATTATTCTTCCTCTTATTTGTAATACTTCAATAATAAATACAAAGAAGTTATTTTTCTATTTTGCCTCAAGATATGTAATTGTGAATTTAAATTTCTGAAGGGATTTCATTTTCAGAAGTAATTGGAAGGTAACGATTTCATAGCTCCATTGATACAGTAAAAAAAAAAAATGCCTGTAAGGAAATAACATAATAAATATTAAATAATTTTGCATATGTTGGTAACCTTTTATTCTAAAAAAAGTTTCCATTGGAACAATAAATATTTTAGTCACCCTAATTTTACTAAATATCATTAGATAATCCTGTGATTGATGGAACCAAATTATCATTCCATACATCCTTGACTACACTTGATATTATTATTTTAATAGTTGCCAAACAAATGAACAAAAGTTGGAACGTAATGTGGTTTTGATTTATATCCCCAGATTACTAATGAGCTCAAACATCTAGCCATTTTTCATTGGTCATATGACTTTCTTCTTTTCTAAAATGTATCTATTTACCTGTCCTGCTTTCTTCTACTGGGCTAGATTGTTTATAGATTTTCTTGTGTAGTTATTTTGATTTTTTGGGGCGCTGGTAATTTTATGTATATTTTTCTTAGTGATTTTCTGGAGTTTTATAAACCCCCAAGATAATTTTTAGAATTTATGATCTGAAGATTTTCAAAAAGCTAACTCAGAAGTCATTTGTGGCCATAATGCTAACTTCTAATGGAAAAAAATAATTTTGCCACTTTAGCAAAACATACTTTAAAGATACTAATTAGAAAGCACTGAAGTGCTCAATTCTATCTTTTTAATAAAATTTGCATTTAAATAGTCATTTCAACAAAATCTTTTCCCCTACAATAAGAACCAATTATTAAATGTTGATTACGTATCTCCTGCATGGTTTTCTAAATATTTCACAATTGTCATTTTGGTAACAATCACTTAGCATACTTGTTAGAATTGCTGGCTCTCCAGGTCTCATTTCAAATGATTGAACAAGGATTTTGAACCAAATAATGAGAAATATTTGAATATATATTTTATGACCCATGTAATTATTTGGGGATATTTGTGAAACTCTGGTCTGACACTTAAGATAAAGTAAAACATCAACAACAACAACAACAACAGCAACAGAAAGAAAACACACAAAGAACATCAAGTCAGGAGTCAGGAATAAATACCTTATCTTTTCCTCACTCCTGCCTTCTCAAGTCATATGCCCCTGTCTTCTTTCTCATTCTTGATAAATACTACTCCATCTATCTAGCACTTCACAGGAGTAATTAACCTGTTAATTTGCAATTTAGCAAAAAGCAAGAAACCTACTTCTGAACATTTTCTTTAGGAACATGGTTCTAGCTATACACTGTGTGTCAGGTAATGCTATGGATAGCCATAAAATAGCAGTATTTAACAAAAATATTTGACCACGGTGGCAAAATTATCTTTTCTAAACGATCCACTGCTACTAAGATTACCTTGATATTTTGGAGACTGTACTGACATTTTGAATTTCACATATTCATGGGAGATTGGAAAGTGTCTTCAGATATCAGCGTCTATAATGTTAATACTTGTATTAACTTCCACATTTTTCTGTGTTAAAGCAGGTGTGCAGTATTGGATGAACAGGTATGCCACTGAAGCATAGCTGTGATTAAAATTTTATACGTTTTCATGAAATTGCACATGACAACATCTCCACAGAAAATTTAGATTTTTGGCTCACCTGGGAGATGTTCAAGAAAAGGACATTTTATATTCTTAATGATTTCCCAGCTGGTTCTTAAAGCGAGGTAGCACAATACTGTGGAAAGAGGCAGTTCTGTCATCTGACATTAGACTTTAATATATGCTAAATATTTTGAGGCCCAAATTTCAGATGTATGAAGTGGGGTCTAAAATATCTAGCAACTGTGTGTGTAGTTATAAAGATCATATAATAATAATTGACTCTGTTGGCCTGGTACTTTTCTGTAAAACAAAGACATCATTTAACTATTTAACTTTGTTACTTAGTATAGCTTCATTTGGGCATTTTTAAGGAATATTTATATTGTGATAAAGAAAACAGTTAATACTGGCAGAGAATGGTACTTACTCCAACATTGACTTTGCAGAGCTCCAGCTGTTCTGTAAAGAAACTGACGTGAATTGCAAAGAAAAAAAATAGTGGATGATTGAAGGTTGTTTAGGGGCCAGTCTTTATTTACTAAGACTATGTAATTTTCGGAGAGGACACACAACCTGTGAAGTGTTGGGCGTGAAGGATGAAGACTCATCAAGAAGAGGCTGCCTCAAGGATCATCCTCTACATTTCTAGCTTGAAATACAAGGTATATAGTGCTGTGAATTTCTGAAATAGTGGAATACTGTAGGGGGAAACATGTTTGGAGGATGAAATATAATATAATTAAAATAATCCCTACTAACCAGTAGAGATGGGTTTCACCATGTTGGCCAGGATTGTCTCAATCTCTTGACCTAGTGATCTGCCCAACTCGGCCTCCCAAAGTCCTGGGATTACAGGCGTGAGCCTCCACACTCAGCTAAAATTTTCATTTTTTATTAAAGCCTTTTGAACATTATTAACAGTATTTTTCTGATATTATAAACTATTCTCTAATATTTTCTTCTAGCAATTTGGCAGCTTTGGTTTTTACATGTATTCTTAAAATCATAGTCCATTTACTCTTGTGCATACTGTGATGAAAAGATTTACTTTTATATGTCTTTAACAAATGTGTTTAGTCCATTTTGCCTTCAATTTTTTTCTTAGGATATTATTGAATAGTGCATCACTTCAGCATTGCTTAGACTGCAACTTCTGTCATAATAGTGTATTTACTTCTGGGTTACTTCTATTTGCAATAGATTTCCATACTACAATATTTAGAAACAGCTGTATGAAAGTGTTCCCTATTAAACAGAGTCCTCGGCTGGACACATTGGCTCACACCTGTAAACCCACCGCTTTGCGAGGCCAAGGGGGATGGATCACGAGGTCAGGAGTTCGAGAACAACCTGGCCAACATGGTGAAACCATGTCTCTACTAAAATTACAGAAACTAGCCAGGTGTGGTGCAGGCGTCACCCAGCTACTCAGGAGGCCGAGGCAGGAGAGTCACTTGAAACTGGAAGGTGGAGGTTGCAGTGAGCCGAGATTGCATCACAACACTCCAGCCTGGGCAACAAGAGCAAAACTCCTTTTCAAAAATCAATTTAAAAAAAGAGTCCTCTTTTCCATCTTCCTCTTCAACATCATTGTTCTCCCACACTTACTACAAATTTGCCCAGATGAGTCCCATCCCTTTTCAATTCTGTATTTAGAATCAGCTTGTCAATGTACATGAAGCATCTTGCTGTAACTTTTATTATGATTGCCTGAATTTTTGTATTAATATAGAAAGGCACGTCTTATCATGTGAAGATTTTTTAACAATTGCCTGGCCACCTTTTTATGTATATTTTGGCTTTCATTTATTATGCCCTTCAATAAAATTTAGTACCTCTCTTTGAAAATTGTTGTGTTTTTTTAAATGTTTATTTTTATATGGCTCATAATTTTGTTCTCATAAACTCTATCAATTGTAATTAAATTCTAATCATATTGTTTAGAATTTTAGGCACAACTTACCTATATGCTTAATTACTCGTTGTTAGTGTTATTGTTTATATTGTTATTGCTAGCTTAGGGATATGCTCTTCTTTATTAATTTGTCTACTCACCTTCTTGAATTTTCCCTTTTGTGTGAATTTCCTTTTTACTGAAACTTAACCTTAAGAAATTATTTCAGCAAACAAATTGTTTGTACTACATCCTTTCAAGTTTTATATATCATGAAGTATCTTTATTTCACAATCACATTTTAATGATAGTTTTTTAAAAATATATATATTATTTTAGATCATGGCTTGAAAAACCCCTGCTGCTTTATTTTTAATTGTTGCTTTTTAGAAACTTCTTGCTAGTGTAAATGCCATTCACATATAGGAAATTTGTCATTATTTCTAGTACCCCTTAAGATAATTTCATTGCGTTTGGTATCTGTTTAGGGTGTTTTCTCTTTGTTTGTTTTGGGGGAGAACAATAAATTTCTACTCTCTGAGCAAGTTTTTTAAGTATACAGTACAGTATTGGTAATCGTAGTCACCATAGGGGAATGTTTGCATCAGCTATCAGTGAAGTTCCAGCTGTCAAGACTTGTTGCGGATAATGAGTTTCCCTCTCCAGATGTCTCAGATCTATAATGGTATAGCTTACTTCTCCCAGCATTTAAAAACTTTTATTCAAAAAACAATAGTTGCTGCAAATGTGGAACCTTTGCACTCTGCCTGATGTCTACAAATATTTATTATCTTGCACTCAATCTGAATGTTCTATATCAGACCTATTATCTAATTTTCACTACCACTGTCATAGCTTGTGACTGAGGATCAGTGCAGGGACAAGCAGTGGCCCTCCTCGCACTCCCGGCCCAATGTATTACATATAAAGTAAGTGAAAACAGTGTGCTTACTTTGCAGATACTGCTTTAAGACATATCTCTAAGCATCTTGTCTATATTCACTTAAGTTTAGCCCTCATGGATATCCCAATGACATTGTGCTGACTTATTCTCTACTTCTGTTTAAAAAAAAAAAGTTTACTTCATTTTTGTTAGTTTTTATTCTGCCTGTATTTATTCTTCATTTTTAAAGAGAAGAACATGACACAAGACTGAAATATTTTATGCAATCTACATAGAATTAACCCTGTATGTCACTTAGAAAGCCTGTGTGTGTGTAGAACAATTTGAGTTGTGTGTTCCTTTTAATTATTTTGCCACTGTGTCAATAGGTAGAACTTGTGTTCTTCTCCATTAGTTAACAAAAATAATGTGTGGGTATGGTTGTGTGACTTTAAAACTCAAAACAAGTTTATTTGATTATAAAACATTCAATTTTGTGAAATCAGACATAGATTTAAAAAATATCTTTAAATCAATTTAAAGTCATCTAACTTCTTTTAAATTCAATTAAGTACCTCTTTTTGTTTGTTTTTTGATGGTCTCATATCTTGCTCCATGTCATTTTCTCAGAGAAAATTAGTAACACAACATCAGCTTTACCAATTCAAAATTTTCAGTGCCTTACCTCCGCTTGATCTTAAAGTCTTAGCTGATTTTATTGGTAGACTACACCATCTTTATTTCAACTAAGTTCTCGAAGATTTCAAAACTGAGGGGTTAAATAAATTACTTATCACCTATTTCTGTGAACTACTCCTACTCAGGGTGCTGGAGATGATACCATTTCATGGTCTTAAGTTTCAAATCAAAGACAAACTAAATCAGATTGAATTATTCACTGCTTTTCCTGGGCCACCTGATATTATGGTCCAATCAGGAACATTTTAAAGCCTGTATGTTAGGTCAAAAAAAGCACAAGGCATGGTTCAATTGGACTCCTAATTTAAAATGAGGAAAGGAGAAGGGAAGGAAAGAAGGAAGGAAAGAAAGAAGGAGGGAAGGAAGGAAGGAAGGAAGGAAGGAAGGAAGGAAGGAAGGAAGGAAGGAAGGAGGAAGAAGAAAGGAAGGAGGAAGGAAGACAGAAGGAAGGAAGGGAGAGAGGAAGGAAGAAGGAAGAAAGGGAGGGAGGAAGGAAGGAAGAAAGGAAAAAGGAAGGAAGGAAAGGGGCCAGCAAAAAGCTAAAGATAACTTAGAGCTTGTAATCATCATGAACTCTGTTACTATATTATTTCATTAAATAAGAAAGCCAAAATTTGTGCTACGCAGGAAGTGTAAATGGAAGTGGATCTCTGTTATCTGTATATTATTTGTAGGTTCTGGCTTCAACTGAACCAGTCAAACCCAACTTGCACCGTTTGGCATGACCTGGTCATGCTCCTACAGCTTTTTAAACATGGTTCATTTTTTCTGTTTATGGCTTTATTTCTTCAGTGACTTCCAGATAGTCTTATTAACTTTCAGTCCCTTATTCACTCTCAGCCTCTCAGTTTATTATTTCTATGTGTTTTTTTTTTTTTTTTTAACTTTGTATTTTAGGAAAGACCCCAGTGGCACACATCTCCTTTAGTTTTACTCTGGCACTAAAGTTGATGTAGGGCCATCAATCCTCTGTCTTTAGAATTATACATAAACTATGATTTACACCCAGTTTGTCATAAAAAATTGTATACATTTTCATTCAACATCTCTTTCCACTTCGCTAATTCACCTTCTTGTCTTCTGAATGCTTTTCCAATTGGACCTTGCCAGCCACCTCCCCTTTCTAGGAAGAACTTCCTTTTTTCAACAATGTAAATGAGACTGCTTTTCTAACAGCAGTGATGGCTCTAATTGAACTTCATAAATCTTTACAAAATTACAACTCATAAATCTTTACAAAATTACAATTGCCATCAGTGAGGTACCACTGAAACTATTTTTGTCAAAATAAATCTTGGCATTGGATGGGCAGAGATGTGGGGATGGACTTTTCCAAAGGAATACCATCACTTTGTTTCAGTGTTTAGAATACACTTTTTTGGCGGGGGGAGGTGGGTAGAAGGGAATAACTGTGCCTTCAATGAGTTGGAATAAAACAAACCATCATCATTTCAATCTATAATTATAAGAACTTCAGAACAACCGGTAACCTGAGTTTAAACTATAGTATCAGTTCACAAAATTCCGCCTTTTGATAATATAGCGTATTTCCCAAGAGGAACACTCTTTAGTCAGATGGGTCGTGTATTTACAAGTGGCTTTGGAGACTTGTGATTTTACACCAGCACCTACTGTAACTAGAGTAGAGTTACTGGTTTCCTAGCTTTGTGTCTCTCTATATGTCAACAGGGGGAAAAAGACTTAAATAATCAAAACTGATGACTCTAGAGGGAATCCCTCTAATGCCTCGGCTGTTATTAAGGCACCCTGAGGGGAACACTTTAATGGCTCTTGACCATGGCCCTTCTTTCCTGGCCAATCTGCCCCCTGGATCTTCTGTAAGACCAGTATAGCCTCTGTTAACTTTAACTCAGCAGCAAGGCACCTTTTTCTGGCTCCATAGTGCCTACTTAAAACAAAACAAAACAAAACAAAAACAGAAAATGCATATCTTGAATATTGTCAAATAAGGCCTCAGTTAAAACAGAAGACAGAAATTTCAGACCAATTGATACATCATGTTTTAATTCAGCAGAACTGTCTTCTATTTCTTTACAAGAAGTGATCACTTGGTAATGAGAAACCTGGAAAAGTTGTGAAAATTAATTTGCTTCTCCAAGAACATTCAATAAATCATCCTTTATAATTTTACTGAAAAGGCAGGAGAGTGATGGTCTGCATATCATCCACTATTCTCTTCACTGCAATGAGGTTAAAAGATAGCATGAACAATGACGGTTAATACTATACTTACATTTTAACGAAAAAGTTAAGGTTTACAATGCATTTTATTTTACCCAGAAGTGGGTAGCCATTATTCCAACTGTATTCATTTGGGTGAGTTTGAGGATTAAATTCTTAATGTCTGGAACACAGTGTACAGTCGTATCTTATTCTCCCTGTCTTGTGGGTAGCTGATCCACAACATTTTGAAGAGTTGTGTCACAGATTCATGGGTATAAATGTGAAATAAGTGAAAACTAGTATGTATCTTGAGTATCCCTTATTCTTGCTAGACACAATGTCACGGACGCAGTACCTCTCACAAAGTTTTATGGATCACTTCATCACTAATAATCTATGGCAGAGTTTCAAATTACTATAACTCCTAGGAGGATTTCTACTTTGGGATTCCTGGAGCCTAGGTTTCCGTTCTTCCTACAAATTACAGGTTTCATTATTTGATGACAAATCAACTATTTAGTAGCAATATGTGCTGAATGGTTGTGTAAAGTAAAGCTAATAAGCTTTGTAGGATGGAAAGTATTTAAAAATGATTGTCAAAGGAGTCTATTTTTAACAATGGAAACAGAAACTAGCAAGTGCATATGTTGAAGGCAGTAACATGCAGAACCTCTTTGTGGTTTCAGAGGAAAAGACGGCAACCCAACCTCAGCATGATAGCATGTTTAACTTCAGTAGGATACTGTTTGTATTTTTAGGTACAGTGTGATTTTACGTTGCTGAGTTGGTAATTACAGTTAAGGTAGGTGCAAGAATAATTCCTGATAAATGAAAATAAATATATATACAAATGATACTACTAGTCAGGTATTTAGGAATTACAAAATTTGTTCTCTATTGTCAGATATTCATTTCCTCCAATGAAAACTGTAAAAGAGCACGTTTTTCAAAGCAACTGTAAGTCTGTCTCTGGTAATAGTTGTGTGATTGAAACTCAATGATTCCTTCTCTCCTAGAGGCTTCTAATGGAGAGAGATCATTATTGAAGCACATATTAAAATATACTCCTGATAGAACATTATTTATGTCAACATGAAGAATAATTTTGGGAGGTGTTTGTAGTTCTTTCTTTTTTCTTTCTTTTTCTTTTTTTCTTTTTTTGAGACAGAGTCTCATGCTGTGTGCCCAGGCTACAGTGTAGTGGCATGATCTCAACTCACTGCAAGCTGCACCTCCCAGGTTCATGCCATTCTCTGCTCCAGCCTCCTCAGTAGCTGGGACTACAGGTGCCTGCCACCATGCCCGGCTAATTTTTTGTATTTTTAGTCGAGATGGGGTTTCACCATAGCCAAGATGGCCTCGATCTCCTGACCTCATGATCCACCAGCCTCGGTCTCCCAAAGTGTTGAGATTACAGGCGTCAGCCACTGTTGACAGCCGTAGTTATTTCAATGTCCACTGAACAATTTTAACTTAAGGTAACTTCATACTTCTTTGTAACATTAAAGAGTCTTTGGATTCAACTTTAAATCTTGAAATACAGTGGATTTAACTATTTAGAGTAAGAACAGATATATTTAAGGTAATAATATTGGTTGAAATGTCTAATTTATGACAGAAGATATGCTGTCTACACTCATCATTTCGCAGTTACTTTGTGAAAGATCACAAAGCACCACAGGCAAATCCAGCATTCTATCCTTGGGCCCTGATTGTCCTTGCTGGGCCTTCCTCCAAATCCTGACTGCCTCACTGCCATTCAAGTTTGAGTGGGGCACTGTACGTGGTATAAGCAATGGATGCTGACCTGCAACCGCAAAAAAAAAATTAATCATATAATTTTATTCACTTTCTTTGTACCACATTATGATACCAACCCCGCTGAGCATAGCTCACTTTCTGCAATCCTCTTGAATGAGGTCTTTGTTAATAATTTTCCATGGAAACTTACTTGATCTGGGCAATATATTCCTCTCGGAAATTTAGTTGTGTGTATCTATGATGTGTTGATTAATTCTTGGCTCTTTCACTACAAGCAACTATCCACGAGATCGAAATAAAATTAGCAAAATGTCAGGTGCGATGGCTTCCATCTGTAATCCCAGCACTTTGTGAGGCTAAGTCGGGTGAATCACTTGAGGTCAGCAGTTCAAGACCAGCCTGGGTTATATGGCAGAACACCCATCTCTACTACAAATAAAAAATTAGCCAGGCATGGTGGTGAATGCCTTTGGTCCAGCTACTCAGGAGGCTGAGACAGAAGAATCACTTGAACCCAAAGTTGGAGATTGCAGTGAGGCAGGATCACACCACTGCACTCCTGCCTGGGTGAGGCAGTGAGACTCTGTCTCAAAAATATATATAAAATAAAATATAAAAGCTCCAGGATATCCTTTTGCCTATGTATCATACATCATCATTTAAAGAACAGGACAAATATTTATAAAAATGAGACTATACCAACAATAATATTAAATATAAAAGTTTAATTTTGAAGTTCATTATTAAAGGGAGCCTTAAAAAGGTGCAGAACGGATAAAATTCAAATGTGTATCTTTATTAAAATAGGAAGAAATTTTTGGATCAAAAGATGAATTAATGTCAAAATGTGTCAGATGGAATGTCATACATATGATACTGTGTATTAATACTTTGACACATGTGTTTGGCAATTTTGTGACAAAAAGAAAAAACATATCAACTTACCCTGTATTTAACAAAAAAATCCCTTCATTATATGATATAAACATATTTATATTATATTAAATTAAATATTTAACATTTAAATATTTAATATTTCATGTTTATTTGAATTATAATAAATTTGCCATGGAGACTGTGTGTGTGTGTGTGTGTGTGTGTGTGTGTGTGTGTGTGTGTGTTTGAGAGAGGAGATTTCTTATTGTAAAATGGATTATGTTACAAAATTATTTCAAATTAGTTATTTTCAAAAGGGTATACATTTTCCCATAAAAATAATACCGTAAGAATTGGAAAGATACATAACAATCTTTATAATTTCAGGATCCAACATTAATAAACTCTGACAAGCAAGACATAATTCACGTTGACTTTAAAATGAATAGGAGGATGGTTAGAAGAGTGGAGCAATGCAGCCAGTGGAAGTGAGAAAAAAATCTGACAACTGAACACCTCTAAAATCAGGAGTGATGGATAAAGCTTTCTGGGTATGGATTTCTAGTAGAAAGGTAACATGTACAAGTCACTTGCAATCTAATTGTTCATGGAATAAAAACCACCTAACAGCTTATTATTTAAAATTAATAGTCCTGTTGCTTAGCACATATTCATAATTTCCATGGCAGAACTGTGTTTCCCGTTCCTTTGCTTCCTGTTAGGGGTTAATGGGATGCCCAGACATGAAAAACAGGGAAGGTCTTGAAATGTGTTTGGCAATTGAACTTACCGTCTTGCTTTCCTGCTTTTCTTTACAAGAAGAAAATAACTTAGCTGTAGGTTTAAAGAGAACACATTAGAATCGACTGAGACAAAACCAATTCCAACTAAGCTTAGAAGAGTAAAAAATCCCTCTTTTTCTGCAGTTACAAAGGCAAAAATACATGCTTACTATAAAATACCACCAAGTTTTGGTATGGGTAATTATGCAACATTATTGAGACACTAAATTGTATACTCTTTACCTAAAAAAATAGTTTTGCCAAACAAGCATTGGTACAGAAAGTGTTAGATTAAGGCCTATACAGGAAAATTCAAAGTAAGTAATATTAACAAGAACAGTGATGATAACCTCAGTAGCAATAACAATTAAAACAGAAAATTAAAAGTAAGTAATATTAACAAGAACAGGGATGATAACCTCAATAGCAATAACAATTACAACAGAAGTGTCTTACTTACATTATCTCATTTTACATAAAAAAGACAAAATTTACATTGTGAATTGGAATGCTTAAAACTTCAGCTTTTTTTATTTTAAAATACTATATTTCCATGTAAATGGGGTCCTGCATTTTTCACTCAAATCAGTGAGACATCTCTTTATTGTGGCTGAGCTGCTCTTACCTGTGTATGTGGGAACAAATCTTGTCCTAGTTTTCAGTTTCTTGAATGAAACAGCAGTAATAACAAAAATGAGAGGTCCTCATCACTGACGCTACGTATGGCTTTTTAAAAAAATCAGTGTTAGTTTCTTTATTTTTTGGTTGGCCTGTCCTTAGCTTTTCAAACAGGCAATATCTGTCTTTAGAGAACATCTATCCTTGCCTAATCCTTTGCTAGCATATAATATAAAGCAGGAGAGAGAGAGAGAGTGAGAGAGAGAAACATACAGAGAGAAGCAAATAGAGAAACAGAGAGAGGGAAACCAAGAAACAGAGGGAAACAGAGAGAGAGAAACAGAGAGAGATAAAGAGATAGAGATTCTTCAAAAACAATAAATTATGTCTGCATCTGAAAGAAAGTAAAATGTACTGATGAGCTTGAACTAGGGAATGAAAACTTTGGTTCTATATGTTTAATTAGTTTCTAATTTCTCTGTAATCTCATCATGAGTCTCTAACAGGAAATAATATTGACCATACATTTGGTACAATTAGGTGCTCATATCTTAGATCATTCTCAAGGGGCTCACTAAATTATTTACTAAGCCTAATGTATTACCAATGCAGGTTTAACTCCACCTCTAGTGTAACTGTAAAATTCAGTGAGTAAGCAGTGCCCTGTGATCATCATGGGCTTGTTGTTAGAGATAAGTGAATAGAGTGCCTTGCACAGTGTCTATAAGGAAATACTGTATCACCTTGCCCTGCTCCATTAAAGGAATGAGGGTTTACATCATATTCCACACAAGGAAAACATTTTTAAATGCTTCATTTTCCCTAAGGTAAACCACAATGACAACAACAACAACAAGAAAAACAGACTCATTCTGTCTGGTTCCAAAAATTAAATCAAATCTTGAGCTTTTCTGTAAGTTACTGACTCCCTAACAAAAATAATTTTATCTTGGCCTTTGAAATGTTGATATATAAAAATGGGAGAATGTCATCTAATTTGACAATAATTCAAAGAAGTTATTAATTGTCCATCATGAACATTACAGCTTTGATAAATTAAATATCTAGTCATTTTTTTTTAATTTTACAGCAAGTTCTGTTAAAACCTGTACTCCAATTAATAATTTTCTGCAAATGAATTTATTTTCTTTTCTAAATGACTTAGTCTCTGAGTCTTTGACATTTGATTTCCAGTGAGTGCCCATAAACTGTTTTATATTACCGTTGTTATGAACATGGCAGTCATTTTCATAGTTCATAAATATGCATAGATTCAAATATGTACTATCTATGATAAACTTTTCTTTTTTTATTATACTTTAAGTATTAGGGTACATGTGCACAACGTGCAGGTTAGTTACATATGTATACATGTGCCATGTTGGCGTGCTGCACCCATTAACTCATCATTTAACATTACGTGTGTCTCCTAATGCTATCCCTCCCCCCTCCCCCCACCCCACAACAGGCCCTGGTGTGTGATGTTCCGCTTCCTGTTTCCATGTGTTCTCATTGTTCAATTCCCACCTATGAGTGAGAACATGCAGTGTTTGGTAACTTTTAAGCGGTGATTATTCTGGTGACTTTAGCAGAGCCAGGAGACTCTAAACAAACAATTTACTTCAGTTATTTTTGCTGTATAAACAGTGATGCATGTTTCCTCCAAGGTTCAACTGAGCATTCAACTGAGTATTCTTATGACTAGTCCATGAAGAAACAATATGATCACCTAAAAACAAACCCAGCTGAAACATGCAGGAAACACTAATTTTGAATATATGGTTATCATTTATTGCATATTTATTCACCAAGCACTGTCTTGATAAAAACTGTAAGATATGTCAATCAGCCTTAATAGACTGACTCTACAGGAGTGACTAATCACTCCCCATAGGTAGGCCTTTCTTACCTGGACACACTGTTTGTTCTGGATATGCTAACCACTTTAAAGACGTTGATGATTCTAAACACTCATTCAGGTACCAGTGCATGATCTGTTAGGAACTGGCTGCACAGCAAGAGGTGAGTGGCTGGCAGGCCAGCAAAGCTTCATCCGTATTTACAGCCACTCCTCATTGCTTGCATTACTGCCTTAGCCCCACCTCCTGTCAGATCAGAAGTGACATTAGATTATCATACCCCGTGGTGAACTGTCTATGCGAGGGATCTAGATTGTGCACTCTTATGATTATCTAATGCCTGATGATCTGTCACTGTCTGCCATCACCCTGGGACAGAAAGCAAGTTCAGGCCTCCCACTGATTCTACATTATGGTGAGTTATATAATTATTTAATTATATATTGCAGTGTTGTAATAATAGAAATACCGGTACAGAATAAATGTAATGTTCTTGAATCATCCCAAAACCATCAGCTCCCCACCCATGATCTGTGGAAAAATTGTCTTCCATGAAACCAGTCCCTGGTACCAGGAAGTTTGGGAATGTCTGCTCCAGACCAACCACTCCAGAGAAACTATAATGACTGAGCCATATCAGCGACCTGAGAAACTAAAAATTCTAAAAACACAAAACAATCTGCACAAAAGACTACTACCACAGCCTCCCAGGAGAACTTGACCTGCTCTACATTCTCACAGAGATGAAAGGGCCCATCCAAGTAGAAATTTCAAGTAATCTCTAAGTAGGTTACCTGCTACCTTTTATGTATATAAAATAAGTACACTTTCTTCAGGTTTATGTGAGTATTGTTTCACATAATAAATCCCACTGAGTACTCAGACACCCTCTGAACTTGTAAAAATGCTGCCTGTTAACTTATCAATGTTGTTGCTGTCTAATGAAGGATAAGCAATAATTGTTTATAAAATTTTAATGCTTGTCTTAGTGCTTCTTTATTTAATCTTTTAAAAATTCAGTCAGCTACTGTTTACGTGTGTACTATTAATATGTCCTCTCTTTAGAACCTGATAAAAAGAAAGCTGGACATAAGAATGCTTTTACTACTATGGTTTCCATAAGGATAAACTTGGACAGAAACTGTTAGTACATTCTAAAGCATATATTTAGTAAAATAATATGCTATCACCAGTAATTTTATTACTAAGCTAATTAAGTTTTGTATCTAAGATGAATGGGATTATTAGAAATTAATTACTTGAATAAAGAGAATGCATTCATGTTTTAGTATGAACTTTAGTATGCCAATTTTCTAAAGAGTTCGGTTAATGTTACTCATTCATCATTCTGTTCCACAGTTTGTTGAGCATGTACTGCACATTTGGAAATTGGAGATCCATAGGTTGATGCACAATATATGAAAACTACCTTCTCTGACATAAAAAATATTACACATTTTTATGTCAAACACAAGCATGATATGAAAACATACTTTTAACGACACTTTCAAGTCTAAACTCTCCTGAAACTGACATTCATTCAAATTTCTCAATAAGCTTACACACACAATTTTTATCCTAGCATCCATTGTTTTCCATACCATTCTGCAATTAAAATATTTCACTGCAAAATCTACTCAATATTGTATTTTCCTCTGCACCGTTTCTTCATGCCAGAGAAAATGAAGTAATGTAAGGAAAAGCTACAAGAGATTGGAGAGAAAGTGTAACACGAGCTGAGCCCTGAAAGGAGAATGGAACTCCAACCAATTGTAGAAAGGATTCGACTCTCAGGCAAAGGAACTTAGAATCAATTTCATGGTAACCTCAGAACCTTCATATTTTCTCTTTCTGTCTTACTTTCTTTTGTGCAAGTCCTTTCTTAGTTTCCAGGTGTGGGAGCTTTGCCTGCATTGTTACTTTGATTCAGAAGTCATCAAAAAATTTTTAAAAAGAGTTTCAATCCAGCAGTTAATAGATGGAATATGAATAAGAAACCAGCAAGGATTGTTTTTATTTTGTTTTATTTTATTTTTTCCTACTTTCATAAAGCTAAGTGAAACACTTCAGATTTAAGAAATTCTCCTCTTTCCTGGAGCAAAATTAAGCTCTAAAGTTCAGAGGCAAGTAGAAAATCAAGCATCACTTCCCCTCTGACTACAAGCAAAAGAAAACAAACCTTGCAGCCAGGATAGCAGGAATCTGGCTGGGTAAAACCGCATCAAAGCTGCTCTGTAGATCAACCAGCGATGCATCTCAAGTGGTAATCTGGGAGCATGCCACCACCATAACGCTTTCAACCCTAGTAAGCAAATACCCACTTCTAAGATGAAATCTGTCTTCTTTGAGTAACCCTCAGAGCCCATAATGTTGTCAAACCAAAAAGAAAGCATCTTTTCTCATCCTATTCCCATTATAAATTAGACATGTTTTGTAAATAAATACTGCTTAACATTGCCTAGTTTCTAACCCATGCAAAAGTTTTATAGGTTCTAAAGTTATGTGCATTCTGAGATAGGTATACTAATGCAATACCTAAACTTGTTTTTACTAACCTTGCTTTTACTAACCTTGTTTTTAGACTCTCCCTTTCTCCCTTAATCACCTAGCCTTGTTTCCATGTGAATATGCTCTCCCTTAGCTATGAAAGCCAGACGAACTCCATTTGGCTCCTTCATTTACAAGATATCAAGGACTCCTTACCCACCCCCTTTCCTCAAGGAGTTAACTTGTGTAAGCTGATTGTCTACGCATCAAAGAGTCCAATTAACTGAAGCAAGCAATGCACAAAGCAAGGTACTGAAGCAAGCAATGTACAAAGTTCCCAGGATTTCACTCAAGAGATAACACCATAAAGCCTTGAGTTTGTGTTCAGCAGAGCCACCATACCTGACATCTTATAATATATTTAGAGCCCCTGCACCTGGAACTGTTTATTTCTCTGTAACCATTTGTCTTTTTAATTTTTTGCATGTTTTTACTTCTGTAGAATTGTTGCAACTGAGCCCCCTTCCCCTTCCTAAACCAAGGTATAAAGGAAAATCAAGCCCCTTCCTCGGGGCCGAGAGAATTCTGAGCGTTATCCGCCTCTCGGCTGCCGGCTAAATAAAGGACCCTTAAATTCATTTCAAAGTGTGACATTCCTCTAACTCGCTTGGGTACAACACTAATGGAAAATGTATCATGATATGCTGTATACCTTTTCAAAGGTAAAATAAATATATAATTGCAGAACCATATATTAATCTTTCAGAGGTATACAGAGAAATGCAGAGGCATGCAATTAAACCTATGATGAATATAAATAAATGAGAAAAAGGAAGAAAAATCACAGACTGTAGTGATATAATAAGAGTCATAGTTGTTTTCTTTTACTTTCATGTTTGTAAAAACGTAGTAATTGTTGGGTACCTGAAAATGTGATACTAATTCCCTTAATTACATGGTACTAAATATTTTCTTCCAAGGTTTTTATAGCCTTTAGTTTAGACAAAATTAAGTTTACCTGATGCAAATCATTTTAAAGGAGAATTTGTTTAGCAAATACTACTTTGTAATTGTAGGAAAAGTTTTTTTAATTATAATTTGTTTACATTGATCAATTTTAAAACTAGTGGAAATTTTGAATAAAGACACTTCCTGTGAAAAAAGAAAACAGCTCAGTGTATATTATATCTAAAATGCTACTAGCTTGCTTCTCCTTCTAAAAGACATAAATCTTAATCATGAGGAATAATTTTCAAATATACTCTTAAGAAGTACAAAAATGGTTTGGGAAAACTGGCTAGCCATATGCAGAAAACTGAAACTGGACTTCTTCCTTGCACCACTTACAAAAGTCCACTCAAGATAGATCAAAGACTTAAATGTTACAACTAGGACCTTTAAAATCCTAGAAGAAAACCTGGTCAATGCTATTCAGGACAAAGGCATGGGCAAAGAATTCATGTCCAAAACACTGAAAGCAACAGCAACAAAAGACAGAATTGACAAACGGGATCTAATTAAACTAAAGAGCTACTGCACAGCCAAAGAAACTGTCATCGGAGTGAACAGCCAACCTACGAAATGGGAGAAAATTTTGCAATCTATTCATCTGACAAAGGGCCGATATCCAGAATCTACAAAGAACTTACACCAATGTACAAGAATAAAACAAATAACCCCATCAAAAAGTGGGCAAAGGATATGAACAGACACTACTCAAAAGAAGACATTTATGCAGCCAGCAGATACATGAAAAAATGCTCATTATCACTGGTCACTAGAAAAATGCAAATCAATCCACAATGAGATATCATCTCTCTCCAGTTAGAATGGCAATCATTAAAATGTCAGGAAACAACAGATCCTGGAGAGCTTGTGGAAAAATAGGAATGCTTTTACGCCGTCAGTGGAAGCGTAAATTAGTCCAACCATTGTCGAAGACAGTGTGGCAATTCCTCAAAGATCTAGAACTGGAAATATCATTTGACCCAGCAACCCCATTACTGGGCATATACCAAAGGATTATAAATCATTCTATGATAAAGACATGTATGTTTATTGTGGCACTATTCACAATAGAAAGACTTGGACTCCCAAAAAAAAGGTGAAGAAAGGAACCGCATGGTTAACTCACTGAGTAATCAGTAAGTCATTGGTCCGCACTTGAGGTCACAAAGCTCTGGGGGAAGTTGGTTCAAGCTGAGTTTTCATTATAAGACAACAGTTATCAGCACCTCAGAAACAGTATATAAAAGTATTAAAACAGTTGCTTACGGCTAGCGGGGCTTCAGTTTCCCAGGTTCAATTAATGAAATTAATATAAACTTTGGTCATATAATCCATGGTTCCCAGAAGAAGGAATGCTAGACGTAGAACTCTGGGAACAAGTAGGGAGAAATCTTAAACAATGTTATGCACAGGGTCGTCAGGTCCCAGCATCAGCTTTAACATGGCGGGCTTTACTAAGGATGGTTTAGTCCCATTATACACAGAAGAGCCTAAAAATGAGAAGGAGGGAGAAACATCACCTGCCTTATCACCTCCTTTTCCCTCAGTCCCACTATCACCGGGCCAAAATAACAAAGAGTAAATGGAGGGTTTGCCTGAGCCCCGTCTTACTGTAAGTAGAAAAAAAGGCAAGAAACATACTTCAGCTATGGGACCTTGTCTTAAACAAGTGGCATTAGAAGGAGAGCTCTTAGCCTGTCCAGTAATGCAAGACCAACATGGTAATCAAGTACATGAACCCATTTCCTTTCACTCTTATAAACAATGAAGAAAAAGCATTAAAGAAAATGGAGCCACTAGACCATTTACAAAAGGAATGATTGGGGCCTTAGCAGACCAATTCTGTGTGGGCCCATGGGACTGGTCAATGCTAGCTAAAGCAACTCTGGAGCCTAGCCCATTCCTCCTCTGGAAGGCAGGATATGGACGGCTTGTGCAAACAACAAGCCAACCAGAATCAGGCAGCCGGGCAAAATATAATAGCTGATAAGCTCCAAGGGAGGTGTCCTCATGCTGATGTATAAAAACAACTAAATTTTGATCCCCAGGCCTTTGCTGAAGTGTCTGTGTGCTCTCAGAGCTTGGGACCAAATTCCCAAGACCAGAGTTCAGCAGAGGTCTTTTGTAAATGTTTGACAAGGGACTTAGGAGCCATTTGTTGAGTTTATGGATCCGTTAACTCAGGCAATTAAGAGGCAAATTAGTCACACCCAGGCCACTCCTATCTTATTGCTGCAACTGGCTTTTGAAAACGCTAATGTGGATTGCCAGCAGGCAATGGCAGGCAATCAAAGGAAAGGCAAGCACCATCCAGGAGCTCATATAAGTGCCTCACCTGGTAGGAACTGAGACAAACAAGGCCAGAATATGAGCTATGTCATTAAGCCCTCCGAAAGTGAAAAGGGAGAGACACCAAAATTGTTTTCTATGTGGAGTGAAAGGTCATGTGAAGAGGCAATGCCCCCCTAGTGATAACCGAGCTAACTCAGGGAAAGAACCCTCTTCTATATGTTCCGAATGTAGGAAATGGAAACATTAGGCAAATCAATGCAGGTCTAAATTTGATAAAAATGGCAATCTCATAGGAAATCAGTCGAGAAACTTCATGAGGGGCCAGCCCCAAGCCCTGATCCCAACTGGGACAATGCCGACAGCTTTCCTTGGTCAGCTGGAAAGCCCACAGTTCTCTCTCTTAGAGCAGCCACTACTGGGAGTGCATGACTGGACTTTCTCTGCCCTGCCAAATTAGAGCTAAAAGAGGGAGAAAGCCCTAAAATGGTTGAGACTGGGATCTGTGGCCCGCTGCCTCTAGGAACAGCAGGATTAGTCCTTGGGCAGCCTAGCCTATCCAGTAAAGGAATTAATATGCTCTCTGGGGTAATTGATAGTGATGACCAAGATCAGATATTGGTTATAATGGAATATAAAGGTCTGCATATTCTTCCCCCTGGATCAAAAATAGCTTAGTGAAAGACTTTACCATAGTGAGACCCTAATACCCATGGGAAGGAAAGGGGAAAGGGAAGTTTTGGAAGCACAGGAGCTACAGGAATATATTGGAATCAATTAATCACTGATCGGAGACCCATGATTACCTTAAAACTTGGTAATAATAATTTTACTGGCTTATTGGACACAGGGGTTGACATTTCAGTCATTAGTGATCAGAACTGGCCAGAAATTTGGACTTGGATCACTGAGAAATAGAAAATTGTCAGCATCGGGGAAGCACACACAGCCAAACAGAGCACACACCCCTGAACATGCTATGATTCAGAAGGAAGAAAGGCAGTTATACAACCTCTGATCACGCCCATTGTTATACCCAGATGAGTGAGAGAAAACGCCGCACTTTGAGATGAATTATTTAAGCCAGCGGCCAAAGAGATGGCTAATGCTCAAAATTCTCTCAGCCCCGAGGAATGGGCTTGATTAACTTTTATACTTTGGTTTAGGAAGGGGAGGGGAACTCAAATGCAATAATTCTACAGAAGTAAAAACATGCAAGAATCAAAGAAACAAATGGTTACAGAGAGACAAACAATTTAAAAGACAAATGGTTACAAAAAAAGCAGTGTAACCAGGTGTGGGGCTCTAAATCCTTCATTAGAGTTAGATATAGATGTTATGCCAGGCATGGTCTCAAGGCTTTATGTTGTTATTTCTTTGAGTAAAATCCTGGGAACTTCTTACATTGTTTGTTTCAGTACCTTATCAGTTAATTGGGCTCCTGCCATATGCTGAGGATCTGCTTACACAGGTTAACTCCTTGAGGAAGGGGTTGGGTAAGGACCCCTTAATGTCTGGTAAATCAGGAAGCCACATGGAGTTTGTCTGGCTTTCCCAGACAAGAGGAAGTCTTACTTGTATGGGAAAAACAAGGCTGGGTAACTAAGGAGACAAGCAAGGAAAATTTAAAAGTAACGCATTAGAGTAAAAACAAGGTTAGGCACTACACCTATCCCTGTTAATCTCTGGGGATGGGAATTATTAGCGCAATTGTTGGGGGGCGGGGCACACTGCAAACCCCTTTCTAACAATGACCACTGTGGTTATTCCTCCGCTACCTCTGACTTGGCTCTCTCAAGATCCGGTCTGCTTAGAAGAGTGGCCTCTGAAGGTAGAGAAACTACAGAGGATTCATGTGTTAGTTGAGGAGCAGTTAAAGGCTGGACATCTTGAACATTCTACCAGCCCCAGGAATTTGCCTATTTTCATCATTGCCAAAAAGTCTGTGAAATGGAGGCTTTTACATGACTGATGTGCTATTAATGCTAATTTACAGCCCCTGGGACTCCTTCAAAGGGCCTCCCCTCCCCAGCAGCAATCCCTCAAGATTGACCTATAATTGTTATTGACTTAAAAGATTGCTTCTATACCATTTATCCGATGTCCACCCCTGTGTCCAATAAGCCAGTAAAACAGAACAGGAGAGAGAAAAATTTCCATTTACAAAACCAGCTATCAATAATGAAAATCCAGCTTGTCAATTTTATTAGAAAATGCTTCCTCAAAGGATGCTAAATAGTCCTACCATGTGTCAGTTTCATGTAAATCAATCTTTGCTCTCTAGTAGAAAAGAATTTCCTGACTATAAAATTATTCATCCTATGGATGATATTCTACTAGTAGCTCCAAATGGGCCAACACTTTTAAATTTGTTTACTTCTGTCATAAAGAATGCACAGCTGAGAAGTTTAGTCATTGCACCTGGAAAAGTACAAATGTCCAATGCTCTCTCCTTGGAAATAAATTGGATATCTGTTAACCTCCCAGTCAGTAAGACCTCAAAAGGTTAAACTAAATACTAGCAAATTACACACATTAAGTAATTATCAGAAATTACTGGGTGATATTACCTGGCTCCATCCCATTTTAGGAATTCTTACTAATAAACTACAAAACCTTTTTTCTATCTTAAAAGGCAATCCAGCTCTTGATTCTTCCAGATATTTAATCCCTGCAGCAACAAGAGAAATTGAGGAAATGGAGCTAGCCATCTCTCAGAGGCAGCTAGATCATATTGATCTATGATATTCAATTCAGTTGTTTGTATTTCCCAACAAACACTCCCCTACAGGGTTACTAGGACAAATGACCCCTGGGCTACATTTCCTAAAATGGGTTTTTTGTTCACATACTGGAAGTAAAACACTGTCTCTCTATATTCACTTAATTACTAAAGTCATCTATTCAGGTTGCAAACATTGCAGTCAGTTACTAGGTTATGACCCTGATGTCATCAGGATTCCTTTAAGTAAAAAGCAATTTGAAGCAGTATTACCTTTGGCAATAGACCTGCAAATAGCTTTCTCTGATTACACAGGGCAAATAGAGCACATCCTCCCTACTGATGAAGTCCTTCATTTCTTATCTCACACTCTGATAATAATGCCTATAAAAATAATTTACACCCCCATGCCTAATCCTTTAACACTGTTTACTGAGGGGTCTGCTAAACATGGAAAAGTGGCAGTCTGGAGGAGACCACACTATTCAATCACTTGAACTGGGTTTACTAGCATGCAGAGAGCTGCAACTGGGGCTCTGAGTTTGGTTGGCCTTAGAAACTTTTTCCACTCAGCCCATAAATATAGTTAGGTGATTCTGCATACTCTGTTTATTTGTTACAAAACTTTGAAACAGCACTGATTAAGTCCACTCTGGAGCCAGCTCTGTTTACTCTTTTTCTCTGACTTAAACAATTCTAGACTAATGTTCACATCCTATTTTTACTACACACATTCGAGCCCACAGCCCACTCCCTGGCCCATTGGCTTATGGCAACGAACAAGCAGACCTTCAGGTTATGACATCACTGCTAGACCAAGCCACCCAATCACATCAATTTTTCCACCAAAATTGGAGAAATTTATCTAAACCATTTTCAACTTACCCAGAGGCTAGCTAAACAAATTATCCTACAATGCCCAGATTTCCAGCGCACAGGCACGCCCCCTCCTTCTACAGGTGTGAACCCTACAGGATTCGAACCTAATCAGTTGTGGCAAACAGATGTTACAGACATCCCTGAATTTGGGAAACTAAGATATGTGCATATATCCATTGATACCAACAGTCATTTAATCAGTGCACATGCTTTGCCTGGAGAGCCTACTCAATATGTCATTAAACATCTTCTTTTAACTTTTGCATTTATGGGATGACCCACAAAAATGAACACTTTTAATGGTCCAGCTTATACCAGCTCACGATTTCAACAATTTTGTCACAGGTGGAAACTCCAACATTCCACAGGCATCCCATATAACCCCCAAGGATAGGCAATAGTAGAACACAGACACTTCACCCTTAAAAATGTGCACTAATAACAGAGACAGGGTAATATAAGTAAGCACGCTGCAACACTACTGGCACAGGCCTTATTTACCCTTAATGTTTTAAATTCAGATGACAAATTTCAATCAGTTGTAGAAAAGCACTTTGCTAAAACCTCTCAAGGCATAAAACCTGCAGTTTTATGGAAAGATGTAAACAGTAATGAATGGTGTTGAGAGGTGAGAGCGTGCTGGCAGTCCTCAGAGCCCTCGCTTGCTCTCGGCACCTCCCCTGCCTGGGCTCCCACTTTGGTGGCATTTGAGGAGCCCTTCAGTCCCCCACTTCACTGTGGGAGTCCCTTTCCAGGCTGGCCAAGGCCGGAGCCCACTACCTCAGCTTGCAGGGAGGTGTGGAGGGAGACGCACGAGCGGGAACCGGGGCTGTGTGCCGTGCTTGTGAGCCAGCTGGAGTTCCGGGTGGGCGTGGGCTTGGTGGGCCCCACACTCGGAGCAGCCGGCCAGCCCTGCTGGCCCCAGGCAATGGGGGACTTAGCACCCGAGCCAGTGGCTGCGGAGGGTGTACTGAGTGCCCCAGCCGGGCTGGCTCACCGGCACTGCGCTTGATTTCTCGCCGGGCCTTACCTGCCTTCCCATGGGGCAGGGCTCGGGACCTGCAGCCCGCCATGCCTGAGCCTCCCACCCACTCCATGGGCTCCTGTGCGGCCCGAGCCTCCCCGATGAGCACCACCCCCTGCTCCACGGCACCCAGTCCCATCGACCACCCAAGGGCTGAGGAATGTGAGCGCACGGCGCAGGACTGGCAGGCAGCTCCACCTGCAGCCCCGGTGTGGGATCCACTAGGTGAAGCCAGCTGGGCTCCTGAGTCTGGTGGGGACATGGAGAGCCTTTATATCTAGCTCAGGGATTGTAAATACACCAATCAGCACCCTGTGTTTAGCTCAAGGTTTGTGAGTGCACCAATCAACACTCTGTATCTAGCTGCTCTGGTGAGGACGTGGAGAACCTTTATGTCTAGCTCAGGGATTGTAAATACACCAATCGGCACTCTGTATCTAGCTCTAGGATTGTAAATACACCAGTCAGCACCCTGTGTTTAGCTCAAGGTTTGTGAGTGCACCAGTCAACACTCTGTATCTAGCTGCTCTGGTGGGGCCTTGGAGAACCTGTGTGACAAAACTCTGTATCTAACTAATCTGATGGGGACGTGGAGAACCTTTGTATCTAGCTCAGGGATTGTAAAGGCACCAATCAGCACCCTGACAAAACAGGCCACTCGGCTCTACCAATCAGCAGGATGTGGGTGGGGCCAGATAAGAGAATAAAAGCAGGCTGCCTCCGGAGCCAGCATTGGCAACCTGCTCGGGTCCCCTTCCACACTGTGGAAGCTTTGTTCTTTCGCTCTTTGCAATAAATCTTGTTACTGCTCACTCTTTGTGTCCACGCTGCTTTTATGAGCTGTAACACTCACTGCGAAGATCTACAGCTTCACTCCTGAGCCTGGCAAGACCACGAGCCCACCGGGAGGAACCAACAACTCCAGACGCGCTACCTTAAGAGCTGTAACACTCACCGTGAAGGTCTGCAGCTTCACGCCTGATCCAGCAAGATCACGAACCCACCAGAAGGAAGAAACTCCGAACACATCTGAACATCAGAAGGGACAGACTCCAGACGCGCCACCTTAAGAGCTGCAACACTCACCGCGAGGGTCCGTGGCTTCATTCTTGAAGTCAGTGAGACCAAGAACCCACCAATTCTGGACACAGTGTGGTCTTAATGAATTATTAACATGGGGGAGAGGGTAGGCTTGTGTTTACACCCCCTCAAGTCCTCTTTGGATTCCAGCACGAGGCATCAAACCATAACATGGCATGGCTAGGGTCCAATCTAGTACCGGAATTGAAAGAGTTAACCCAGTAAGACCCACAGTTCCAGAGGAGGCTGAACAAATCCTGCTCCAGACACAGGCACCATTTACTCCAGTTATTTTGTTTCTTTCTATGCTATCTATTGTACAATGCGACTCACATAGGGTATTGATCATTTTTATACTCTCGCTTTGCCTGCAAACTGTACCTGCTACACTCTATTGGGCTCATTAAAATATGAGCCCTAAATATGAGCCTAAAATGGCCCACTTTTCTTTCACCCTGTCACCTGGGCAGATAACTCCCTTCCCACTCTGTAACAACATGACTGCTTGGCTAGGACGGATAGATTTACACCAAGTAGGGTCCCTCAATAATAACACACATTTCCCTAAGGTGCCAGATAACACTATATAGCACTACACTATCCTCTCACCGCTTCTAAGTTATAAAGGCTCTAACCCTTACTGTGTAACTGCTCCAAGACAAGTATGGGTACATCATGGCAAAAAAAGTGCCTTAACAGTTTTAGCTACAGATAACCTCAAACTGGGCAATGCAATCCATGCTGCTTTCCCAAATATTCCTTTCCGTACTAAAGAACAGAGCCAAGAAAATAATGGATTTCACTTTAGCTGGGAAGTCTCATAGTCTCTGGTTGGGCAATTAAAACATCTTAGAGTGGAGTCTCCATGGCCAACTGCAGGGCACGCTTACAAATGTCTTTCTGCATCGTAGCATTAACCACAATATTTTATAGCCATGTCTCGTTCCCCTGTAATTTGGGCCGATGGAGGGATGGGATATCCCCAGACCCTGAGTAAACCCCATACCAACCCAAGGCACCTTATGGCACCTGGGACATCTTAGCACCTCTCTTAACACCTGCTATGGGAGATATCATAATTCCAGGCTCAACTACACTATAGCCTTTATTCATACTCACACTGATCAGTGCCTGGTTTGCACTACCCATCCATATGTTTTCCTTACAGGAACTAACATTTCCATTACACCTGGAAATGCCACATTTGTGACCCGGGTGCAGGGACAGGCTTGGTTTGCCTCATGTATCACTGGTCATGATATGTCTAGTTTAAAAACTTCCAGTGTCGTGGTATTAAGGAGACAATCTGAGGCACTTCTACCAGCCAATTTGACATGCAATTGGCAAGATTCTTCTGCCCTTGCCACCTTAGAAAGTGCCCTGTCCCAGGTCAGACACAAAAGATTCACATTTACACTTATGGTCTTTACAGGCTCAGCCATAGTCATTATGGCAACTGTTAGCATTGCTGTTGTATCTATTACTGAATCAGTACAAACAACTGCTTTTGTAGATAATCTGGCCAAAAATATATGTGATGAACTTCTCCTACAGTAAGGAAAGAGTATGCGGGAGAGCCACAAGATGCACTAGCATTCTGTCAACAGTGAAAATGTGAATGGCAACATAAACATACCTGTGTCACTTCTCTACCATGGAACCAATTAATGTATAGCTAGGGTGAGGTGAAACAACACCTCTGGGGAACCTTTTATAACAGTTTAACTGCAGACATGAAGCAAGTTAAAACTAAAATTTTAAAATCTGTTCACACCACAGATCTGCACACCCAACAGCCATGTGGAAGGGAGTACAAGATCATCTCTCCTACTTGGACCCTAACTCCTGGGGGATACTCTTTGACTGGAAAAGATTTTTGCTAATTATGCTCATGTTTGTCTTATGTTATTTGCTAATCCTAGGATGCAAAGTCTAAATAAGAGCAGTGACTGCCTCATCTGAAAATCCTGTGGCTGCACATATCTGTGCTCTGCAATCAAAAAACCCTAATAAAGAAAACAAAAATGGGGAAATGTTGGGATTCACTCAGGATGGTGGCAGAAATAGTAAAGGGAAATATTAGGGGAAGTTCTAGGGAATAGTCACAAACCTTTCGTAAGGCCAAAAGGTTACCCAGCTTGTAATAATTGAACAGATTGAAGGCAGCTAGTTCTTACCTTGGAACATTATGTCATAGAGTAAATACAAGGGACAATTGAGGCTTCCCCAGTTAAGTCTGTTTATCCTACCTCCATTAACTAACCTTTGTACCAAATGGCCCTCTCAGGGGGAGGTGGACCAAGGATATTGTCCCCTAATGGTATTCACTTAGACTACAGTACCTGAGCTTTAATCATTCATAGAACTACTGTCTTAACCAAGTTCATTATCCTCAAGTGTAATTACTCAAAGCTTCTGTTGGTAATTGTATACTAAATAAATGCCTGGAGTGCTAGCTGCTCAGGGTCTGCTGCAGTGACAAACCTGTCTTGGTGTGCAGGCAGTCAGACACAGCAGGACTAGCAAAACAGAATACCTGTGTGTCAGTGTACATTTTATTCATCTGTTGTTTGGGCCAGGGTCTGCAGGCAGACGCCCACAGCTAATGCCCTCTTGTGAGAGGCAACACCTGTTAGAAAACTCAAACTACTGGTAGTTCTAGTCAGGGTAGTGGAGTTTGAGTCCTACTAAGATAGAGAGAGTAGACAAAAACCTTTGGCTTCCTATTGAAATTGCAGAAAGGATACACTTTAGGAAGAAAATCTGGATGCTAAGAATAAAGAGTTCACAATGAGAATAAGGATAAAATCCAAACAGTCTCATCCCAGTAAAGAATAAGACAAAGGTTCTACAACATCAATATCACTAGCCAACAATTTCTGATAGAGCAAATGCCAACCTTCTTCAGAGAAAGAAAACAAATCCCTTATCTAAACATGCAACTGCAGTTCACAGAAAAATGTTATTACATGTATAAAGAAACAGGAGCATATTGACATAGGAGAGATAAATAAGAAATCAGACTCTTGCATGACCCAAATGTTGGAATTCACACACAAGGGCCTTAAAACATTTCTTAAAATTGTGTTCAAGGACTTAAAAGAAAAGATAAAAAGGCTGTATCAGCAGAGATAATTCAATATCTGAGAAATTTCAAAAGTAGATGTTTTTAGTAAGACTTGGAGAAGGCAATAAGGTCAGTGTTCAAGAATGTGGTGGGCAGTATGACTTCTAGATGCTAGAAAAAAAAAAAAGGGAATGGACTCTCTCGTAGAGACTCTAGAAGAAATGCAGCCATGCCTACACTTTGATTATAGTTTGCTGAACCCATTTCACAATTCTGATGTCCAGAGCTGTGAGAAAATAAAGCGTAATCTAAGACCTGAAAAGAAGAAAGTGTCAGCTCTGAGAAGACTAACAGAAAACAGTATGGGAAAAAGCAAAGGGAGAAAGCTCTGAACCAAGACAGAACTTGAAAATATGGGCAACTTGAATAAAATACTATTTACTCTGGAATAAGGGGTGGGCCTGAGATATGAGGCTAGAGCACTGGACATGAGCCTCATCTTGGATGCTGGTAAAGCGAGTAGTTTCTTTCTGCGACATATCCTCCACAAACATCCCTTAAGAAGAATGACTTAATATAAGATATATATTTTTAAAAGGGAATATTACAGAGAATAAATATAAGAAGGCAAAAGTAAGAAAGTGTTAATTTTAGGGAAGCTATTGCAGTAGATGAAGCAAAATATAATGGTGGCTTGGATTTACAGTGGATATTGAGAGCAGAATATAGTCTGACTGGGAATATTCTGAAACTAAGTTTAGCAGACTTAATTATGGATTTGATGTAAAGTTTTAAGGAAGGAAGAAATTGAGGATAAATCTTTGGTGTTTTGTCTTGAGTGGTTGATAGTGGCGTTTGGATATTTAGCAGTGCATGCCACTATTAGTAAAAGACTCAGTTGGAAACAGATGCTGCTACTGCCTGAATGCAAAGCTCTTGTTTTTTACTACAGTAAGCTGAAAAATCATCCCTACTTGGTCCCAGGTTTTCTCTACAAAAAAAAAAAAAAAAAAAAAAAAAAGTTGTGAAACTGGTACGATTTTTCTCACCTTTGTGATTCTCTGAGATATATGGCTTTTACTCAATTCCTTGGTCTGCACATCAAAAAACATGAACTGAATTAATCTATATCCAATTTGTTACACAAATTTATTCATCTGAAAAATTCAACATTTACACACACATTTACATACACACAGTCAAGAAATAATGAGATAAATTGGAAAGTATATGAATTGGAACCACAAATAGAATAGTTTTTGAGTCGTGGCACTAGCACTTTCTGATATGTGTCATTATATATGTCATTTAACCTTTATGAAACTCAATTTTTTATAAGTAAAAACATATATTAATACTCACAATATTGTTGTAAGCATACCAATGAAATTACTTTTTACTGTAAAATTAAAAACTAGAAGTGCTTGTTGGTTTCTCAGTGCTCTTACAAAAAATTAATCATTGTAACATTTGAAAATAAGTAGATGTGTGGAAAATAAATTAATAAACTTCTTTTCTTCTTCCAATTTCAAATATAAGCACCAACAGCAGTTTGGCAATAATTTTCACGAAGTTAATTTTGCATATAAAACATTTGCAAAGATTATGTTCATGTTTATGAAAGTGAAACTGCTATACATACATCCATGTACACACACAATACATGCATATTGTATAATTCGCTTTTGCTAAAATATATATTTTAGATTTTCTTCCAAAGGAACACATATATCAATCTTATTTGCATTAATAGTTACATAATAATCAATATTATATTTATACCAAGGTTTCAATGGATGTACCATTTAATCTTTCTAATTTTGAGAAAAATTCTATAATTCCAAATCTTTAGTATTAATAACAATGATACAATAAACATGATGGCATATTTATCTTTTAATCCTGGTAATTTTATTTGTATTTAATAAGTGGTACAAAATGTGAAAACTGGGCCAAGTGCTGTAAGTACCATGTATTGAAATTATTTAAATACTAAATTTATGTAATATTAAATAAAATTATAACTATTTAAATACCAAATTACTTTCCGAAAACCTTGTAGTAATCACATTCCTTCTAGAACCTACAATTTCATCAACAGTGGATGCTACTATTAGTTTTTATTTTTGTAAACTAATGAATGTATTATCTATTATCTTAACTTCATTTTTTTTAATTTGAGAACTAGAAATTCTGTTTTATTGTTACCGATCTCTAGAGTGTTGGTTGTTGTTTTTTTTTTTCTAGCCAGAAACGTCTGTGGCTGTGACTCCTTTGTCCAAGATCTTGTCCAGTGTCAGGAAGAATGAGGTAGAATGAGGTAGCAGAGAAGTGAATGTTGAACAAGAAGAAACATTTTGTTCAGTGTTAGTACAGTTCAAAGGAACGGTTTGCTCCTCTCTGTAGGCAGGCTTTCCAGTTGAGTGTTCAGCTCTTAGCAGAGAGGAGGCCCTGGAGAGTGTGACTCTTCTCCATGGCAAAGTCATTCAGAGGTCTCTGCAGGCCTCTGAAGCTCATGTAGCCTGACTTTTGACAGTTGGCAGATACTTCATTCCAAGGAGTTAGGCCAGTGAGGCCAAATCTTTGATTTGAATTAGCACATAGAAACTAGCTCACTTTTTTTTTTTTTTTTTTTTTTTTTTAAGACGGATTCTCGCTCTGTTACCCAGGCTGGAGGGTATTGGCACAATCTGGGCTCACTGCAAGCTCCACCTCCCGGGTTCATGCCACTCTCCTGCCTCAGCCTCCTGAGTAGCTGGGAGGCTGGCTCACTTTAATGCTCATGACAAATTTGTTCGCACTTTCTATTTCTTAGATTATGTAAAATGTTTATTGAAATCAGTTGGAAATTGGGATGTTATTAGATTCCTTCTCTGTTGGACTTTCTCACAGGAGTAAAGTATGACAGCACATTTCTTTCTTTCAGTTGAAACAAGAGTACCGGCCTGGCGCGATGGCTTATGCCTGTAATCTCAGAAATTTGGGAGGTCAAGGTGTGTGGATCACCTGAGGTAAGGAGTTCCAGCCCCCTCGTGGCCAACGTGGCAAAAAACCATCTCTACCAAAAATACAAAAATTAGCTGAATGTGGTGGCATGAACCTGGATTTCTAGTTGCTCTGGAGGCTGAGGGAGGAGAATCACTTGAACCTGGGAGGCAGTGGTTGTAGTGAGCCAAAATCATGCCCCTGCAGTCCAGACTGGGCAACAGAGTGAAACTCAATCTCAAAAAAAAAAAAAAAAAAAAAAAAAAAAAATCCAAACAATAGAAAAAGAGGGACTCCTCCCTAATTTACTTCATGAGGTCAGCACCACCCTGATACCAAAACCTGGCAGAGACACAAGAAAAAAGAAAAGTTCAGGCCAATATCCCAGATGAATATCGATGCAAAAATTCTCAATAAAATACTGACAAAACGAATCCAGCAGCACATCAAAAAGCTTATCCACCACAATCAAGTCAGCTTCATCCCTGGGATGCAAGGCTGGTTCAATATAGGCAAATGAATAAACATAATTCATCAAATCAACAGAAGCAATGACAAAAACCACATAAATATGTCAATAGACTCAACACGTCTTCATGCTAAAAATTCTCAGTAAACTAGGTCTTGATGGAAAGTATCTCCAAATAGTAAGAGCTATTTATCACAAACCCACAGCCAATATCATACTGAATAGGCAAATACTGGAAGCATTCCATTTTACAACCTGCAAAAGAAAAGGAAGCCCCCTCTCACCACTCTTATTCAACATAGTATTGGAAGTTCTGGTGAGGGCAATCAGAGGAAAGAAATAAAGCGCATTCTAACAGTAAGAGAGGAAGTCAAATTATCTCTGTTTGCAGATAACATGATTGCATATTTAGAAAACCCCATCGTCTAAGCCCACAATCTCCTTAAGCTGAGAAGCAACGTCAACAAACTCTCAGAGTACAAAATCAATGTGCAAAAATCACAAACATTCCTATACCCAAATAATAGAGGGCCAAATGGTGAGTGAACTCCCATTCACAATTGCCACCAAGAGAAGAAAATCCCTACAAATACAACTTACAAGGGATGTGAAGGACCTCTTCAAGAAGGACTACAAACCACCACTCCAAGAAATAAGAGAGAACACACACACATGGAAAAACATTCCATGCTCATGGATAGGAAGAATCAATATTGTCAAAATGTCCATACTGCCATAGTAATTTATAGATTCAAAGCTATCCCCATCAAGCTACTGTTGGCTTTCTTCACAGAATTAGAAAAACTACTTTAAATTTCCCATGGAACCAAAAAAGAGCCCACATAGCCATGACAATCCTAAGCAAAAAGAACAAAGCTGGAGGCATCATGGTAACTCAATTTAAACTATACTACAAGGCTGCAGTAACCAAAACAGCATGGTACTCGTACCAAACATATACATATATACCAATGCAACAGATCAGAGACCTCGGAAATAACACCACAAATATCTAATATCTACAAATATCTGATCTTCGACAAACCTGATGAAACAAATCAATGTGGAGAGGATTCCCTATTTAATAAATGTGGGAAAACTGGCTAGTCATATGCAGAAAATTGTAACAACCCCTTCCTTACACCTTATACAAAAATTAACTCAAGATGGATTAGACTTAAACATAAGACCTAAAACCATAAAAACCCCCGAAGAAAATCAAGGCAATACCATTCAGGACACAGGCATGGGCAAAAACTTTATTACTAGATCACCAAAAGCAATGGCAACAAAAGACAAATTTGACAAATGAGATCTAATTAAATAAAAGATCTTCTGCACAGCAAAAGCAACTATCATCAGATTGAACAGGCAACCTGCAGAATGGGAGAACATTTTTGCAATATATCCATCTGACAAAGAACTAATACCCAGGATCTACAAAAAACTTAAACAAATTTGTGAGAAAAAAAAAAAACTCATCAAAAAGTGAGAGAAGGATATGAACAGACGCTAGTCAAAAGAAGACACTTATGCAGCCAACAATCATGGGAAGAAAAGCTAATCATCACTGATCATTAGAGTAATGCAAATCAAAACCACAATGAGATACCATCTCATGCCAGTTAGAATGGTGATCACTAAAAAGTCAGGAAACAACAGATGCTGGAAAGGATGTGGAGAAATAGGAATGCTTTTTCACTGTTGATAGGAGTGTAAATTAGTTCAACCATTGTGGAAGACAGTGTGTCAATTCCTCAATGATGTAGAAGTAGAAATACCATTTGACCCAGCAATCCCATTACTGGGTAGATACCCAAAGGATTATAAATCATTCTATTATAAAGACACATGCACATGTATTTTATTATGGCACTGTTCACAATAGCAAAGACTTGCAACCAACAAAAATGCCCATCAATTTTAGACTGGATGAAGAAAATATGGCATATATACACCATGGAATACTGTGCAGTCATAAAAATGATGAGTTTATGTCCTTTGCAGGGACATGGATGAAGCTGGAAACCAACATTCTCAGCAAAATAACACAAGAACAGAAAACCAAACACCACATGTTCTCACTCATAAGTGGGAGTTGAACAATGAGAACATACGGATACAGGGAGGGGAACATTACATACTGGGGCCTGTTGGTGGCAGGGTATAGGGGAGGGATAGCATTAGGAAAAATGCCTAATGTAGATGATGGGATGATGGGTGCAGCAAGCCATCATGACAGGTGTATACCTATGTAACAAACCTGCATGTTTTGCACATGTGCCCCAGAACTTAAAGTATAATAATAATTTTTTAAAAAGAACCTTTTTGAGAAAATTAAACTTTGAGAATTGTTGCCTTATTTGTGGTTTTGGCTTCTGAATAATATCTAAATGTAATCTCATTACACTTTTTTCAAGTGTTTGGTATTGGAGATAATGCTTGTCTTTAGGATTGAGAGTGGAGACTCCCAATTTATGATCAAATAATTTAGCATTATGCATTTGGGACATATCATATCCATTTTAGGATGAGAAGACGCTGTTGCTGAGGACTTACTGTTTAAAGTCACAAGAAGGAGCAGACACAAAATGCAGAAGTGAGTTTTCTGGATGCATATGTATATGTGGACCCATAAAGTGTTATGTCTTTTGTTCAACAAAATTTTATTTGGCTTACATATCCTGTTTAGTGTTGTGGATACAATAAGGTTGAGGAGTCACTCCTTTACTCAAAGACTTACAGTAAAATGGGAAAAGTGGAGGTCATCCCCCATTTCATTTCTCTATAACAGTAAAGAAAATTTCAAAAATAAATTTCTAAAAATATGGAATTTATATTCTTATGCAAATTGTGTAATATATAGATTTAAATGTAATTACAAGATGTTTTACCAAAACTACATGATTGAGATAAATTAAAAATTATTTAATAATAGGAGAAATATAACATGTTCACAGATTAAAAGCAATATTTTTAAGATTTAAAATTTTCCTAAATTTACCTATAGATTCAATACACTCTCAACCAACATCTCCCCATTTGCCTGTATTATTAGTAAAGTTCATCTCATACATGAGATACCATCTTGGATAAGAAAAGAAAGAAGTGAAATGAGAAAACTCAGCATTTGAGTGTTGTGCTTAAGTGACTATTTTTGTTATTGCATTGAACTAAGACAACTTGATTTCTTTTTTATTTTTAATTTTTTGTTAATACACAGTCATTGTTATGTATTTACTTGATTTATTGAATACAATTTTTCCCTATCTTGAGGTTCGAGATGCTCAGGAGGAACATCAGGTAACTTGAAGACATAATAAAGAAGTTAACGATTTATTTATACCTCTGAGTATAATGCAGATACATGTAAGACTTCATATAAAGTTCTTAAAACATAGATCTAATTTGCTTATAAAAAGTTGCACCATTTTTAATCTTTTTAATATCAGTGCTCAATTCATCATCATTCTTCATTTTGGGTATTTCTATTATAAAATTTTATTGACTTTAATTTGGGCATGGAAACACTAGAACAATATCATAAATTATATGTCATCATGCATTCCACTATCTCATGAGAAATCGTTAGAAATGAAGTGCAGTGCATAAACAAATTTATTTAATATGTTATTTTCATTTATTTAAGTGTTTAGATCCAGATTAAAATTGATGAATATAAGCAAGAATCCAAGACAAGAATGCAAAGTTTTGACCAATGGATGAACATTGCTAACATTTTAATCTTTATTATTTTGAGATAAAAATCACGTGTTTTAGATTTGTAACCTCCGTAATTTGTAAACAGTCATGTGTGTGTTGATGTCTGTCTATCATTTATCTATATATGTAACTTAACAATAAAACTATAGATAAAAGAACTGAACTTTATATTATCTTTGCAGTAAGTAATATTTTCCTGGTCATTATAGGCTTTATTAGTCCATTTCATACACTATGATTTCACAGTAATATGCAAAAAATATTTCTTAATAAACTACATTATTAATCAGCTATATACCTGAACACAAAGTTTGAGATAAGGACCAAATATAGCCATTTTTAATAAAATAGTCCAAGGCATCACAATATTCTATGTTCTAATGAGAACCATAGCTACTGTGGATTTAAAATTATTTTTAATTGCAAATATAAAGTATTTTTGAAGCTAATTAACTTCTGTTGTTTCCTAGAGACAAGATATCTTATCCCTTTTGCTTAGCAGGTGTGTCTATATCTTAGAGAAGAATTTAGCTGAGGTTGTGTTTGATTAGATTGATTAAATATGCATTTTACTCCATAAAGACAATTTTTATGTGTATTAGTTGGATACCTATTTCTAAAAACATAGAACTTTTCTTTATTTCATGCTGTTTGCTCCTGTATGCCAGGGATTTCAATAGGGAAACTAGCTGTCTTCTTGAAAATGTGAATATATTCCTAAACATGTTCACTACCTCATCTATGATATTTTGCACCGAGTCAATGCATTGCCCATTTCTTTGTGCACAGATTTTTTTTTTTAAATGGAGTTTCGATCCCATGGTGCAGGCTGGAGTGCACTGGTACAATCTCGGCTCACCACAACCTCCACCTCCCAGGTTCAAGCAACTCTCCTGCCTCAGCCTCCCGAGTAGTTGGGATTACAGGCATGTGCCACCACACCCGGCTAATTTTTCTATTTGTAGTAGAGATGGGGTTTCCCCATTTTGGCCATGCTTTTCTCAAACTCCTGACCTCAGGTGATCCACCTGCCTCGGCCTCCCAAAGTGCTAGGATTACAGGCATGAGCCACCGCACCCAGCCAAAAAAAATTCTGTTTTCACATTTAGCTCATACTGTCCATACAGTTTCTCTTCTTCTTGCCTTCTCTACTCAAGAGTTATGTATCTCTTCATCTTTCTGTAAAAATCATTTTAAATCTTTCTTCTTCATCTCCTATGTCATCTCTTCTCTGATAGAAATAATTGTCTTCTGCTGTATTTAATCTCTTTCTCCATTCAACCTTCATACTACTACTATACCTCTGTATCTCATAGCACCATTCACTTTCTATTTTCTAGCATAGTTAATCAACTTTACAAACATTCCTTGAGGGAGGGATATTTAGTTTATTTATTTTTTTCTCCCACAAAACTAATACAATAGTTTATGTGCAATTGGTGCTCAATAAACACTTAAAATGAGTTATTTATTCAGGAGACAGAACACTAATAAATAAGAAATACTAAATAAATTGTTCAACGAATAAATGAAGTTTACTTTCCCTTTAAGCTTTTTAACCAAAGGTCATGGATATATTCTGAGTTCTTAGTTCGAAATACAAGAATCTAGTCTGATTAGATTAGACAAAATAATAATAATAAAGTACATAATCTCACAGAATCTCTGAAAAGGCTAGAGAGCCCTAGTTCCCTTAACAGGAGCAAAGCCTGAGCATACAGCAGATGCTGATATATGGAAAATACCATCCATCTCTACCAACTGCTCAGCACTCATGAGATGCAAAGCAGGATCACAAGTCTCTGTTAATGTCATCCCTTAGGCTGAACACATTTTAGCTAAATTCTACAGAATTAATGTGTGTATCTTCCTAGCACCCACTGTGAATACCTCTCCTTCAAAAATCTATTGCTTGTGAAAAACCAGGTATGTTTAGCAAGTCATGAAACAACTGTAGTCATTCATTAGTGGTCACAGACTCACATTTAAGCATAACTTTAAAGGTGTCATAGACCTGACACTTATTGTTCTGAATCAACATTGATCTCATGAAGATGAACTGGAGGTTGAAAGCCTGCAATTACCCACCAGCTAGGTACACCATTATTAGGAATGGGAATATACTAATTTGTCCCATAAGATATCAGTCTTTCTCTGGGAATTAAAATTAGACTTTTGTCTACACTACACTGGGTTCTGTCTTCCACCGTAAGACAGAGAATTCCAAGGTTTCCATAATGTGAAACCCCCACCCCTTTTTATGATATGACCCTTGAGTAATTACATCAGCAAATATGTAAATGTGTTATGCTGTTCCAACAATTACTCCTGATTTGGTTACAATTATCTATATATCATCTCTACTGTCTTGGTCCTCTTCATCTTACCCACGAATGGCAGCCCTAGCCTCCTACTTGGAGCTTTCACCATCTTTCCCCCTTCCACACTGCAAACTGCCACAGTCAGTCTTCTTAAGCAGTGGTCTGCAAGATGGCTCATCTCGAATAAAAAAGCTTACACAAGCTCTCTACTGCCTATTACACAAAATCTTAACTTTGCTAACTTTGAAGATTCTCTATAATCTAGCCCCATTTTATATCTCCACATCTGCCTCCCAAAATCCACTAACCCATGCTCTTCAGTGACGTCCTGCGGGTCATCTTCTCACAACTCCCAGACTCGTCAGCCTCACTGCCTGTGTTGCTTATAAGGACAGGCTGCCAGGTACACCTGCAAGGCTCCTATACTCTGCCTATCCACTTCTTATTGATGTGTGAAAAACATACCCAGCTCCTCAAAACCTACCCACCTTCACAGAACTTCCCCAAGTGCCACATCCCATCTGGAGCACTTTCTTTTCTTCACCCCAAGATATTAATATTCTGCACTGCAACTGAACAATTCACTGTATATTGACAGTATGCTGCATTGTGTGTGTCTAAGTGTGAGAGAGCTTGCTATCCTCTTGTATTATTTGCTAATTCAGTATGAACTGGGGAGCCACAGTCACTTCTTCACACTGACTTCAATGCTTAACTAAAACTACACTTCTTTCATGTTAACCCAGTAGTCATTCGGAATAATAAATACTCGACTTTCAGAAAACATTACCATTAAGTCCTCCATTAAGTCCTACGATTACAGGAAAAAAAAGGAAGACAAGTGTGAACTTTCCTAAAAAGGGAGATGCACTACACAATAATAACCCCTATGATCACCCACATGGGTTCCTGTGCTTTAAGGGATAAAGCACTACAGATACTTCATCCTGCTGCCTCTTACACATCCCTCAGGACCACCACTAGTAACAGAGGAATAACCAAGGGATAGCTCTTAAGAAGTATAGCTACAGCCCGACCCAAGCCTCTTGAAGTGCGTATTCTGCATCTAGCACTGGAGAAAAGCCTCGCTATTTCTGAGCAACACCCTACAAAATGTCACCCGAGAGGACAACACCCAAAATAGTTTAGATTTGTGGGTCATGAGTCCCAATGAGCCTGGGGAAATTCACATTCCACACTTGAACTCAAACTTACCCCCTTTTCTCCCCATTTCAGTTGCCAACATCCAAACTCGCTGTTGATTGCCAGCTCCTGCTCCTTGCAGCAGCCCAGCATGCTCTCTGCTGGTGCCAAAATACCCTTCCACCAAACCCCGCTAACTTCTGGAACTGTCCTAGAGGGGTAAGGCAAGTCCCGTATTTTGCTTCCTCTGTGCATGTACTTGTTACTCCTTTAAAAACACATATAATACAGCACATTTTAAAAAGGGGCTCTGGGGAGGGACATAATATTCCTATTTTATACCCTATGGGATATAAAATACTGATAGCTTTTAAAAACGGGATTCTCCTTACCCCTACAGGCCCTCTCCTAGCTTCAGAAAGATGCTGTGGTGACTGTGATGCCACCGGCAGAGAGCATGCTGCGGGGGTCACACAAAGCAGGAGTTGGAGATCTGCAACAGGCTTGGGAGTTGTGGACCTAAAAAAGAAAACAGTTTTAAGTTAACGTGCCCAATGCCCCATCATGCCCTGGGGCACGCAGCACACAAGTCGGTATCTGCAAAAACTCTTTAGCAGATGACCTCTGAAACCTCAGATAATTTGTTCTACCACTAAGTTAACCTTTTTGCATTAATCAAAGCTGTTACCTTATTTCAGTGTGAACAAACGTATGACCCTTCTGGCTCCACACTTTAATCCAGGTCCTATCATAAAGCAGTATGGTGTGTGCCCCTCAAAATAACCAAGTTAAGATGTGAGATAGTGCCAAAGCACAGTTAACAGCAACATGCTATGCTTATAATAAAAACAGAAATGCTATGATGTCAGATAAACACAACCGTAAAATGAATCACAAGTGGACAAACTGAGCTTTCAGAAGAGTTTCTAATGACAGAAGCTAGAGACATAAGACATGTACTTAATAAGGAAATAGGGCATTTGGGTGGTGAAAGGCCCTGCCATTTTCTGAAAGTTCAAGTTTAACTGCATAAAGCTGAAGGCAAAGTAAATAGACAAAGGCCCCAAAACAGAGGGAAAAAGACAACATTCACATGAGTTGTAATTTTCTCCAAACGCCCACAAGGTGAGTATAATGAACAGGCACAGACCATAAAGTTCCAGAAAGACATTACTTATTTTTATAGGCAAAACTAGTTTAGTATGTATCACGTCTTTTTTAAAATTAACTTTGAAAACATTTAAAAACCAGGAAGAAAAAGACTATAGAGCAACTTCTGAAAGCTAGCACAGTATACCTCAGATAACAGTTTGCGTATGTTCCTTTTCAAATATTTTAGAGAGCACATAACATTTTTTAAACCAATTTCATGTGGTTTCAAATGAACTAAAAAAATCCATAAAATCCCAATACTTATATAAGAACCTGTCTTACGGTTGTCTAAAAATTACAGGTGAGCAACCTTTTAATATTAAATCATTACTAGGGTGTCCTGTTACATATAATTCCCTTTGAAAAGCAAGAGTAATTAACAACTTTCTGTAAACAAAGATTTTAATATATTTCATTCACTATTTTTGTAAGTCTCTTAAGCTCCCTACACATACACACACACACACACACACACACACACACACACACACAAAACAAATACCAGGAGAATAAGCTAATGTTCAGAATGTTTTATCGTGATCATTTTCTTTTCTTTTACTAAAGATGACCATCTAGAGTACATCCTAGGATCTACATTAAAATTTGTGTGCAGTCAGTCTCTGATTCTCATGGCCTCAGTGATGGTATAGCTGACAGAGTGTCAGTAGCCACAACCTTCTCACCACACACCTTCTCCCCGTCATCACCAACACTGCAAACTCCAAATTAAAGATTCAATTGTGCACTTGAATGTACAGCATATTCAGTATTTTTTGCCAGAAGCATCAAAATAAAAATGGACTTCTGGATAATCTCTTCCACTAGGAATATGACTGCCCAAACCACCTAAATCCTTACATTCAAATTAAGGTTTTAAATCAAAAACACCTGGTAAAGCATTTCCAAACACTTTGGCATTATCTTAAACATGCAAATAGTTCAAGTAATTATTAAAACATTTTATGCATTTTAAAAAGGCATTTTTTTTCAAAACAAGTCATTGTTCTCACATACAAATGAGAAAATGTTGACAGTATCTGTTTCCCTAAGTTTTTTTAGTACTTCTAATAGGTTTTTCTTGGACTACTGAGTTGGTTCTTAATGCAAGCATCCATATATACATACAAATTACAAATTTCCAATTGAAAAGAATTAAGTTTGAACAAGACTTTACCAATATTCTTGCATAGTAGATGGCTGCAAATATCAGATTGTCTCAACCTTTCTTAAGCTCCTTTAAAATTAGAATAGAGTTTTCTGCATTGAAAACAATTTCACGTATAGTTAACAGTTTTAGTAAATAACATTTTCAGAAATATATTTTATGGAAATACATATAATTAAACGAAATTTTTTCAATAGTTTCTTAGAGTCCCTTGACCCAAGTAAATTAGAAGAAAATGAATTATTCAACCTCACAATAGTAGTTAAACACTAAAACTTAAAATCCCAAGTGCCCTACCCTGACTGGCAGCCACAAGTGAAGACAAATTGCTGGGAAGCTCAGAAAATGTGGCCAATAAAATGCTGGAATTATTTATTCCCAAGCCCTCATTTTGATTTCCACTTATGTTAATACCACCCTGTCCATTTAGAGGTTGACATCAGTATCATGCAAAAAGGATGTGGTGGTTCAAAAAACTTTCAATGTCATTACTCTACAATTGTGGCGGGAGGGGAGTATAGATATACAACCTCCTCTGACTCAGTCCACCAAACTCAGGGCTAAAGAATTCCATCTTGCTTGATGCAGTGGCTCATGCCTGTAATCCTGACACTTTGGGAGGTCGAGGTGGGTGGATCACGAGGTCAGGAGTTCAAGACCAGCCTGGCCAACATAGTGAAACCCCGTCTCTACTAAGAATACAAAAACATAGCTGGGGGTGGTGGCAGGTGTCCGTAATTCCAGCTACTTGGGAGGCTGAGGCAGGAGAATCGCTTGAACCCGGAGGCGGAGGTTGGAAAGAGCTGAGATCACGCCACTGAACTCCAGCCTGGGTGACAAGAGGGAAACTCTGTCTCCAAAAAAGAATTCCATCCCGCCTCTTGCCTCGTTAAAGAATTAAACAAAATTAGAAATCGCAAATTTATATGTGAAAAGGCCACTTGGTCCTTGGATATAATAGCTGAAAATACTTGATAATGAACTTCAATGTAAAGTTTTTACTTCATTGTCCGACACTACACAACAAGTCACAAAGGCGTAACTGGGTGATACTGACCTTTTTGTATGGTACAAGCCAAGAAAGTAAAGAGAAGAAGGAGTTATAGAAAGAAATACTCAGTTTTGCAGGCCTACCTTGAAGGACTGTCAAAAACAAAAACAGAAACAAATCATCATAGCGTAAGGCATTTTTCATAACAGTTGGCCTTTTCTGGGAGGTTCACACATATACTAGGCCCTCATTTATCTTTGCTGAAAGTCAGTCCTATGGAAAACCCAAAACAATATAATGATGCCTAAAAAATATTATGACTTAGGCTACATTCATTCAAATTCGTGAAGAAAAGAAGAAACTGAATTTTCCTCAAGTATTTTAAAAGAAATAAAGTTTTATTAGTTCTATACATTACGCACTGCAGGCTAACCAAAGGTAATTGAGTAGACTTCTTTGGCTTGTTTAAGAGAATGTTAATTTGTTGTTGATGCACTGTATCAAACAACTATTACTAAAGTTTTTTAAAAATACTTATCCAGTGAATTTATTCCACTTAAATGTTACTTCATTCAGTATTCACTAAATACTTACTGTGGACAATACAGCCAGCCAATGTGATAAGCACACAATATATACATCAGTGAATAAAAAGCATAAACCTAAGGTACCAACTAAACAACAACATCACAATCAGTGTCACTCTATGGGGCACTGGACACTTTGTAAGTTTGACCTTTTAATCTAAAAACAATCTACTTGGCAAGGTAGGTACTTTATATCCCAACTTCACAGGTAACTAAAGAAAGTTAAGAGGGTTAAGTGTATTTCCCAAGGTCAGGAAAGATGGCAACTGATGGACGGAGTACGTGAACTCAGACAACCTGATGTCGAAGTCCGAGCTCTGAACCTGGGCAATCTACCATCCCTCATCTCAATCCCAGAATAACAGATCCTAAATTCTGAATTAGCCATGTTCAAATTATGTGGACCTTCCTGCCCACCCCCCGCAACCAAAAAAGGGCTCCAATGCAAGATTTACCTCCTTTTAAACGAATGCCCATTCCATGAATGTCCATACAGTACGCCTTCTGTGTTAAGTGGTAACAGCCACGCTGGGATTAAAGAAATGCGGTAGATAATGTGTAAGTCTGATAATTAAGTCACTGTGTGTACACTTGAATGTGTGCACAAAAGGTATGGGTAATTAAGTCGCTATCTGATATCTCCCAGCATCATCTATGGTTCTAATAAGAAAAGAAGACATAATTACTCATCCTCAGTAAGTTTTTATTAAAAAGGAGGAGAAATAGCTTCTTGTTACTTTTAATCCATTTTTAGGAAAATAAATTTGGTGGAGGGTGGGCAATCTCAATGGCAAGTGGAACCTAAGATGAAGTTAATTTCTCTTCAGCCCTTCTGCTGCTGTACTGTCGGGGAAGGCATGAATAAAGGGTAGTGAGTAGCAAACAACTTATGAGTACAGACCAGGAATCAGAGAGAAATTCCAGGTGTTTTTCCTCCAGCTGGTCACATTTGACAATGAAACAATGAGAGGGATATGGTATTAAACGATAAATAACTTGGCCCCCACATTCACAGCAATAATGGAATTGTGCATTCTCCAAGGTAACTAGTAGTATGCATCCTTAGCTATTCCACATTCAGAACTAGCACTTAGAAAGTAGGCTGTTAGGGACACAAATGATACAGCGACATTATCATCTATGTGGAGCCATAACAATATGTCGAGCCCAGCTAACCATCACCTGAAACACTTTAACATCCCTATCACCCCCAACTCTAAGGAATCTCTGTTATCTGGCTTAACTTTAAGGACAATTTTCCAAGTTTTAATAAAACAGCTGAGGAACCAAAATGAATCAATGTTATTAACCCAAAATAGTACTTATAGCTACATATACTACCTAGAAACTCATTTGGTATAAGTAACAGCTGAAACACCTATGTAACTTTAGGAAACCAAAAGCACGTTTTCCTCTACTGTATGAATGACGGCAATGCAAGAATACACACTGAATTTCCATGGAGAATATTACAGGAGTGAGTTTGCTTACTTATCTGTGAATAAAGAAAGGTACTAACTGCTACAAGGAACCACTTACTATACAAGGAACTCCTCAGTGTTATACTGAATGAAAATTACTGTCTCCATGACCTTGTTAGCATTCTCAGACTCCATGATTATTTCCAGATGGCAAATTATTTGTATTATACTTCTTAATGCCTGGGTTTCTATAAAAATATGATTTTATTGTTTTTCATAAACACACAAAAGAAATCATTTCTTTTAGAACTAAAAGTGAATGCCCTTCTTGTCAATCCTATTCAGAATGTTCTCCAAAGAAGACTGACATCCAATAATGCCACAAGTTGTCTGTCACTTAGAATCTAAGATCACTGAGAGAATGAACAATATTTTATACTTCTTCAGTCTCCCTTTAGGTGCTGAGTTCCATAAAGAACACAAAGTAGGTATTCAGTAAATGCCCCTGATTATAGCCCAAAACATTCCTATTTGCACTCTGTGATATAATGCTCCTCAATGATATTGACTTATTCAGAACAAAACCCTCAAAGTAACTAAGTCACATGGTGACCTATAAAAGCTATGGGAGGGCAGCAGAAGGGTTGGAGATGTTAACCTAGGCTCTTTCCATTGCAATTGATGAAGATCCACTCAAGCTAGCCCAGATGAGAGCTCTCTACTCAGAGCGAACAGGATAATCTAAGAATCCTGTGGGAAGAACATCAGTGCAGTGGGACCCAGGGGAGTCAAGGAAGAGACGGCTGTGCACACACTTCCCTTGGCAGTCTGCTGCCCTTCCCACAGCTTCCCTGTCCTCTGCTTTTCCCAGTTTCCTACCCTAGCAAGTGAGCTTGCCTATGTCAGCCCTAACCTTGCTCTTGTCATTCAGGTAATTCTTTTTTTATTTTTAATTTTTACAGATATATTAGGGGTAATTCTTGAATTATCCATTCACCTTTCCCCTCTACTAACTGCCTCAGTCTCTCAGTTTCTCAACTCTAAATTCTAAAAATGAAATTTGGCTCAATTAATCTTTTCATGCCAGGCCACAAGGATCACAGACTGCCATTCCAAATTATTAGTCCTTCAAAAAGCTAAATAAAGACTTTGCCAGCTATTTTACTATATAGTTCAGAAATCTACGGTGCAAAGCGACCTTTTTAATCAACAATACTTCTTTCTCCTGCTTCTAAGTATGCACTGTCCATAATTCTACCCAGCCTCTTCTGCTCACCTGAGCTCCTGCTTTTGACTAGTTGTTCCATAAATACTTTGGTCAGCGCATTTAAACAAAATCAGACATCTCCGTTTGTAAATAAGCCCAATCAAATGAATACTTCCTAAGAGAATGAAAGCTTCCTAATAGAATACATAATTCCTACCTTTAAAACCTCAGCTCAGTTAGGAACTTAGTTGCTTGATACTATCATAGCCTCCACGTACCCTGTGGAAGTACGGGCTCAAAATACACCTACTAGTGTAGGATGGTGGTGTCCCTGTGTGTTTTGATGGTTGAATATTAATAAAGCAGAAGCCATGGACCCTATCCCCGTAGGCAAGATAACCACACAACCTCACAACCTATCATCCACACTCAGACATTTTTGAGAGTGAAAGGGGAGGCTGTTTAATAGTCTGGCAGGACAACAGACAGGGATCAGGACATAGAGGCAGCTGTGTTCTATACCACAGACTCGATTCTAAGGGAATGCAGCAGCAGAGTTGAGAAGACAACCCAGGTCCCCACATAAAACACAAAGACCCTTCTCCTTATCTCATATAGAGCTATTTCATGAAATGTGACCTAAGGCCCTCGGTTCAATAAGCTGCCATTATTCTAGTCTCAGTGACTGGCGGTACATGTCTCCTCCTCCCCACGCCTCACCTCATTAGCTTTTGTTGTCTTTAACATCGTAATCATACCTACTAATGTGTATCATAAAGGGCATTCACCCAGTTATTTTTACAGTGCCCAAACATACTTTATACACAAAATTTCACCACGGCAAAGGGATTCTCATTTATAGTATAAACAATGAAACACGTCTCTCAATTATAACCCCAAACCAACTTTTTATTTTGTGATTATTAAAAAGATAAAATACCTAATTACTCAACATTTCAAAGCTATCGGGTTTTTTTTTCTTTCATTGCTCCACTAGTCATGTTATTTGCTGTGAGCAAAATCAAATTCAATTTCTTCTTCTTTTTAAAATCTCACAGAGAAACAAAGCTTATTTCCTTCTGCTCATCTTTTTCCCTTACAGCTTCAGTAAACTGAAGGAGAAAAAAATCTTGATCATTCTCATCTATTTGATTATCTTTTAATAAGTACAGAGAAGTAAGAAAATAAGACAGTGGAAATAACTATATTTATTCCCAGAGCAAATATTTCATCATCTGTTGTTCTTACACAACAACTATGAGGATGTGCTGAATACAGAACCTCAAACAAAAACATGAGAAACAGCAGTGTGTGATTTAGAAAAAGGTATCTAAACATACTGCACCCTACTTCCCACATATTTTTGTAGATAGCTTTAATGTGTTGTATTAGACCAATACTGACAACAGAAGCTTCAGCTTCTATTGCTGTTAACACCCTGAGCAATTACCGTAACTCAGCAGGAACCTCTGCCCAGAACAGCAACTATCACATTGTAATCAGCATTTCATAAGAGATGCTGTTCAAACAGGAAGGCACCTGTTAATGTGCAAAAACTGTACAAAGGGGGCTCAAGATCTAATAGGTAAAATAAAAATATTTACAATTTTATTTCACAGCTATATATTTTTCATGGTGCACTGATGTTTGGTTTTGTGAAAATCACACACAAAGACAATGGGCAGGAAAAGGGCAGTAGCAGCAGCCACTACCAAAACAAAACTCTTCAGGAATAAGGCTATACCCGTATTTCAGGTGTCAGTGCTGTATCTGTTAAAAAAAAAAAAAAAAACACTTTGGAAGGAAAGATATAATAAGTAGCAAAGACCTCTAAAAATGGTTTTAAAAAATTCATATAGACATAAAAATTGGATAGAAAGCATTTGATTTACAAGATTAAACTGCAAGGCCGCCTTGCAATGCAACCAGGAAAGTTAAAAGTCACCTATCAAGAATAGATCCATCTTATAAGTAAATAGCACATTTGACTTCATCTTAAAACAGTAGGCATGCAATAACTTAAGCAATAACTTTTTAACAAAGAAAAATAATGTGACTTTTTTTTTTTTACTGAATATACTAATTTGGTACTTGGGCCATTAAAAATGATAAAAAACAAAGGAGATGCAGAGAAAGATCTTTTCAAACTACATTTCTTTAGACTGAAATATCACATACAACATAGTCAAAACAAATATTGTCAAATTACAAAGGGTGTTGGAAATAAGAGCATTCACAGATAGTGATACACATCTCTACAAAGCTAAGGAATTAGGAATTCTCTACCCTTAAGAGTACAGACAGTGGTTCACAATCTTCAAAGTACTAGGGTCCCTTGTAAGATCAAAATGTTTCAAAAGACTCCCAAATGATACTACTTCAGTAGTATTTCAAATACCAATTGTTTGAGGAAAATAACAAACAAACAGTGGTTCCTGCCAGGCATGGTAGCTCACGTTTGTAATCCCAGCACTTTGGGAGGCCAAAGCAGGCAAATCACTTGAGGTCAGAAGTTGGAGACGAGCCTGGCCAACATGGTGAAACCCTGTTCTCTGCTAAAAATACAAACCCTGTTCTCTGCTAAAAATACAAAATATAAAAATAACAGCTGGTTGTACTGGCATGCACCTGTAATCCCAGTTACTCGGGAGGCTGAGGCAGGAGAATCACTTGTTTCCGGGAGGCAGAGGCTGCGGTGAGCCAAGACTGCACCACTGCACTCCAGCCTGGGTGACAGAGCAAGACTCTGTCTCAAACAACAACAACAACAACAAATAGTGGTTCTTAACTGTGTATTGCTTTTAAATAAGTGAAATTTTTAAAAATCATAAAAGCATACTGAAAACAGGCTGAAAAATCATTGTCCAGACATGTGAGATCAATTCATTTACATCAAGCTTAGCATGTTTATTTGCAGACCTCTGCCAAATCTCTGCAGACATCCAGGGATCCAAAGCCTAAAGTATGAGAACCACTGGCCCTAAAAAAGCGATTTCATAATGAGGAACATCAACACTTATATATTCAGGAAGAATTTTTAACGAGAAAGTACAGCAGCTATGTCCTCAGTTCTGCAACACATGCACTAAAACTGGAAAGAAAGTACAACAGCTTTACCATGCCCAAGCCAGACTTCTTTCAACCGCTACCCCGGGAAACCCCCACAACAATTTCAACATATACTCCACACCTACCGAAATATTGAAGGAAGTGACAGATTTCCACTGGAAACTATTCTCTGACCCATTTATATTATTTCCCCTACTCATCAATTTACTGAATTTACTTTACTTTAGGCTCTTAACAATGGCTAAGAAGAAACAACCTACTTCAGAAATTCAAGGGACTATCTGAAATTGTCAAAACAGTTACTAAAGGGATAAAAACTTCAGAAATATTGTTTACAATATAAGCATTATGAGAGTAAGTGTTACAAAGCTGAAAAGATGGAACTAGTAACCCTCGTTTCAGTGCTACTGCCACGAGACAGTTAGCACTCAAAAGGTGAACTGGTAACCACGTCAACAGCAATGGAGTAACAATAAGAGATAGCCAATGGAACTGGAAAAAGAGAGAATACAGAGCAGAGCGAACAGCACGTTAAAAATGCTTACCAGTTTGAAGTCTTGAATGCTACAGATGAAATACGGTGTGTTTGGCCTCCGACTCGCGATATACACACAGTCTCTAAAAGAAAAAGAAATTTTAAAACAATGGCATTTACCTTTAAGGAACAAAGACAAGGCCCATAAAGCCACTGCATAAATAAGTGACAAAACATATATCTTTTATCGTAAATTTTTTTCCAAAAGATGATATTAAATTGCAAATATCTTTAGGCTAAAGGAAAACAGCCCTTTGGTTCTTTCTGATTATTTTTCTAATAATTTAAAGAATCTGATGAAGCCTAAATTATTTTCTTCAGAGTCCCTGAAGAAGAAGGGAGGATTCCAAGGGATTATCCATATTCAGATGAAGACATTTAGATAAAAGAAACCGCTTGCTCGAGATCACACATCAAGATGAAATATTGAGTATCTTATTCAGATAGATGCTCACATGTCTTCAAAAAAGAGAAACGTGCTACTATATTTGTAATAAATATTTTGTGAGGAAATAAATGAAATACGCAAAGATGACTAGCTTGAATATGCTACTACAATGACCTTTTCAGCTCATCAAAAAGAGAAAGAAAACTAACCTCTTACAGACAATTTGCCATTACATTGTACCCTAAACACATTTTATTTTCTAATTGTAAACAAAACCAATGCCACTAATCAGAGATGGAATAAAGTAAACCAAATTGCATTTTCTTCAGGGAAGAGGGGTGCTTTCTTAAATTACATTTGACATGGCAGTGGTTGGAAAATAATTTTTGATGCTCTCAATGACTGGAGTGTAAAGCATTGCTTTTTTTTTTGGCTGGTCTCCAACTCCTGGGCTCAAGCAATCCTCCCACCTCAGCCACCCAAAGTGTCAGGATTACAGGCATGAGCCACCATGCTTGGCCAAGGTTGCTTTTTAAAATGCCATGTTAAGACACTTTAATAAAAAGCAATGATTTTAAGGAAAGCAGTGGCTATAGAGAGAGTTAACCTCCTCCTACCCCCATATCACAACCTGAGATCATCATAAAGCTTAGGTCAGGAAAGTCTATGTATTATTTACTGAAAAGTAAAGGCACAGTCAATCAAATCTAGTAACGGTGACCATAATGCCTCATTCATTCATTCATTTTGCATAGAAAGGGCCTCACTATGTTGCCCAGGCTAGTCTCAAACTCTTGGGCTCAAGCTATCCCCCTGCCTTGGCCTCCCAAAGTGCTGATCTACCTAATGCTAAATGACGAGTTAATGGGTGCAGCATACCAACATGGCACATGGATACATATGTAACAAACCTGCACAATGTGCACATGTACCCTAAAACTTAAAGTATAATAATAATAGTAAAAAAAAGAGTTAACATATTTTGTTCCTTTCCCATGATTTAGATGTGCGTACACCCTAAACAAGCAATCTGTGGTAACTCTGAGAGATTCCTCAGTTGCTAAGAAATTCTTACTGCCCAATAGCTGAGTCTAAATCAAAGATAAATACAGACAGTACTGTAACCTACACACATCATTTAATCCTTACAGCAGATTTCTAACTGCTCTAAAACCTCCATTCTGATCAATTTATATCACACAAATACCTTCTCAGTTAATCTTCAACCAAGAAATTGTAGTTGTGAATGCAAATTTGTCTGTATTAAGTTCTAGCACTGACTTTTTTTTGTGGCGGGGGAGGGGTGGAGATAGGATTTTGCTCTGCTGCACAGGCTGGAGTGCTATGATGTGAAAGGGCTTACTGCAGGCTTGCCCTCCTGAGCTCTAGGGATTCTTCTACCTCAGCCTCCTGAGTAGCTGGGACTACGGTCTCATCACACTCCCAGCTAATTTTTTACTGTTTTGTAGAGACACAGTCTCACTATGTTACCCAGGTGGGTCTCCACATTGCTCAAGCAATCCTCCCGCTGCCTCAGCCTCTCAAAGTGCTGGGATTACAGTCATGAGCCACTGCGCTCAGCCCCACTGCCATCTTTTGAAATTTAAAAAACTCCTATGTGGGAGAATGAAAATCTGGAACTTGATGTGAAGTTCAGAACAGTAACAGCATTCCTCAGTAAAATGATTGTTCCAGATTACGGACATAACACAGTGAAGTATTTTCATCTCTTTCTCAGAAAAACATAAAAATGTTAATCTGCTAATTACATCTCATACGAAATTCATGTCACTCTTCACAGTAAAAGTAACTTAAACAAAATGATTTCACCTAGGTTTTACTGTCTTCTGTAAGAAAATATCGTGTTTTTTTTTTTTTTTTTGAGACAGGGTCTTACTCTGTTGCCCAGGCTAGAATGCAGTGGTGCAATCATGGCTCACTACAGCCTCGACCTCCCAGACTCAAGTGATGCTCCTGCCTCAGCCTCCTGAGTGGCTGGGACTTACTCTGTTGCCCAGGCTAGAATGCAGTGGTGCAATCATGGCTCACTACAGCCTCAACCTCCCAGACTCAAGTGATGCTCCTGCCTCAGCCTCCTGAGTAGCTGGGACTACAGGTGTATGCCACCAGGCCCAGCTAATTTGTAAAAATTTTTTGTAGAGATGAGGTCTCACTATGTTGCCCAGGCTGGTCTTGAACTCCTGGGCTCAAGCAATCCTTCTGTCTCCGCCTCCCAAAGTGCTGGGATTACACTGTGCCCAGCCTAAAAAAGGTGTCTTAATACACACAATACATCAAATGAAAAGGAAAGGCTTTGCTAGTGTTCAACAGGTTTTGACTCACTTGTTTCCCTGATCTCATCTAAAAGTTGAGTCTGTCTTTTTTTGAGCAATGCTATAAGCCACAATATACTGGCATGACCATAATACATTTTTGGAAACACCAAGCAGGTTAGATGACTTCTTCTATTATCGTTGATTAGAGAGCCTGAAGCTCAAATTTTTGGAAAAGGAAGTTAGCAGGAGCAATAAATCTCTGATCTTCAGGCCTTTTTTTTTTTTTTTGAGACAGAGACTCGCTCTGTCGCCCAGGCTGGAGTGCAGTGGCGTGACCTCGGCTCACTGCAACCTCCACCTCCTGGGTTCAAGCAATTCTCCTGTCTCAGCCTCCCGAGTAGCTGGGATTAGAGGTGCACACCACCGAGCCCAGCTAATTTTTGTATTTTTAGTAGAGACAGCATTTCATCATGTTGGTCAGGCTGGTCTCGAACTCCTGACCTCAGGTCATCCACCCGCCTCAGCCCCCCAAAGTGCTAGAATTGCAGGCGTGAGCCACCATGCCTGGCCTAAAGGCCATTTTTAAAAAGTACCTCTCTAGAGTCTGGTCGATCCTGTCCCAAGGTAAAATTTCCTGTTTCTAAGAATCTTAAGGTTTACTTGTCTCCACCAAACAGTCAATTCTGCAGGGTCACCACAGTCTCATTTATGATTGAAGCTAAACAATGTTAAAATGAGCAGACTTATCTATAAACCTTAGTGCCTTTGTCCAGTTACCTTCTTATGAAATATTTCTGACAGAAATATGATATCTGTCATTAATTTTAATATTTTAAAATCATTATGAACAATCAATATCTTTGGTTATTTTTCTTTTCTTTGTTTCTGAATTGCCAATTAATAGCCTTTGTTCAGTAGGGTAATCATCTTTTTCTTATTGTAGTAGGGGAACCTCCTATAGAGTAGGGCTTTTAAAACTAATATAGGCAGCAAATATTTTTTCCCACTTCACTTTCTGTCTCTGTTTATAGTGTCTTTTACTTAGAGATTTTAAATTTTATATAATTAAATTTGATGATTTTTATCTTTATGGTATTGTCAGAGACATTTGAACCAGAGAAACTTCATCTTGAATAGGGGCTGGGTAAAATGAGGCTGAGACCTACTGGGCTGCATTCCCAGACGATTAAGGCATTTTAAGTCACTGAATGAGATAGGAGGTTGGCACAAGATACAGGTCATAAAGACCTTGCTGATAAAGCAGGTTGCAGTGAAGAAGCTGGCTAAAACCCACAAAACCAAGATGGCCGTGAGAGTGTCCTCTGCTCATCCTCACTGCTACACTCCCACCAACACCATAACAGTTTACAAACGCCATGGCAAAGTCAGGAAGTTACAACATATGGTCTAAAAAGGGCAGGCATGAATAATCCACCTCTTGTTTAGCATATAAACAAGAAATAACCAAAAAAATGGGCAACCAGCTTCTTTGTCTATGGAGTAGCTATTCTTTTATTCCTTTACTTTCTTAATAAACTTGCTTTCACTTTATGGACTCTCCCTGAACTCTTTATTGCATGAGATCCAAGAACCCTCTCTTGGGGTCTGAATCAGGACCCCTTTCTACTAACGGTATCACACTTGGAAAGGCTTTTCCTATATAAAGATTACAAAATATTCTCTTCTGCTAACTTTTATGGTAAAACACTTTTCTCTTACAAATTGTAATCCAACTGAAATCCATTTGTTTTTGGTATGGCTGAAGGGAAGGATATAATTGCTCAAACAGATAATCAACTGTCCTAATGATCACTTATTGAATAATTATTTCCTCACTGAGATGAAGTCACCTTATACATGTGATTTTTTGGAGGGGCTATGGATTGTGTTCCATAGGCCTCTTTGTTTATTCTTGAGCTAGTGCTTCACTCTTTTAATTGGTACAGTTTCACAGCATATTTTGAAGTCTGTGGGAAAAAGTTTCCTTTCACAAATGGCTATTATAATACAAGAGAGTTCACAAAAGATTATGGCAAAATACCACTCTCCAACAATTTTGCAAAACTAAGTAATTTTCTGCTAGGTTAGAAGTAAATGATTTGTCCTCAGCTGCTGCCTGGTGAGAGGGCAAGCAGAGGAAGAACATATGTAAAATTTAGAATATATTAATAAGGCAGAACCAGCTCAATACTAAACAAATTATAAGGAAACTCATTTGGCCTATAGTCCCATAACTATGTCTTCTCCCAATCTCTTAATTTCTTAATTTCATCAGAGTAACAGTAGAAAATCTCTTAATTTCATCAGAGTAACAGTAGAAAAAGAAAGATTCCAACTTTTGGCTCTATAGTCTATTATTTTTTATTTAGTTTCTTCTTTCAGAAGATCAGTTTTGTACCCTTAGATACGAGGTGAAAAACTGCAGAGGGTCATTCCCCCAATTTTGATGTCCTTCTTTAATTTTTCAGCAATTGCAAAACAGGTCTTTAGTTTGTTCATTCAACAAACTACTAAGGAGCATCATCTAGGTATAAGGTATTTTGTTGGATCCACTATTAAATAACAGTATCTAACCTCAATCTGAACCATCAGATTAGATTAATTGCTCTTCTCTGTGCTCAGAATACCTGTCTGTACTTCTGATGGGCACTTATTATGTTCTGCTGAAATGATCTGTCTCTCTAGTGGCTTGTTAGCTAATTGAAGGTAAGGATACTGTCTTATTCATGTTGTTTCCCTAATACCGAGCATGGTGCCTGGTACACTGGTGCTTTAAAAAAATTAATCTAGTGGAAGTCTACAAGGTGAACTGGAAAGAGGAGAATCTGGAAACAGGAAGGTAAATTGAAAAGCTTGTTCCACTGTTTTGGGCAGGAGGTAATAAAAGTCTGAATTATTGTGGTGGCAGTGGAAATGAAAATGACGGAAAGGATGTGAGAAACATTACTGAATTATTATATAAAGCTAAGTTTAATTAGACATGCATTCACTTACAAGTATTAAGCATGCATATATAACAGGGAGAGTTCTTACTTAGAAAGTCTTTCATGCTAGAGAAAGGAGACAAAAACAAAAACAAAAAAAGAAAAAAGAAAAGAAAACAGCATTAGCAAGAGACTGATTTGTATTATTTCCATCTATAAATGCACTTTTGAAATCAGATGGCTGAACTTCACAGCTGGAGGTGGGGGTGCCATTTAAGAAAAGCAATCAAATTGACTACACAAAGGTGACTTAGCCCTAGTTCACACTTCTTTGTATGCCATGACTCACTAGATTTGAGGCATTAGGGATAGCATCTTTTTAAACTAGAAGTTAGCAAAATGTAAAATGATCAAAAACTGCCCCCAACTCCCCGCCCAACTAACTAGCCAAGCTTGTGTTCTAGGAGTGACTATCACAGACTTTCTATGTGACATTTGGCCTCTCTGGATCTCAACATTCATTCTATTAATTTCCTTCGTTCACAAACTCCCAACCTTGCCCTGAGTGAATGCTGCAACTACAAATATTAAAACTCAGGAGACTTCCTCAGTTTCTCCTAGGTTGCTAGTGAAAGTAGAAGAGTAAGGGAGATGGGAGAAAGTCCCATCCTAGTCCCTAGGATGCTGGTTAAAAAAAAAAAAAGTAGGTACTCTGAGGTCTCAAAAGGAGTTTTATAGATACAACCAGTAAGCTTGGTCATTGTAAACAAATCAAACAACAAAAAGTGCTTATGTCTGTGTTTGACATTTACTTTTTACTGTAGATGACCTTTACCCTCCTATCCCTTCTTTTTTTTTTTTTTTTAAGAACTCTGGCAAATAAAAATTCAATTGATTTAAATGTACTTAATTATTTCCCTTTCTGAAGGGTTAAAGAACCACAAAATCTTCAAGACAGACAAGAGGAGGAAGAGAACCAAAGGTCCAATAATCTACAAAATGGATAATGAATCCTTGAACTTCTGAGAAGTCACTCAATGACACTGCTTTGCACTAAACAGTCCCTGGAAGCCACTGGTTTGTCAAACAACATAGCAGGACAACCCAACACACCACACCCTACAGCTGTCCAGGAGAGGTATACAGTGACAGCACATATGACTAAAGAGGACTGAAAAGAGTCACCTTGATAAACATGACATTTCCTCATGGAATCTCTCTTTAAATCAAGGGTTATACTCATCAGAATAATCCTGCACACTTTTGCAAAATGTACATGTCCTAACCTCAGTACTGGAGATTCTGTTTCAGTAGGTCTAGAATGCAGCTTTCCTATATGTATTTTTAAAAAGTAACCCAGGTGATTCTGCTGTACAGCCCTGGTTAAATACCGCTGGACTAAATGAAGGTTTTTTGAACATGGAGACATGCCCCCATTTGAGGTGGGGGAATCATTAGGACTCATTAAGAAAAGTATATGGTATATTCTCATACATTGAGGTGAGAATCCTGAAAGTTGGAAATCTAAAATTCAGGACAATTCCAGGCATTTTTCCTGTCCCACATTTATATATCTAATCTCCAGTGGCACTTACATGTATACCCCACACTTTCATTGCCTACTTTCTCAACTTACCTGAAGTTTTTTTTTCTTGATATCTTTTTTTTCAAAAAAGAAACTAAATTTTAATCACCTCTCAAGAACTAACACATATACAGGGCTGGGTGCAGTGGCTCACACCTGTAATACCAGCACTCTGGAGGCAGGAGGATCACTTGAGCCCAGGAGTTCAAGACCAGTCTGGGCAACATGGCGGGACCCCATCTCTACAAAATAATTTTTAAGAAGTTAGCTGGGCATAGTGGTGTGCACCTGTGATCCATGCTACATGGAAAGCCAAGGCAGGAGGATCACTTGAACATGAGAGGTCGAGGCTGCAGTGAGCTGTGTTCATGCCACTGCACTTGAGCCTGGGTGACAGAGTGACGCCTTGTCTCAAAACAAAACAAACAAAAAAAAGTATGCAAGTGAAGCTGAGATCCTGGGCTATGGGTTATGTCACTCATTAGCTTTGTGAGAAGACCTAGCATCTGGGTGGATTAAAATTCATGGTCCAGGAAAACTATTTATTGTGACATGTCAAATACTTGTGAATAATTCAGCCTGAACTCCATACCAGCAAATGCAAAACATCTGTTGTATTTAAGAGCCCACTGTGTGCAGAGCCCTGTAGAGGAGGCACTGAGGAAGAAGCAGAATAAGTTGCACGACAGAACCAGGAGAGCACTGTGAACATAATTAACAAGTTCGCCTGAAGCAATGTAGGGAAAACATGAGAATATGTGCTATGGAGATAACAGTGGTAACCCATTGGCTTCAGCTAAGAAAACCTCCTAAAAGATAGGAGTTTTGGGAAGATCATATTAGAGAAACACATACAAACACATATTTTTTTCCTGATAACAAAGATCCAGAAGAGATACATACATTCTTTTAAAAAACATATTGTTATGGAGGGAACATTTCCCTAAAATTCCATCTTATTCCTAATTATATTTTTAGTACCTACAGGGCCAGAACACAATAGGTGTTCAATAAACACTAACTGAACTGAATTGTTAATGCTCTGAGAAGTGTGATGGCCTTGGCTAGACCTGATTTCTAATTTCTGCTCTGACATCTAGCAATGTGACCTTGGCAAGTTACCACTTATTCTAACAGTAAGAATTAACTGTGATAACTACAAGGAAGTGAACTCTTAAAATGTCAGCTTCCCCGCCACCATTCCTCTGCTTTCATTTTTTAAATTGTAAGAATATTTTATTAGGTCAGGTGCAGTGGTTCACGCCTGTAATACCAGCAGTTTGGGAGGCTGAGGCAGGTGGATCACTTGAGGTCAGGAGTTCGAGACCAGCCTGGCCAACATGGCAAAACCCCATCTCCACTAAAACTACAAAAATTAGCTGGGTGTGGTGGCACAAGCTTGTACTCCCAGCTACTTGGGAAGCTTAGGCAGGAGAATTGCTTAAGCCCAGGAGGTAGAGGTTGCAGTGAGCTGAGATAGCGTCACTGCACTGCAGCCTGGGAGACAGAGTGAGACACTGTCAAAAAATAAAAAAAAAGAATATTATATTGGCTACTGATGCTGGTTAGAGTACCAACTTAAAACTTCATACCTTTGGTTCAGGGAATTGAGTTCACATGTAACCAAATGAAACAATAATTTAGAAGACCATTTATTTTCTCTCAGTGCTTCTGACTAGAACAGCCTTCAAACTATACCCTTCATATGGGGGTAGCATTGTTGACACTCTTTCCAAAGATGTACTTTCCACATCGTCTTAGGTATGGAAAAATGACCTGTTTACAATCAAACTGGTCCCTTGGGCCTTTTCTTCCTCCTATTGAACTAGGAGCTCATTTCTCCATGGTGTGCAGACTGAGGCCTAACTTTCTGACAATTAAATCATGCTTTTTTGCTGACTTTTTCTTGAAATGTGAAACCTCACTTGAATTTTTTTTTTTTTTAGTTTCTTCTTTTAAATATCCTATTTGTTGGGTAAGATTTTACTATATCTTTAGTTTTAAATTCTGCTGTGTAGACTCTGGCAGCTGCCTCTATGGTGACAAAACAAGCTTTTTTTTTTTTTTTTTTTCATTAAAACAGGGAGATTAGGATTTTACCAGGCATCAATCTTAGCCATTATCTATAAATCAAAGCATGCTAATAATTTCCATTGCTTTACTTTTTAAATGACATTAACCCTTTTCATTTAGAATGTTCTGGAAGCACAATTAAGCCAAGAAAGTTTTCAGATATATGGCTGTATAGTATGGCTGTGTGAACTGTATGACCTTCACTGAGGAGGTTGACATAAAATACAAACACTTAAAAATTGAAACACACAAAAAATAGGTTAGCACTATCAAGCAGCAATCAGAAAAAGCCCCCAGGGTTCCTGGATATGAAAAGGCAGATTCCACAGGATTTTCAAGAGGCCTAGATTAATTTTTCCACAAATGAGAGCACGTGGAGGAAGGTAATGATAATGGTGCTCACACTTGTGATTCCCATACCAGTTTTTGTCCCTATAGGCTTACTGTAGGAGGTGTTCCCTACAGCCACCTAGGAAGTTGATGACCTACACTCTTACTTCTGCTTGCCAGGAGTAACTGAAAGCAAACACCACAGTCTGTTGTTTATTAGCTTTTAAAGGCTTGTTAACATTCCTTGTTAACAATTTCTTTTTGGGTAACCTTTTATAAAATGTGTAAGTAATGAGTGATCCAGCAGACAAGGCAGTAGACAATTTACCTAGATGCAGATATTAGAGAAAACAGAGCTTGCAAGTTAATCCTTGATCTTTCCTTGCTATCTCTAATTCCCTCCAGCTTTTACCTGACTTTTGGAGCTATGTGGAATCCTTTATTTTTTATTTTTTTAAAATATTATTGCCGTCAGGGGCTAGCCTTAGCAATGTCCTGGGAAAGTCAACCCTACCAATTAGAGGAGAGTAGATAAATCTCCTAAAACCTCAGAGATTAGTGAGCTTTGGATGCAGTAGGGATAACACAGTTAACTTAATACAAACAATATTATTTCAAAAAAGGAAGAAAACTGGACTTCTAAGGGTGAATTATTCTCACTGTAATAGAAATGGTTTCCTTTCAGGTTTTTAGCCTAAAAAGAGTAAGGCAAGATAGCTTAAAAGTATATAGGGTTTAATGTTTAATTCCCCTAATTCTGATAAAATGGCTTAGGTTTTTAGATCATACTTCCTAACTAATTTTCATTGGTGGAATACCTCTAGAAACTATTGTTTTGCTTGGCTTCTTGATACCCTAGATAATCCGGGGTTTGATGAAAAAAACACTAGTTGGATTTAGGGAGAGAGAAGATGGGGTTTCTTGGGTAAAGAAGCAGAGTGGCTGGATTGACTCAGAAGACTTAACTTGAATTTTTCCTCTTCATCCTCCTGTCATTCAAACTAATTACAGATCACATCAACTGTTAGACTAACTCGACTTCATTCAAGAAAGCTGACTGCCAACCCTGCAGGGTGACTACTAAGTAAATCTAGAGGAGATAAGACAGAGTGGGAGTTTGCCTAAGTAATCTCAGGGGAACAGTAAGCCAGGAAGTGACATCAGAAGAGGTAAGCAGAACACAGAGTAGGGAAATGAACACTGAAGCTTCTCCCAGAGAAGAGGATTCTAAGAGGTCAGCTGAGTGGGCAGGAAATAAGGCGAAGTCCTAGAACATAAGGCTTAGGGACTTCAGCCGAATCGATGATCCTTTAGAGGCTAGGAATGTGGACTCATCTTATCTATGCTCTGGCAATGGTCCCATCCTTCCATCCTCCTCCTCTGTATACTCCCTCTCTCTTCTCAAAAACACAAGTTAGTCTACTCTGTAAGTAGAGTCTGAATAGCTTATCTGCACATGATGATATCATATATTTTAGAAAAGGCATGAATCTTTTCTCCAATTGGTAGGTTAATTCACAAATCTATTATGCTGTATGCTCTAATCTGGAAGTCTTAGAACTTCTCTAAGTGTTTTTGTCAAAGACTGTTTTGCTCTACCTTCTATTGAAGACAAATGATGGCCACTAAAATGAGACTCTCTAGTGTGTCTGAACTAGATAGAAACTGTTCAAAGAAGGAATTACTTTCACAGCTTTTATGGCCCAACTGGGGACAACAGATAATGTGAATGAGACTCTAGAGAAGAAGAGACTAAAAGCTGCTCAGAAACCAATATGAATACAGAGAGTAGAGGTAAAAAGAATGATTAGCTGGATAGACCATAGTTTTAAAAATGTCCCAAAATAAGAAGCAGACTTCTTTCTTTCATACCTCTTGAAATTCTCCCATAATAATCTCATTGCTTGGGCCTGTTTCTCATAAAAGAACAGAATGAAGATCACCATTAATTCAGATGGCAATCCTAGAAAGGGACAGAAATCAGACTGGTTTTGATTTGTGAAATGTGTAGGGCCCTCAAAACACCAGAGACTGGCTTAGAAAAATCCCCACAAAAGCTTTCAACTTGAAAGTTATCAGGAGTTCAGGAAGGCACATAATTAAAAGCAAACTCCTTCTACCAAGTTTAAAATAAAACTGTGGCTCAGGAAAGCTGGGCCCAAGGGAAAGGAATGAGACCAAGTCACATGTCTGCTACCAAGGCTGAAACTGGTTTAACTCATTTTCCTTTTGGAGTTATGGCTTGACCCCACAGTGATGGGAAAAAACTTCTATTTACATTTTCTCCCGAAGAGGGAATAAGCAGAAGGAACATTTTATATTATGTTCTTGTGTACTAGCTGAGCCAGAGGAAAAAATTTGAGCTATTCTGGGGTGGTCTACAGAGAACCATCTTCTTTCCCTTCAGTGTTCTCAGAATATTGACTGTTGATGAACAAGCCAATGATGTGAGTGTGGCTGCAGCAAGGACCCTTCAAATTTTCAGAGGTACTGCAAACCTAATCATGGTCTGAGTTAATTGCGAAATAGTATAATTTTGTAACTTTTGAGTTTAAGAATCATTCTGGTTTCATATGTAAGTCCAAGAGAGACAAAAGTTTTCCATCCTTCTATCTTAAGGAAAAAGATTTCTTCATAATTCAAACAGACAAGATTCTTAGGAAACTTGAAATAAGGAGAATCTACCAGTCTCTAACTTTGAAGTGAAGCCTTCATTGTTCTAGTAATTTATCTGGGGATCCTGCATAATCTAGAAATAAATGTGAGGGTGGAACAAGAACTTCCAAGGTTTATGCAAAGATGTGACAGTAGAGGGCAATGATAATGAGGCCTATGCTGTTTTTTATATCAAAAAAATTAATATCATCAAATTTTCAATTTCATTAGTTTTCTATTGCTGCCAAAACAAAATTTAGTGGCTTAAAAACCCATTTATTATCACACAGTTTTGTAGGTCAGAAGTCTGCACAGTTCTGCTGGGTTCCCTCCTCAAGTACTCAATGGTCTGAAATCAAGGAGTCTGCTATTGGCTTTTATCAGGAGCATCTGGGGAAGAATCTGCTTCAAGCTCATCCAGGTTGTTGGCAGGAATCCAGCCCTGTGAGGTTTCAGGTACCCACAGCCTTGCAGGGTAGTGGCTGCTTACTGCTTGCAGAAGCTCCTACATTCCTTTTCACATGGCCCTTCTGATTTTCAAACCAGCAATGAAGCATTGAGTTCTTTTCGCACTTCACATTTCTCTGGCTTCCTGTCCATCATCTGCTGAGAAGGCTCTCTGCCTTCACAGGCTTATGTGATTAGCTCAGGCCCACCCAGGAAAACCTCCCTAACTTAGGTCAACTGTGGTATGTAACAGAACAATCATGCGAGAGCTATCTTGTCATATACATGGGTTCTAGAGATTAGGCGAGGACCTTTTGGGGAGGCATTTTAGAAATTCCAACTATCACAAGGATCTCCCTTATAAAAAATGGTCTAATTTATCTGTAACATCCTAAAAGAAACATCCATAGCACATGGCCTCTCAGCTGCACTAGGTGATTACATACATTCAGAATCAGGGCAATACCAAAAGTGCTGTCTTATGCAGGGAAAAAAACAGGCGTCCATGTGACCTGGTATACATATGTGTAAGAGAGTATACTTCCAAGGAAAAATTAACTTTTAAAAGCAAGTATTAAATCACATATGTCTTCATCATATTATATGTCTTGATTTGTCTTTACCGACTACTTAATACATATAGAACAAAAAGTTAAACATAGTCAAATACAGTATTTACATTCAGTTCATATTATAAATATTTCTGAAAAATCTCATATGCCAGATTGTGACTACCCTATCAATTTAAGGCATGTAAAATGTTAAGGCATGTAAAAATGGTATCATGTAACATCATCTCATATATTGCAGCATATGTCACTATATTTTAAAAGAAAAACCATTAAGTTCATTAAATGATAGAAATAGACTCATCTTTTGTTGTCTCTATTGTGCTACCTAATATTATTAGAATTTTAAAGCTCTTAGCATCTATGCAGACCTGCACCTCCCTTTTGTGAATATTCCCAGCTTCTGAAGAATTTCTGGATCTTTTGGAAACTCACAAAATGCACTCATTGTAGAAGGAAATATATGGATATATTAAGGCCTCCATAAGATACCTAAGGCAAGCCATTTTATATGTATAATTGAAAACTCTTGTGATTCATAAATGCATTTGCAGCCTCCGGCATATTTTCCCTCTAGCCTTTCACATGCTGTGTACTATATAGGATGAAAATGACCAACAGGGGAATGAGGAGCTCTAAAACTTGTGTGGCTCTAGCACATGGGTCACGTTTCTCACATTTAATATCTATGTTTACTTTCCCCATAGCTTGGAGTTTTAGGTTCACACAGATGTGTATGGGCATCTGAAACTATGAAATACATTCAGATGATTTAAAAAAAACACAGCCTCAGTGAACACCTGAGAAAAGAAGCCTGATCAGTCCCTCCAAAATATTGTTAGAATACAGCATAGAGTATATCGTAAATTTTAAAAGTCCTTATTTAGGCCTTAAATCCTACTGTTTGAGTTTCACTCCATTTCTCTAATTGAGATTCCAGGTCTCTCCCCACTAGCCTGTCATGATGTTACTGACCACCATTATACTTCTTTAGGAAGTAAGCTTTCCTTGAAGCCTGGGAAGAGATGGGTATTTTCATATGGTAAATGTCACAGTCCAGCAGCCTGTTTGGGTAGCAGTAACTTTAATTTTATTTGGACTAGGCTGTGAATCAAAACTTTTACAAAGGAATTAGTGAGGCTCTCCAGACCTCACATTTCATGAGGAGATAAATATTAATACTTGGGACCTAAGTAACATAGGGTAGAACTTTTTATTTCTGAGTAGATTCCACAGGCTTTTTCTCTTTTGATTCCCACAAAAACCAAAATATTAACTCATATATTTTGGAGTGACCGATATACTAGCAAATTGCAATAAACAGGAATCTGAATTGACTTGGGAAGACCTATGGTTAGCCTTCATGTTAGAAATAAGATTCTCAAGTGTGTGTGGCCTCTGACTCCTTTCCAGACGGCTAAATGGGATAGGAGCGGAGAGATCAAATCTCAAGCAGCAGCATTCATTCCCTGCATTTACATTAAGCACCTGTATGTGCCCAGCCTTGTGAGTAGTACTTACAGGAATAAAATCGACAATTACAGAATCTAAGACATGGCTCTCTGATCTCAAAGAGCTCTTCTTTGAGGAGGTAAAATATGCACACTCATAAAACAAATAGAATGTAATTCAAGAAAGTTGGCTGGGCGTGGTGGCTCATGCCTGTAATCCCAGCACTGGGAGGCTGAGGCGGGTGGATCATGAGGTCAGGAGATTGAGACCACCCTGGCTAACACAGTGAAACCCCGTCTCTACTAAAAATACAAAAATTAGCCGAGTGTGGTGGTGGGCACCTGTAGTCCCAGCTACTCGGGAGGCTGAGGCAGGAGAATGGCATGAATCTGGAAGGCAGAGCTTGCAGTGAGCAGAGATCATGCCACTGCACTCCAGCCTGGGCAACAGAGCAAGACTCCGTCTCAAAAAAAAAAAAAAAAAAGCAATTGATTAAATGCAATCAAATGTTAGACCATCTAGTACATACAGTAAATAAAAAGGGGTAGTTAGGAAAGGGAGAGACCAATACTGACTAGATATTCTGGGCAAGGCGATAATGGAAGGAACAAACTTAGTGGATACATCAGCTTGAAGTCTGAAACTGGATGGTCATGAAAAATGACACTATTATGTGTGACTTGTAAGTGATCTTACATAAGTTGGGGCCTTGAAAGGGCCACAGTCATCCCAAAGTGCTACTCTGCCTTGAAAGATGAAATTTAGAAGGATAAAGAACTGAAGCTTTCTTTGATTCTTCCACTTTCATACCCCTAGTAGGGAACTTGAGTCTTCAAATGCACAAGTTTCTTATTTAGGGGGCTAAACCACCTCCCAGAGCAGAATAGGTATTTTAAAATGTAGACTTTTGGGACAGGGGATGCTTTTGTAGTTTATTTTCTTGGTTTTGGCAGGGAAGGGTCTCCTCAGATGAGAAAAATCTCAGTAATTCAGGCCCTGCTAATTCAGAACTTGTTACAATTTAACAGGTCCTGAGTTTTATCATAGACACTTGTAAATACTAAAATTTTATATATATATATATATATATATAGAGAGAGAGAGAGAGAGAGAGAGAGAGAGAGAGAGAGAGTCTTGCGTTGTCAGAGTGTACTGGCATGATCATCGCTCACTGCTACCTCTATTTCCTGGGCTCAAAGTGATCCTTCTGCCTCAGCCTTCTGAGTATCTGGGACTACATGCATGCACCACCACACCTATTTTAAAATGATGTAAAATTCTGACTTTGGCTGGGCACAGTGGCTCACACCTGTAAGCGCAGCACCTTGGGACGCTGAGGCAGGAGGATCACTTGAGGTTGGGAGTTTGAGACCAGCTTGGTCAACAAGTTAGTGAGGCCCCAGCACACCTATAGTCCCAGCTATTAGGGAGGCTGAGGCAAGAGAATTGCTTGAGGCCAGGAGTTTGAGACTGCAGTGAGCCATGATGGTGCTACTGTACTCCAGCCTGGGTGACAGAGCGAGATCCTGTCTCAAAAAAAAAAAAAATTCTGACTTTTTACTAATCTAGGTTTGTTTGTTCCTGTTATTCTGTTACATTTTTCCTTAAGATAGCTTTTGTTGTCATCATCTCTCTTTCCAAGTCAGATTCAGTAGTCAGGGATACTGGTAATAATCTAGGAGCTATTTAAAGAAGAGACAGTAGTTTCACTAGAACAGTTACATGCCTTACTGGTTAAGGCTGAGGCTCTTGATCCAGATAGCTGGCTCCAGCATTTACTAAGTTATGTGATCTTACATGATTACTTAACTTCTCTGTTCAGTGTCCTTGTCATTAAAATGAGATAGTTAACTTGGTGTTTATGGTTATCAAACGTATTAAATGAGACAATAAATGTAAGTGCTTGGTACAGCACTGACAAAGAGTAAATGTTCAATAAATTTTAGCTATTGATATTACTACAGTCCTCCATACTTTTTTTTATTCTCTCTCGTCCCTCTTTGGTCTTTTGGTTCTCCCAATGTTTGTTGGCTGCAAGAGGAATAAGCTCAAATAAATTCCTCAGCACTCAAGTAAAGGGTTTTGATTATTTGTAGATTTTGATTAACCAGGCTAATTCCTACTTCCCTTTCTAATCTACACACATTTAAGGTCATTATTTTACTGTCTGGATGGATATATGTACTTTCAGACAACCAACTATGTAAAGTTGATTTTGGAAATCAATGCAAAACATTTTTTAAAATGCTATAATATACTCTCATCTATTTTATAACTTTATTTAAATCTAGAATATTTAACTTTTCATACAACTTTTAAAATAGCCACTTGCAATTTTATGTACAACTCCTATATGAAAATGTTGCTTTCATAATGAACTATGAGAGGTTAAAGTCCAGACACACTTTCAGTATCTTTATCTAATCATGTCACTGGTAGAACTCTTTCCATGCTGTGTAACCAAAGAAGGCTGTTGGATTTTGGAACTGTTATGAGAACTAACATTCCAGTTGTGGATAACCGTCACTCACTGCATGATAACCAGGTCAAGAATGGAATAAAAAGGAGGCTTAAAAGAAATAAAAAGCTGATGAAAGCCAACTCTGATTGTTTCCCTTTGGTCTTCTTATAGTAATAAATTGCCAGCTCACCCAAATATTAACAGATTAAGAAAAGAAATTAAAAACCAATGCTGAATAGTCTGGGAACTTTTCCAAACTTTAAAAAATAATCCCTTGTCACACAACTGGTTAGGTACTGAAGACAAAACTAGAATGCAACACAAAACTCATAACCAATTGACCCTTAACTAAATTTCTGAATCCTTTGAGAACTGAAACTCATCACCGTAACATAAGTTTGACCACAATACCTCTGAACAAAGAAACCAGATACAAGACCTGCTGTCTTCCTGCATGTGATTCCACTGGTGATGGAATAGGAAAGCACCATTAGAAAAAGAAACATATCTCTTATCTGCTGTGGTTACTCCTCTTGAGGTTTACTCTCAGCCCCTCCTTATGTTACATCTACTCCTTAGATAAGCTCACCACTCTTATGGCTTCAACAATAAATATCAGTATTTTTAGCCCATAATTTTCTCCCAAGTGTCAGACCAATTACTTTCTGGAAATCACTATCTGAATGTCCCAAAGTACCTCTAATTCGACATTCCAAAAGTGAAACCATTTCCCCACTTGACAGCGTTTAGCCTCCTGTGTTTGCCAACTCAATTTTGTCACACTATTTTTTTTTCTTTTTGAGACGGTCTCATTCTGTTGCCCAGGCTGGAGTGCAGTGGTACAATCATGGCTCACTGAAACCTCGACCTCCTGAGCTCAAGCTATTCTCCCACTTCAGCCTCCCAAGTAGCTAAGAGTATAGGCATGTGCCACAATACCTGGCTAGTTTAACAATTTTTTGAAGAAACAGTTCTTACTCCATTGACCAGACTGGTCTCAAACTCCTGGACTCAAGCAATCCTCCCATCTCTGCCTCCCAAAATGCTGGAATTACAGGTGTGAGCCCTGCACCTGATACTTATCATACCATTTTCTACCCAGTCACCTAAACCAGAGACCTGGTAGTCACTCCTGACTCTGCCCTCTCTCAGGCTCATCCTTATCCCCATTCTATCAATCCATATCTTATCAATTCTACCTTCTAAACAACTGAATGCTTCTCTATACTTCCCAGAAAAAATATCTCTGACTAGGCCCTTAACATTTCTTACCCGGAATACTGCAGTCAAAGGCCAGTGACCTGATCATGTCCTGACCCTCCTCCCAGTCCAGCTTCCACAGCTGTCAAAGTTATTTCTCTAATATGCAATTCTGAGCACAGCAACTTTACTTCAAATCTTCATTCCTTTATTCTTTATCCACAGGATAACTCCCCAAATGCTCAAAATTATATACAAAGCCTCACATGACCTGGGTTTGCTAAGCCTCCTGCCTCATTTCTTATTACATTTCTAAATATATCTTTTGTTCTAGCCACACCGACATGCAGCTCTCAGAATAATGCCATTATGTTCTCATATTCTTTTTCTACCTTTGTAATGTACTGTTTTCTTCTTTGTCCATCTACCTTCTATTGTTCTCCAAACTTCAGGCTAATGTATTAACCACATGACTGATCTAAAACACCCTGAACTTATGTCTTTATTAGAAAATTCACCTCCCTGGTATTCTAATTCTTGATTTTCTTTATCTCCCCAATTAGACTGCCAATTCTTTGAGGGCAGGAACTGTATCTTTCATTTATGAATTCTGGTGTCCAATATAAAGCCTACTACAAAGCAGATGCTCATAAAATGTTGTGGGAGGATTCACAATAGGGCAGGTGGCTTTGATACACATTTATCATGGAACTAAAAATTAGAGTAGAAGGGCAGGACACCGCTTGCAGGAAAGGGAGCTGATGTCTTCGAAGCTCCCAGTCTCTCTGGTCAACAAACCAAGACTTCAGATGCCATCTCCCCCAGCTCTATGTAGGACATGAGTTAACTAGGCCAGTCTCTACTAAGAATTCATGTAATGGTGCTAAAAACTCTCAATAAATTAGGTATTGATGGGACGTATTTCAAAATAATAGAACTATCTATGACAAACCCACAGCCAATATCATACTAAATGGGCAAAAACTGGAAGCATTCCCTTTGAAAACTGGCACAAGACAGGGATGCCCTCTCTCACCACTCCTATTCAACATAGTGTTGGAAGTTCTGGCCAGGGCAATTAGGCAGGAGAAGGAAATAAAGGGCATTCAGTTAAGAAAAGAGTAAGTCAAATTGTCCCTGTTTGCAGATGACATGATTGTATATCTAGAAAACCCCATTGTCTCAGCCCAAAATCTCCTTAAGCTGATAAGCAACTTCAGCAAAATCTCAGGATACAAAATCAATGTACAAAAATCACAAGCATTCTTATACACCAACAACAGACAAACAGAGAGCCAAATCATGAGTGAACTCCCATTCACAACTGCTTCAAAGAGAATAAAATACCTAGGAATCCAACTTACAAGGGATGTGAAGGACCTCTTCAAGGAGAACTACAAATCACTGCTCAAGGAAATAAAAGAGGATACAAACAAATGGAAGAACATTCCATGCTCATGGGTAGGAAAAATCAATATCGTGAAAATGGCCATACTGCCCAAGGTAATTTACAGATTCAGTGTCATCCCCATCAAGCTACCAATGACTTTCTTCACAGAATTGGAAAAAACTACTTTAAAGTTCATATGGAACCAAAAAAGAGCCCACACTGCCAAGTCAATCCTAAGTCAAAAGAACAAAGCTGGAGGCATCACACTACCTGACTTCAAACTATACTACAAGGCTACAGTAACCAAAACAGCATGGTACTGGTACCAAAACAGAGATATAGATCAATGGAACAGAACAGAGCCCTCAGAAATAACGCTGCTTATCTACAACTATCTGATCTTTGACAAACCTGAGAAAAACAAGCAATGGGGAAAGGATTCCCTATTTAATAAATGGTGCTGGGAAAACTGGCTAGCCATATGTAGGAAGCTGAAACTGGATCCCTTCCTTATACCTTATACAAAAATCAATTCAAGATGGATTAAAGACTTAAATGTTAGACCTAAAACCATAAAAACCCTAGAAGAAAACCTAGGCATTACCATTCAGGACATAGGCATGGGCAAGGACTTCTTGTCTAAAACACCAAAAGCAATGGCAACAAAAGACAAAATTGACAAATGGGATCTGATTAAACTAAAGAGCTTCTGCACAGCCAAAGAAACTACCATCAGAGTGAACAGGCAACCTACAAAATGGGAAAAAATTTTCGCAACCTACTCATCTGACAAAGGGCTAATATCCAGAATCTACAATGAACTCAAATAAATTTACGAGAAAAAAACAAACAACCCCATCAAAAAGTGGGCAAAGGACATGAACAGACACTTCTCAAAAGAAGACATTTATGCAGCCAAAAAACACATGAAAAAATGCTCATCATCACTGGCCATCAGGGAAATGCAAATCAAAACCACAATGAGATACCATCTCACACCAGTTAGAATGGCAATCATTAAAAAGTCAGGAAACAACAGGTGCTGGAGAGGATGTGGAGAAATAGGAACACTTTTACACTGTTGGTGGGACTGTAAACTAGTTTAACCATTGTGGAAGTCGGTGTGGCGATTCCTCAGGGATCTAGAACTAGAAATACCATTTGACCCAGCCATCCCATTACTGGGTATATACCCAAAGGGCTATAAATCATGCTGCTATAAAGACACATGCACACGTATGTTTATTGCGGCATTATTCACAATAGCAAAGACTTGGAACCAACCCAAATGTCCAACAATGATAGACTGGATTAAGAAAATGTGGCACATATACACCATGGAATACTATGCAGCCATAAAAAATGATGAGTTCATGTCCTTTGTAGGGACATGGATGAAATTGGAAATCATCATTCTCAGTAAACTATCACAAGAACAAAAAACCAAACACCACATATTCTCACTCATAGGTGGGAATTGAACAACGAGAACACATGGACACAGGAACGGGAACATCACACTCTGGGGACTGTGGTGGGGTGGGGGGAGGGGGGAGGGATAGCATTGGGAGATATACCGAATGCTAGATGATGAGTTAGTGGGTGCAGTGCACCAGCATGGCACATGTATACATATGTAACTAACCTGCACAATGTGCACATGTACCCTAAAACTTAAAGTATAATAAAAAAAAAAAAAAGAATTCATGTAATGGGTCCTAATGGGAAAGCTACTTTTATTCCCACAGGTTTTACTATTCTAGGAAGATTCCTTGGGCTTAACAATTACTGCTATTGATTTTCCTTGAGTGAAATAAAAAACCCCAAAAACAAATACACTCCTGGTTTTAATTAGGCAGAAAAAAATGGTTAACAGATTGCACTCTTAATTAGCATTGTTCATCCAAGTGTTTCTCATTCCATGACAACGGATTATAAAGAGGAGTAAAAATGGATTCCAGATTGGTAGTGCATCAGATGTAGTGTTGGATGTATAGAGGATATGATAATATGCTAAAGAACTGTTTGGTACTTGTCAGAGGAAGGCACAAAGCACACGCAAGAAGTAATTATCAACACTGACAGTCTGGAAGGCAAAGGGGCAGAATGTCTCTGGCTTGCTAACCAAAGTTGTTACGTAGACAAGCTCTGATGAAGGCAATAATCCTTTATCATCCAATTATTTATCAAATGTACCCTAATTAGTTTGTAGGACTGGTTATAAAACAAAGCTTATTGATTAAATGTTCCCTTTATGCACATTAATGGCTGACTGAAAAATATTATGTAAAATCTCTGTAATTTTTTGTTTTTGTCATTTTTTAAAATTGAGATGTTAGAACTGAAGGAATAGCAATCCAGACTAAATGGGAAAATGCTACTGATCTTGCTTTATAAATGCAGGTCAAATCCTATTATAACAAATACCAGTTCAATGAAAATGTGCCTAATTAAAAGATTCCCAGGGTTCAGCTGATGACCCACTTACTTCAAGATTTATTCAATATAATAAATATCAGATAAGCACTACAATTTGGACATCCTCTAGTATTTGTTTCCTTTAAATATACCCTGCATTGAAAAAATTTTAAATTAGCAAATAAGAAAAATTTGAGAATACTGACCAAAGATTACCTGGCTCTTACTTTTAGGATAATTTAAAAATGCTAAACCATCTAAATTGAGTAGTTCCTAATTTATAGAATTTATAAACGTTAGACCCAATAATATACATAGTAATTAAAAACCAAGAGCTACAAGTGTCTAATGTATTTGCAGTTCAGAATTTTTTCTTTAACTACAAAGACTCAAAAGAAAAATAATTTTTTTTATGTTGGAAAATTACTGTCAAAAGAAAGTTTTACTACTAATTGTATGAACCCAGCATCTTATATTAGGGTTATTTTGTGGTATGAGAAAAGAGACTGAGCTTTCAAATTCTCATCAATATCTACCTGGTGTGGTTCCCATTAGAAATGCAAGTGAATCTGAAAGTTTTTCCACTTTTCCTGAGTAACAAATCAGAGATGATCAGAGCTGTTACTAAGGGAACTTCTCAACTTTTAGACACAAAAAAGATACTGAACTAATGGAAACTTCATATGAAAGCCAAAAGTAGCAGTAAAAAAAATTATTTCATTATTTAGGATCAACAGACTCCAAAACAGCAATATTAGGAGCATACCACTTATAACAGTCATTCTTAGTGTCAGTAGGAGCGAGTGAGGGCATGCCAAAAGGATGGATGAAATTTTCTCTAGTGAGGAAGAGGGATGTGTTTGTTTGTTTGTTTACTTATAGACGGAGTTTCGCTCTTGTTGCCCAGGCTGGAGTGCAATGGTGCAATCTTGGCTCGCTGCAACCCCCGCCTTCCGGGTTCAAGCGATTCTCCTGCTTCAGCCTTCCGAGAAGCTGGGATAACAGGTGCCCACCACCATGCCGAGCTAAGTTTTTGTAATTTTAGTAGAGATGGGGTTTCACTATGTTGGCCAGGCTGGTCTCGAACTCCTGACCTCATGGTCCACGAGGCTTCAGCCTCCCAAAGTGCTGGGACTACAGGTGTGAGCCACTGCACCCAGCCCGGGTGTATATTTTTAAAAACCATGTTTAATAGCATAATTTTGTGTTCAGAGAATTAAAAATATTTATTATTTTCAAAATACAAAGTAGAGAAGGTAAACAAAAATCTTTTTGGCTGGTGAGGACATGCACTATCTTCTACATGAGTGATTTTTCATTAGGGAGTATATCAGCTGCTGTTACGAGTTTAAAAGTAAACATATATAATAAAGGTTTGTTTTCTAGTCACTGAAAAATCATCCTGCCTTTTGTTTTCTCAAGTTAAAAATAATAACTTGTTTGACTTACAGTTTATAGTTTGCCTTTACTACTGCTTGAACATTTGACGAAAGGTACAGTGTCCAAAATATTCTCTCCATGTGAATAGCTATTATTTTAAAATTCTCTCTGAGGATATTTTCCTTATATGGGGGCATTTACTCTTTAGCCCTGTTAACAACACTCAAAAAACAATCAAACTTTTAACTGCTGGCTGAAATTTCAATCTTCCGTTTTGAAGAATGTTGGATCAGGTGCTGTCCCTCTGTAACTCTGTGCCATCTCTAGAAGAAACTGTATGTATGTATACAAACAAGTCAAAGAAGTTTGGAAGAGGACAGTAAGAGAGCTGTCCTGACTTTAACTCTGAAATGCACACAGAAACTTCCCAGTATCTTTACTGTAAAGACTCAAGCATTTCCACTTTTCTAGAGAAATACAAAGACCCTGAAGCCCACAAGCTCTCAGATTCTGTGGGCTCCATGGTCCCAGAGAGTATGACTGGGATTTGAGAACCAGGCATAGGAGATTCAGTTATGGCCTGCCAATTCCCTCCCTTGGCCTATAAATACAGTTTCCCTCCTTCCTGCAATTTCAGTTTCCTGTGTCTCCATCAAGGATACATTTTGGACTCCCACAGCTACTTAAGCTTTTAACTGTCATCTTTGTCCTTTAGCATGTTCTTAAACTTGACCTTCAAATATATTTGAGACGTACTCCAATGTTGCTGGGAATATGGGGTTTTAGAGTCAGAGAGCTTGGTGCTTTAATCAAGGCTCTGCTGCTTACTAGTTGAGCAATGCTGGGCAAGCCATTTCTCTTCTATGTACCTCAGTTTCCTCATATGTAAAATAGGGATACCAATACCCACCTTTCAGGGTGGCTGAGGATCAGCCAGTTGCAACCAGGCATCAAAAGGCATATGAGCACAACACCACCATCACAAAACCAGTTGTTAAAATACACTCAAAACCAGTTTTTAAAGACTACCCTAATTAGTTGGACATGAGAGAAAATGAACTAGGTTAAGGGAGATCTTGCGAGATGAAATCTTCATTTTATACCCAGTCCTTAGTGTCAGCAGCCACCAAATGAGTCTTGCATATCTTTCTCTGACATTAAAGACATAAGCAACATAATGGAACATGAGTGGTATATGAAAATCAACATTCTCTTTATTATAGTCTCAAGTCATTTGGACACTGGAAGTTAGTTAGAGTAAGTTGATGGTATTGTAGGAATCCACAGCCAGTGACCACTAAAATTGGGAAGCAGTATCTTATTAAGCCGTCTATGTTTTAGTTTCCTGTAATTCAGATTTTCTCCCACTGTGACCTCTGTCTAAAAGGCAGGGATGAGGGGTGGTGAAACGAGGGTAGGGAGGTTGGATGGCAGCTGTTAGAAGTGAGACAAGACGAAAGCAGTACCTAACTCTAAGAAAGCAAAGGAGAAACAGAAAGGGAAAATGGAGGAAGATCACCTAACAGGTTATTGTTGACTGCTCACCACATTGCTCTGGAACTATGGTTATAGTGGTGAAGAGACATTAATAAGGGGCTCTTTACAACTAAAGGTACTACACAGTATAAGAGGGAAGGGAGCAAAGTTAAACACTAACTGAAGTAAGGTGTTCAGTTTTGCGGACCTCAATTGGTAGCCACCAAAAAATACCCAACAGCTAGTGGGGTGAAAGCATTCTGTGGCTCCTTGGGAAAAAGAGGTACCAGTCTATGTGTTGAAGAGACACTCCTGGAACTCGATGACAGTAACATATATATTGGAGCCCCTCTTGGTGCTCTCACAAAAACTTGTGAATAAAATAACTTCGTAACAATATTCTTTTGGTATTCTCATCCCTAGCTGAGGTCTTAGACCAACATGCCATATACCAAATTCCACTACATGGTAATTTATACTGGTAAGAAAGACATTGAAAATGCATACAAAATAATTGGGGAAAAAAACCCCACACTAGTCTATCCAGGCTTCTTGCAAATTTTCTCCCCATAGCTCCCTAAATAAGGAAGCTATGGCCGTCCTTCTTCTTACTCTGTATATACAGCAAAGCACAATCTAGTTCCTGAAAAAGTAACTGCTACATTGCCTGCTACCTAATATGCCCATCAGAGCTTCTCATCCCTTGCTATTGGTAGCAGTTGTTGCTTTTGTCAGCTTCCCACAGAGGAAGACACTAAATCAGATGCAAATGCCTATATGTAAATCTCTTCGCTGAGACATTCATTAGAGAAAATGGAGAAAAGTCCCAAATGGCTCTACCTAGGACATCGCAAACACCTCCATACAGCTGGTTGTCAATGGCCAAGAGTTAGTTCTTTGGCTTTTAAGCAAGAAATTTCCTGAAGGTACTTGGTGATTAAGGAGTAAGATTCCAAGTGGCCATAACTCCTTGCTCCTTGCTCATTTTGGTCTTTCTCACAGACAGACATACAAACTAGGCAAAAGCATACTCTACCTCACATACATACACACACAAATACACACACAGAACTTGCTAAACTGAAGTTTAATGTATATAGTTGTGTGGCCATTTAGGAGGTTTTTCTCTTGAAACATAGTATTGACCCATAAAACACAAGAAAGGCAGTGACTAAAATAGCTGTAGAAATTAAGAAAAGCCTTGTAAGATAAAGTGATAAGGACTGTAAAATCTTACTGTTAAGCAGTTTACAACTGATAGTTAAAAGCTAAAAGGCAGAAACTGTAGCCCGACATATTTAAGTCTGCTTTTACTTAAGACTACATTAAGTATTATGAACCATAACCTCTTGCAGAGAAACTTACAGGGTCTTTACTTGCAATTTTTTTTCCTGTACTGATTCCCATATGCTCTGAAGTCCCTTTGCTCTAAACCTAATGCCCCAAGTTATATATACACACATTCTCTACCTTTGACACAGCTATGAACATATGTAAATAAAAAATGCTGCTTAGTCAGAGCATCTTGGCAGTCAGGGAGGGAGATGCCGGGGGAGAATCAGACTGAGGTTTCCTATTCCTAGTGAATTCTTTACTTCGGGTATATAAAGAGGACATGGTTCCTCAGGATGCAGATAGACACGCAACCACTGGATTCTTCACACAAAGCTGGGAAATTTCCCCTTTAGGTTACCCTCACAGAATCTCTCCTTTTGACTTGATGCAAGATGACTTTGGATAGAACTAAATAAAGGATAAAAGCTGCCCTGTAAATTATAGTCTTGAGCTCTGAACCAGTCCCCAGTTACACAGAGTCTGAGTTCCATCAATATTTTCAATTCAGTTTTGACCACAGGTTCTCAGGACTGGTAGCTTACCGTAGAGGGTATTGTGCTGAGCAACACCTTTTATGCCTAGATTAAGTCCTTGATTCTCCTCAAAGCACACTTCTTATTGAGGCTTGCTCTCCAATAAAACCTGAGTGTAGGTTCCTGATGACACCAGATTAAATACTGGAGGAAAGACCACCTTGGATCCTGCTGGCAGTGAGTCTGGGATCTACTATCACTTTATCCAGAGGGAAGAAATACAAATCCTGTGGAAATCATGCTGTCCTTCCTTAGCTTGACTCCACTGGGCTGTAAGGCATTTGGAACTACTATGATAAAATCAGGTCAGACAACTTAAAAATCAAAAACAAAAAAACGATAAATAAGGAACCAAGAGTTTATAAGAAGGAAGCAGTCTGAGGAAGTCAGGTTTCCCTAAGTCCTCCCAGATGAAGCTGCTTTTACATATAAACACTCACAGTCATACACACATCTTTTCCCCTCCCCTCTTCTATTTTCTGACATTCCAAACTCCTATTCACTCAGTGAAGAATGCTAGAGAGGAGCCAAGGGCAAAGATTCACTTTCAACTCAGAATTCGGGTTGCCACTTGTAGGAGGAAAAGAAAGCCTGCCAGCTTCTAGGAATAAAGGGAGGCTCTTTGGGGGCATGCTCAGGGGCAAACCTCACCAACCTTCCAGTGTCCCCTGCCTCAGAGTAGGCAGCAGTCTCTAAGGCTGATTGCTCTGACTACTATGAGAAGGGGGATTTTTCAACTTCCAGATCTCTTAAGTAACAATGCCCAGACAGAAAAATTAGTCAAAGCACCTTCAGGCCCTTAATGTTCAATTTTAATGAGATGCCATTCCTGTTGCACCGTGAGGAAGCAAATTGAAGCTCTGGCTCACTGCAAAGAAAGTTATCTGTCCATTAAAGACATTACTGGCTGGATCTGTAAGTATAAAGCTTACCAGAGTTGCCTAAGATGCCACAATCGGGAAAATGACAGTGGAAAGTGGTATAAAGGTGAGGGAAAAGAAAGAAGGGCCAGAAATGAAGAGAGAAAACAGACAGTAGTGCAATTGCAAGGCTACAAGACTCAGTAGTACAGGGAAAATGAAATTAAAAAGAGAGGAATTTATTTGCATCGTGTTAAAGGATTTTGGATTTGACCTGGAAGAAACATCTAAAATTTAATCTTTTGCACTCTGTTGTTACCACTACACTAACCAAAATTTCTAGGCCAAATGTTTTCTAAGCCAACGGGTTTATCCCCAAAGTAACAACCGTCTTTTCTCTGGACTCTTGGAAACTCTAACCTGTTTTCCCTTTTTCCACATGAAATTTATACTTTTCACTTCAAACTTTCTCAACATGCTATTCTTTTCCCTCTAATTGCCTTGACAACTTCTTTACTCCTATGATTAACTTTGTGAAATTAAATCAAGGGAAGTGATCAGCTACTTGGAAGTTGGTCTGAGGAATATAGGTTGAAAAGAGTTTTACAAACTCATTCTTTTAGATTGAGAGTGAATCAGAACCCCTTTATTAGGGATCCTGGAAATTACTCAGTCTTCCTTAAGAAGACTGATAAATTCTATCATAAACTAGAATACACTGTGTCTCAAAGGCCAACTGTTGCCAGGTGCGATGGCTCACGCCTGTAATCCCAGAACTTTGGGAGGCCGAGGTGGGTAGATCACCTAAGGTCAGGAGTTCAAGACCAGCCTGACCAACATGGTGAAACCCTGTCTCTACTAAAAATACAAAAAATTAGTCAGGTGTTGTGGGGGGCACCTGTAGTCCCAGCTATTGCACAGGAGGCTGAGGCAGGAGAATCACTTGAAACAGTGAGGCAGAAGTTGTGGTAAGCCGAGATCGTGCCATTGCACTCTAGCCTGGGCGACAAGAACAAAACTCTGTCTCAAAAACAAACAAACAAACAAACAAAATAAAAAGCAAATTATATTGGGAATTCAGATCGTATATGATATATATTATGGATATAGCTTATATAGCTAATCTCATCTGATAAGGTGAGTCTCCATTAGATCTTTTCACTTAAAGAAATACTGATGTAAACCTAAATACTAACATTCCCATGCTTGGTAGCATGACTGGCTAGGGAAAGGTTAGTGACACTTTTCTGATATGTTGAATGAAAGTCACCAGTTTATATTATTCCTTAAAGGCATGGCAAGAACAACTTGATCAGACACAGTTTCCTGACCTGTTTCTGTAAGATTCATACAGTGATTTCACACTCACTGGCAATTAGAGAGGGAATGTAAACCTCTTTTACTCCAAACTGGCCTCTTTGTCTCTTTTTACTTCTATCTTATGTCCACTTCTAGGAAGTAGTAACAATGACAAACTCTTTTATATTTTATAAAGTGTTTTAACATATATTATCTCACCTGATCCTCTCAACCACACTGAAAATGTATACTACTGTACAGTCATGACCTGCATAACTGATGTTTCTGTCAACAAACCACACATACAATGGTGGTCGCATAAGACTATAATGGAAGTGAAAAATTCTTATCACCTGGTATTTACTTTTTTTTTTTTTTTTTTTTTTGAGACAGAGTCTCAGTCTGTCGCCCAGGCTGGAGTGCAGTGGCGTGATCTTGGCTCACTGAAAGCTCTGCCTCCTGGGTTCACGCCATTCTCCTGCCTCGGCCTCCCAAGTAGCTGGGACTACAAGCGCCTGCCACCATGCCCGGCTAATTTTCTTTTTTTGTATTTTTAGTAGAGACAGGGTTTCACCATGTTAGCCAGGATGGTCTTGATCTTCTGACCTTGTGATTGGCCTGACTTGGCCTCCCAAAGTGCTGGGATTACACGCATGAGCCACTATGCCCGGCCTAACCTGGTATTTACTATACTATATTTTTAATCATTATTTTAGAGTGTACTTCTCCTTCTACTTATATATAAAAAAGTTAACTGTAAAACTGCCTCAGGCAGGTTCTTCAGGAGATATTCTGAAGAAGGCATTGTTATGATAGGAAGTGACAGCTCCATGCAGGAAGACCTTCCAATGGGATAAGATGTGGAAGTGAAAGACAGTGATACTGATGATTCTGACCCTGTGTAGGCCTAAGCTAATGTGTGTGTGTCTTAGTTTTTAATAAGAAAGTTTTAAAGTTAAAAAAAAAAAAACAGATAAAAGCTTATAGATTAAGAATATAGAGAAATATTTTTGTACAGCGTTATGTGTTTGTGTTTTAAGCTAAGTATTACTGCAAAAGTGTCAAAACGTTAAATTTTAAAAATGTATAAAGTAAAAAAATTATAGTAAACTAAGGTTATTTATTACTGAAGAAAGAAAAAACTTTTTTATAACTTTAGGGTAGCCTAAGTGCACAGTGTTAATAGTCTATAGTAGTGTACGGTAATGTCCTAGGCCTTCACTCACCACTTGCTCACTGACTCACCCAAAGCAACTTCTAGTCCTGTAAGGTGCATTCATTCATGGTAAGTGCCCTATACAGGTATATCATTTTTATTCTTTTACTCAGTATTTTTACAATGCCTTTTCTATGTTTAGACACACAAATGTTTATCATGTTCCAGCTCTACAATATTCAAAATAGTAACATGCTGTACAGGTTTGTATCCTAGGAGTAATAGGCTATACCACATAGCCTAGGTGTGTAGTAGGCTGTACCATCTAGGTTTGTGTTAAATTCACTCTGTGATGTTTGCTCAGGGACGAAATTGCCTAACAACTCATTTCTTAGAATGTGTCCCTGTCGTTAAGGGACTCGTGACCATATTACTATCTTACAGATGAAGAAAGCGAAGTTCTGAAAGGTTAAGTGTCTTGGCCAAAGACACACAGCCAGTAAAAGGGGAACAAAATACAACTGCCTGAAGAATAAACTTTGGTTGATTAAAGTAAAGTAAAAACAGATCTGAAAAGATCTACCAATTCAAATCCTTCAGTAAAATCCTGGGTATTTGAGACACTTGCAGGAACACATCAGATATACAGAGAAACAGAGAAAAATTCTCCAGAAAGTTGAATGTAAGCTCTTTCTTTCTTCACTTGTCTTTTTGTAGATTTAATTTTTTTCAACCCAGCCAACAAGCATTTATTGTTCCTTTCTGACTGTAAAGATATTAATTCCCCTGTAAAAATAAGAACTGAATGGAAATATTCTTGACCACAGACTTCTACAGGATGAGCTTTGCAAACAGCCACTTGTTTAGAAAATAACTCATTCCAGATAAGCAGGATAGGAATGCTGAGTTCATCTATTTTATTTCTTGTAGGTAAAAAAGAGGGAAGAAAAAAGTCTATAAACTTTAGGGCGTTGCTATAATGGAATTAAGAGCACCAGGTAGTCAGCTCAACAGAGTTTCCAACAAATATAAGAACTATCAAATAGAGGAACTGCATAAGTTTGTTTTTGAGATGGGACATATCTAATGTGTGAATAAACCAATAAAATGTCTCCATGATGTGAATACTAATCATCGACTGTCATTGACTCAACTCTCCCAAAAGTTAGTAAAGGAATAAATTAATGAACCAGTTGAGTAATTTCTACTTTTTCCTCTTTTTATTTTTTTAAATTAAAAAAACCCAAATGGCATGGTTTAAGGGTGATGTTTGATAAAATGCTCCCCAGTGATGATTTCCAATGCTAGCAATATACCATGGTGCTGTACACATGGTTTGGGAAGGTTGTGTATTTGAGGTCAGATATCCTGGGTTGAAATTCTAACCCCTGCTTAACTGACTGATATGATCAAGTTCTTCAGCCTCATTGAATCTTATTTGGTTCATCACCCAAAATAGTGATGAGGATGCTTATTTACAGAGTTGTTATATGGTTTAGGATACACACACACACACACACACACACACACACACACACAATCATCCATCACAGTGCCTAGCATGTGGTCATGCTCAATACATGGTCATTATCACAAAAAAAACTTGGTTAACATGCATGTGCATTTATAAAATATATGTAAGAATCTAAATGAAAATCTGAAGCAAAGAGCTTAAATATCAGTTTTTATATTCTATGCACTTATTTTCCTTGTGATTATGTAAAAGGTTACTGAAAAAGATGACAGAATCTTCTTTTCAAATGCTTTAAGAAAAAACTTATCTCTACCTATTTTCCTCCTTCCCTCTTCCCAGCTTTCCTTATTTCTCAGAAGGCAAAGAGCCCTGACAATAAGAGGAGGGTATAGTGGTGAGGTAGTAGCCTGGTCTACTTGGTTCTAATTAGGGGATTGCCTTTACTCAAGGGATTGAGCAAATAAGTAAACATATTGAAAATGGCAACTAGGTTTCTCATTGTTAGAGAAGGCAGACATAAATACAAAAAAAAAGGGAAAGCTAGAAAGAACCCCATGTTGGTATGAACTTATGATTTTCAATATAGAAAGATAAAGAAATAAAGACGTAAATGTATGTGTATATGTAAGCAAATGCATCCATATGTATGTCTTTCCTAGCTCTGTCCACTGAAAGGGGCCTGGGAAGAGCAACACTAGAGCAGCATTTAGCATACCTAGTGCCCAGATCATTGTTTCTGAATGCCACTTTCTACTAAGAGGAACAGGGCTCCCTGGAGAAATGGCTAATTCCAGAGCTGGGGTAAGGAAAGAAAATGAGCCTGTTCTCTTGCACTAGAAGGTGAGAAAGTCCTCAAACAATACTTAAATGATATGACGCAAGGACACAGAAGCCTGCTTAAAAAGCCAAACCTGTGATAATAAGAGCATCATAATAAATAATGACAGCAATGAATTATAACCCACTGACTAGGAACCCATGAGTAGACATTGATATAAGTAAATGAGTGAAAAAAATAAATGAGAGGAGAACAGCTTCTTGCTTACAATAGAATGCCTACTAATAAATGTAGAAGGGGTAATAAAGTTAGAAAAATTACCATTTGGCAACCATGACTGTAAAATCAATCCAAGAAAGAAGTATTAATGGATGTTCAAAGTAGTGGGTAAAAGTAGAGGAGAAACTGGAGTTTACATAATCTCAAAGGACCACATCTCACAACATTTATTAATCACAAAGGAGGAAAAACTAACTTTACCATGGAGAAACCTGGCAGATGTCATCTCAATCCAGTCATCAAAGACGAGACCACTAGTAACGTGACAAACTGACAGCATGAAATGAGAAGAGCACAGTATCACTTCTATGACATTGTGGCCAAAAATGCATAAACTGGGTCTAATCATGAGAAAACACTGAATAAACCTAAACTGAGGGACATATATGACTGGCCTGCTATCTTCAAAAATATCAAGGTCAGCCAGGCGTGATGGCTCATGCCCATAATCTCAGCACTTTGGGAGGCTAAGGAGAGCAAATCTTTTGAGCCCAGGGGTTCAAGATTAGCCTCGGCAATGTCACCAAACCGCGTCTCTACCAACAAAACAAAACAAAACAAAACAAAACAAAAACAAAATTAGCAAGGCATGGTGGCGCCCACCTGTAGTCCCAGCTACTCAAGATGCTGAGGTGGGAGGATCCTCTGAGCACAAGAGGCAGAGGATGCAGTGAGCTAAGATCACACTACTGCACTTCAGCCTGGGCAACAACAAAACAAAACAAAACAAAACACCCCCAAAAAACCAAGGTCATATAAGTCAAGGGAAGTCTAACTAGAGATACACAAAAATTCGGTATAGTGATCCTGGATTGGATCTTTCTGCTGCCATGGACTTTATTAGGACAACTGGTAAAAATGTGAATGTGTCATACTTGTAATCCCAGCAATTTGGGAGGCTGAGGTGGGCAGATCACCTGAGGTCGGGAGTTCGAGACCAGCCTGACCAACATGGAGAAACCCCATGTCTACTGAAAATACAAAATTAGCCGGGCGTGGTGGCACATGCCTGTAATCCCAGCTACTCAGGAGGCTGAGGCAGGAGAATCATTTGGACCTGGGAAGCAGAGGTTGGGGTGAGCCGAGATCGCACCATTGCACTCTAGCCTGGGCAACATGAGTGAAACTCCAGCTCAAAAAAAAAAAAAAAAAGTGAATGTGATAAATAGGTAAAGGATATACAGCAATTCTTTATTCTTGAAATATTTCTGTAAGTTTAATAGTGTTTAAAAAAATAGAGTTTTTTCATCTCACTACAGTGAGAAAAGGGCACAAGGAAGTGACTTTCTTTTTTAATTCCTGACAACTTTGAAAGATAGTCTCTCTTTACAGAGGACTCTAAGATTATATGTTCACCAAAGAATTGGGTTTGCTAATGGAAACAGGCAGTCACTTGGGCTGAAGGTACAATGAGACTCATTATTAGGTTATGAATCAATTTAGTGGCCACAACCAGATCAATAAAAAGTGAATAAACAGAATAGCAAATGTTGGAATGCATTACACATAGTAGACTAAGGTATAGGTATGTTTTTGTCAAAGGTGTTTGAACCAGAGGAACTCTATCTTGAATAGGGGCTGGGTAAATAAGGCTGAGACCTACTGGGCTGCATTCCCAAGAGGTTAAGGCATTCTCAGTCACAGGATGAGATAGGAGGTCAGCACAAGATACAGGTCACAAAGACCTTGCTGATAAAACAGGTTGCGAGAAAGAAGCCAGCCAAAACCCACCAAAACCAAGACGGCAATGAGAGTGACCTCTGGTTGTCCTCATGACTCATTATACACTAATTATAAAATATCAGCATGCTAAGAGACACTCCCACCAGTGACATGACAGTTTACAAATGTCATGGCAACATCAGGAAGTTGCCCTATATGGTCTAAAATGGGGAGGAACCCTCAGTTCTGGAAATTGCCCACCTCTTTCCTGGAAAACTCGTGAATAATCCACCCCTTGTTTAGCATATAATCAAGAAGTAACCATAAAACCAGCAGCCCTTGGGGCTGCTCTGTCTATGGAGTCATTCTTTTATTCCTCCACTTTCTAAATGAACTTGCTTTCACTTTACTCTATGGACTTGCCCTGAATTCTTTCTTGAGTGAGATCTAAGAACCCTTTCTTGGGGTCCAGATTGGACTCCTTTTCTGGTAACAAAACCACAAGGTCCTTTAAGGCCCAAAGGAGATCAACAGTTAGGTGGACATTACCTAGTCTTTCAAAAATGTCTCTGTCTCTTCCTCAAATAAATTTCTTGGTAGGTTAATTTATAAACTTCTGGGTAGGTACAATATACAGTATTTTAGTTCAGATTTAGGTAAGAAGGTGATGAGTCAAGTATTACCAGTTAAGAAGTACAGTTGAAGATCTCTGTTCCTCCTTTTGGAACAGGGCAGTCATTTTCAGTCCATTTATGAATATAAGATCCAAAGAAAATATTTTAATTTTTATTTTCAACTGATACTTTTCTTCCATCAACTAACAACTATTAAGTTCTTATTCTGTGCAAGGTACTATTAGGGATAGCGATACACAAAGTACTGTAAGACATGATTCGTGTCTTCAAAGAGATTATAGGAAATCTCAAAATTTGTATCACTACAAAGATCTCCATAATGTTAAAAAATTAATATCAAGCCCTACTCTTCCATATATTTTACGTAAATAATTTTTGATCTCATACTAAACAAACAATTTGTTTTTAAAGGAGACCATCAACAGCACACAGCCAAGTCGGAAGATAGTCTAGAATTCATAACAGCTTCATTTACTATTCTATGCTTTTATAGTGACGTTTTATTACTGGGTACTTAGAAGGGCCAAAAATATTACTTGGGGGCAGGAAATAAGAAGTTCTAAAGGAAATAGGAGGTTCTTTGTCACTTTTTCTTCTCTTTTGATTTTTCCATCTCAATCCTGTTTTAATTTATGCGATGTGAAAATCCTCCCTTTTTGGGGGTGATGGAGAAGATCAATAATGATAACTCACATTTAATGTTGACTCCTGCACAGATGCTCCTGAGTGAGGGAGACATATTAGGGACTTTACCACAAAATGAATCATTTTAGAGTAAAGAGTCAGCCTTAATTCCACATGTAAGAAAATGCAGAACAGAGTCACGCAATTCTTTCAGTGTAATAAAGGGCCTTTGACATGTGTTCTTTGTGAACAAGCAAAAAAGCTAAAAATCAGACCAACAAAATATATCCACTAATGGCTTATACATAGTCTAGTGGGTTGCTGGGAGTAGGGAGAAGAGATGGTGCTATTTTGGAGTACAAGGCAGCAGCAGAGAGGCAAAGCAAGACAGGATATACAAGTTGCACAGCATGGAGCTCACAATAACTTAACTAGCTGACAAAATGTTCCCAATCTTGCTCCCATATATTTAAATAATCATGCCCTAGTGTTACGAATGTTAAGTCTCAGAAATTCATTTAAGGGTAAGATATTATAAAGGTCCTTTAAGAAAATCATTCTGCAAACCTGTCCTAGAATTGGTTCAAGAGTTTAGTATTTTGCAATTAAATTTAACTTTAGCAATGGCTTACAAAAAGCAGAAATGAAAACCTATCTCTTTTTAATGTGAACAATTCCCCATTCACACTTTTTTTGTAGGCCACACAGGCTAGAAACATCAGTAAAGGTATAAGGGGCAGGTTTGTCACGGGGAGGGGAAGGGGCAACACTTACCACAAGAGCTTTTGAAAATATGTGGGGACACTGATTGTCACAATGATTGGAGGGTGCTATTGGCATTTCAAATGCCAGGCTCAGGGATGCTGAATGCTTGCTATTCTGGAAACAGACCCACATAGTGAAGAACTACCCTGCCAAATGCTCATAGCACCTTGACGAGAAAAAAAAAATGCTTGAACTGATCAGAAGCACTAACAGGGTATATTATATCTCTTTTGATTAGCTTAAAAGTAGCAAAAGGACTCTATATAGTGTCAGTTAAACACTGAATAAGTAGCTTTAAAACATATGATTTATCTGAAATTTTTGTTAAGACTATAAGTATTTAGTACAGTTAAGAGTTAGGGAGAATTAGGGAGATAGTTTCCTCAAATTCATCAGATATTACAATTTAAATATGTGCAGTAGTCCAGAAATTATATGTCAAGAAAGGTGTTTCAAAAACTTAAGGAGAAAGGTACGGAGGAGAAAGGTACAGAATTAATTTTAGAATAACTTTTAAAATAAATAAATCCATTTAGTTCTCAAAGATATCTGTGATAGTTAAGTTGTGCTTGTAATCTGTATGCCAGGCCAAACGTATTACTGCCTGGTAGCAACACACTTAAATTTAAGCTCACAAGTTTGATAACGATCAGTTTCTTGAAAATGTAACCTATAACTTAAAGAAGGTTCAGAAATTCTATGTAAGTTTTTAAATTGTCATCAACTTGATTTTTAAAAATATTTTGTTAGTTTTCTTTAAAGCCTATAAATGAGGCTGAATGGTCCACCAGGTGTTAAGAAAAATAATTATTTCCCACTTTTAGTTAACTGCAGAGTTTTAAGGAAAAGGCCCTATGAAAAGTGATCTATGCATGATTCATCTAGAAATTTAAATATTTCAACTAGTCTTCATAGTTGTGAATTTGCAGTTGATCCAGAAATAAAGCCTGCTCTGTTCATCTGGGTTTACTAAAAATACTCCCAAACTTAACATCTAACTTCTTTTTTTTTTTTTCAATAATAACATAGATCCTGGAAGAGTATATGAAAGACTCTTTCTGGTCAACAATGAACTGGCATGCACCCTTTTTGCTTTGCAGATACTTCTGACATATGCAATGTAAATGTTTATTCATTTATTAGTTGTCTATGTGCCATCTATATACAGTTTATCTTCACGTTCTCAGGTAAACATACTTTAAAATAGTTGAAGATGCAAGATGCCATTGTACTACTAGGTTTACCCTCTCATTTCCTTTATCCTCAACTTATTTTCTTTGTGTCATCTGAATCCTCCAGATATCTAACTTTTCCTTTTTATGCCTTTCACATTTCCACTGGAGATCACTTTGTCCCCTTCATTAAGGTTCTGTCAGGAGAGATTTAAGATTTGGTTCTAGCTAAAAAATATGGCAGTAGCTCTGAAGATGACATAAAAGCTTTTCCCTATGCCTAAGATTTCAAATATATGTATACATTTGAAAGAAAAAACAGGGAGAGCATTATTTTTTTGTCCAGATTATTTTTGCTCATTGTAGGTAAAAAACAATCTGTGCATATATGTAAAAAACAAAAACAAAAACAAAAAAAACAAAACGAAAAAGAAAACCTTTCAGTCCCTACATAATAACTCAGAAATAAAGTTTCTTCAGCCAGCTATGGGGATGGGGGAAACAATTCCCAGGGTACAGATGTTAGTGGTCCTGTCAACTCTGTCATTCTCACATTGCAATGCCAATGCAATCCCACATAAACACAATTATGCTGAGGCAAACACTGTTGCAGAGTATGAGAACTACATATGCACTGTTCTAAGAAACACAACTTGTGAGGTTCTTGAGGCATGGCAAGGTTTGTGGCAAACAGGACCAATGTGAGAATCAAATTTATTGGATTCCTAGAGTCTACTGCTTAGCATGCAATACAGTAAACAACTAAGCTCCATGATGACTGAATTGACTGGCATACAACAACCACAAATTGTTCTCTTTGAGCACAAAGGGCATGTAAGAGCTAACAGATGAGTGTCCCAGGCATGGTTCTGCGTAGTTTGTATGATACTGTATATGATGTTACTAACTAGGCTGGTCAGTTTGGGTGGTGATAACAGTGTGTTACTGGAGTTAAAGTTACAGAGTCAATCTCTATATGCTTAGTTAGCACCATATTAAAACAAAACAAAATTTTTTCCATGCCACAGACTATTAGTGACCTAGCTATCTTACGGATACATGCTGTTGGTCATAATACAGACTGAGAGTGTCCAAAACCCATCATTACAACTGGAATTAAAATAACTGGAATCAAAGATCAAAGCTGGTCCACACAGAAGGATGAGCACGAAGTCAAAGGTCCAGTCCTTAAAACCTATACCACCTAGGTATAATCAGATGTCTTTTTCTAGTGCTGTTTGTAGGAAGTATTCAGACTTTATTTTGGTTTTTCTTAGCCTCAGTTCTTAGCCTCTTTTTGTTGTTACTAAACAAGTTGGAGGCGAAACAATCTAGTGTAGATTCTGGTTTCCTTCTTTTTATTTTCTGAAACAGTTTATGTAAGACAAGTATTATTATACTTGTTCCTTGACAGTTTGATAGAATTCATCCCCCAAATTACTCTAGGCCTGGTGTTTTTGGCAGGAGGTTGGGGAGGTGGTGGTTAAGTATGATTAAATTTCTTTAAAGGTTATGGGACTTCTTTGTTTTGCCATTTCTTCCTAAGTCATTGTGATATTTTATATTTTCCCAGAAGTGTCCACTTAAACTAAGTTTTCAAGCTTATTGTCATAAAGTTGCTCAAAATAATCTTATATTTTAAATATGTTTATCTTAATTTTGTCCCTATTTCTCTTCCTAATACTATTTGTTTACACCTATAGTTTTTCTCTAGATCAGCTTTTCAAAGGTTTACTGCATTTTACCCTCCCTGATGGGGCTCAGTGTGCGCAGCTGGAAAAAGTAGATGCCCTGGTTATGCATGCAGCTCATTTGTTGTACATGTTGCTTTAAGGGACCTTGAAGACTCTTCCCTCTCCCTATTGTTGCCAAAATAACTGCCTCTGATCTGTTTTTGTTTGCATCCCAGGCCCCAGACTAGCATGTAAGATGCCTTTGAGAAGTCCTAGAACACTGCAGTCAAGGTGGACGTTGGAAAATAAAAAGGCTTATTGAATTTTCTATCTTTTCAAAGAATCAGCTCCTGGTATTAACACTATTTCTACTGCTATTCTGTTTTCTGTTCATTAATTTCTGCTTTTATCTTTATTTTATTTCATTCCTTCTACTTACTTTGGGCTTACTCTGTTTTCAACTTCTTGAGTTGAAAGATTAACTCATTTATTTTCACTTTTTCTAATTTTTTAACCTTAAACATGTATTTAAGGTTATAGTTTTCTCTCTTTAGCTACTTTACAAGATCTAATGTGGAGTAATTTCATTGTCGTTCAGCTCTAAATATTTTGTAATTCTCATTATAATTACCTCCTTACCCATGCAGTATCTACAAGGAAGTTTATCAGAAGTATTCTTTTCTTCTTCAGCTAACTTTTTGTTGCCATTACAAAAAAACTATAACCCCTCCATAATCTCAATTCTGTATCTCCACATCCTATTTTTCCAGCTTATTCTTTCTACTAGGGTGATCCTGAACTACTGTGCATTGTTCAACCTCATGGAATCTCCACTGACTCTCATGCTCTTGATGTCCCTTCACTCTCCTCTTTATCGAGATTACATTCCATGATTTATCATTATTATCATCACTCTCCCCTCTCTCCCTTTATAGTGCTTGGCAAAACTACAACCTTGTTTAAATCCAATTTTCTGCCTACTCCACACCTGCACCTGTGCAACTAAATGTGGCTGGAAAAAAACATACAACCATGCTCATTGGTCTCAATTTAAATTCATTACTTTGAACCTTTAGTGGACTCTAATGCACACAAAGATACTTCCCTAGTCCATTTACTTTCCTAGATAAATACTTTACCCCTTTCCCTTTTAACTCAAACACCCAACACTTCCTTCCTCGTGTTCTTTCTTGGCTGCTGGTCTTGCTTTCTACTTCACTAAGAAAATTGAAGCAATCAGAAAAGAACTTCCACAAACTATTACCACATTTAACCACCCTTTACCATCTTCTCACTTGTTACCATTGATGAACCTAACGTGCTTCTATTTGAAGTCAAATCCTTCAACTTGTACTCTAGACCCTACTCAAGGACCTCATTACAGCAGTTCTCCATTCTTCCTCCCACATCATCTTTTTGTTGTTGTTGTTCTCCATTGGTATCATTCTCACAAGCAAACATGTAGCTTAAAAAACACCCTTTTCTGGCTGGGTGTGGTAGCTCATGCCTGTGATGCCAGCACTCTTGGAGGCCGAGGCGGATCACCTGAGGCCAGGAGTTTGAGACCAGCCTGGTCAACATGGCGGAAGCCTGTCTCTACTAAAACTACAAAATATTAGCCAGGTATGGTGGCGGGCACCTGTAATCCCAGCTACTCGGGAGGCTGAGGCAGGAGAATCACTTGAACCTGGGAGGCGGAGGCTGCAGTAAGCCAAGATTGCACCACTGCACCACTCCAGCCTGGGCAACAGAGCAAGACTCCATCTCAAAACAAAAAACATCCTTTTCTTGACTCTCCCCAAAAGCTGCCACTCCATTTCCTTGCTAACCCCCATTCCTGAAAAACTTATCTCTAAAAAAAAAAAAAAAAATAGCTTTTCTCAATGTTTTCAACTCCTCTCTTCTCAATGTGGCTTAAAATTACTTCAGTCAGGCTTTCTGTCCCACTATTCTAACAAAACCACTCTTATCAAGGTCTTAATGTTATCAAAATCAATGGTCAGTTCTTAGTCTTCATCTTATATGACCCTAACAGCAACATTTAACACTGTTGACAACTACCTCTTTCTTGATACATTTTTTTTTTTTCACTCACACTGGAAAGGACACAAGATACTTCTTGGGCCCTCTTCCCTTTTCTGTATTTTCTTTCTGTTATCTGATACAGTCTTATAGCTCTAAATATCATCTAAATACTCTACAGCATTTTGGCAGATCTGTTTAACCAAACTGCCAAAATTTCCAGTTGGAAATCTAACAGTTATCTCAAACCAACATATCTAAAACTGGATTCTGGCCACGTGTGGTGGCTCACACCTGTAATCCCAGCACTTTGGGAAGCCAAGGTGGGCAGATCACTTGAGGTCAGGAGAGTTCTAGACCAGCCTGGGTAACACGGTGAAACCCCAACTCTACTAAAAATACAAAAATTAGCTGGGTGTGGTGGCAGACACCTGTAATCCCAGTTACTCAGGAGGCAGAGGCAGGAGAATCACTTTGAACCCAGGAGGCAGAGGTTGCAGTGAGCCAAGATCGAGTCACTGCACTCCAACCTGGGTGAGAGAGCGAGACCCTGTCCAAAAAATAAAAAAAAAAAAATTGGATTCCTAAGAAGTCATTATATGAAAAAAATACTTCCACGTGCATGTTTACAGCAGCACAATCTGCAATTGCAAAAATTTGGAACAAGCCCAAATGCCCATCAGTCAATGAGTGGATAAAGAAATTGTGGTATATATATATACACCATGGAATACTACTCAGCCATAAAAAGGAATGAAATAATGGCATTTGCAGTGACTTGGATGGAATTGGAGACCATTATTCTAAGTGAAGTAACTCAGGAACTGAAAACCAAACATTGTATGTTCTCACTCATAAGAAGGAGCTAAGCTATCAGGATGAAAAGGTGTAAGAATGACACAGTGGACTTTGGGGACTCAGGGGAAAGTATGAGAGGGTGGTAAGGGATAAAAGACTACACATTGGGTACAGTGTACACTGCTTGGATGATGGGAGCACCAAAATCTCAGAAATCACAGTAAAGAACTTATTCATATAACCAGATTACCTGTTCCCCCAAAATCTATGGAAAAAAAAATTAAATAAATAAATAAATAAGATTGGCTTCCTAGTTTTCTTCCCCAACCTGCTTCATTTGTAGCCTCCCCCATGTCAGTTGATGGAAACTCTATCCTATCAGTTGCTTAGGTCAAAAACCTTGGAATCATCTACAATTCCTCCCTCTTTCTGTCACACCCCACAAGCCCTTCCAGGAAATGTTGGCTCTACCTTCAAATATATCCAGAATCTTACCAACTTTCAACAACTCTATTGCTACCATGTGATCCAAGCCCCTATCATCATTTCTTGCCTGGATTACTGAAATAGCTGCTCAGCTGCTACCTTTGTCTGAAGTCTAATCTCAACACAGCAGCTTGAATGATTCTTTTAAAACTTAAGTCAGATCGGATGGGCATGGTAGCTCACATCTGTAACCCCAGCACTTTGGGAGGCCGAGGCAGGCAGATCACAAGGTCAGGAGTTTGAGACCAGCCTGACAAACATGGTGAAACCCCGTCTCTACTAAAAATACAAAAATTAGCTGGGCGTGGTGGCCTGCACCTGTAATCCTAGCTACTCAGGAGGCTGAGGCAGGAGAATCGCTTGAACCTGGGAGGTGGAGCTTGCAGTGAGCTGAGATGGTGCCAATGCACTCCATCCTGGGCAACAGAGCAAGACTCCATCTCAAAAAAAAAAAAAAAAAAAACTTAAGTCAGATCACATCACTCCTCTACTCAAAATCCTGCAATGGCACCTCATTTTGTGCATAGTAAATGACAAAGGCCTATGACGCTCTACATTCAGATGATCTGATTCTCTTTCCTGCTACTCTCACCTGTCATTTATTTCATGTGTCAGTACTTTCCCACCATATGGCCTTTGCTCTAGCTGTAACCTCTTGCTAGAGGACCTCACTACACTACATCTGAAGAAATGTTCTTCCTTCAGATATCTTTGTGGCTAACTTCTTCTGCTTCTTTAAATCTCAACCTGTCAATAAGATATACTCAGACCCACTGTTTGTATTACAACCTGTACTTTCTCCATCCAATCCTCTTTATTCAATTCTCCTTTTTAGTTTTTTTTCCAAACTGCATCAGTGTCTAACATATTATATACTTTATTATGTTTGTTGTTTATTGTCTGCCTTTTCGTCTTACTCCCTGCTAGAATGTACACTTCAACAGGTCAGGATTATTGTCTATACTGTTGACTAAAGGATTCCAAGAGCCTCGAACAATATCTGGCAAATATTGGACAAATACGTATTTGTTGAATGAATAAGTGAATGTTGATTTTTCATTTAGCATGGTCACAATACACATGCCCTATGTGTGCTATATATCTGTTAGATTAAGCTGGTTAATTATGTTGTTCAAATCCTTTATGTTCTTGAGTATTTTTGACTGTTTGATATACTGGTTTCTAAGAGAGGTGTGTTAAAATCTGCAACACTGACTGTGGATAGGCTATTTCTTGATAATTCTGTCGGTTTTGTTTTATATATTTTGAGAGTATATTTTCAGTATCTAGAGTCATTTTATATCATCTTCGTGGATTGTTACCTATTTATAAGCGAGACATATATTTCTGTCATTTGATGTTTTTAGGCAAAAACATGTTCATGTTTCAAATGATGTTCATGCTGCCACCTTTCACTAGGTGGTAATCAAGAGAAAATTTTTCCTGTCCTATACTTGTATTTTTTTATCTTTCAGTGTTACTTTTAAAACAGCATATGGAAGGATAATCTATCTCTCTGGCTTTGTAGATTAATTTATATTATGATTACTTACATGTTTTATTTTGTATTTCCTATTTCCATGTTTTTCCTTTGCTTCTTTTTATCTTCTTTCCTGCCCTCTATTGAATGGAGTGATAGCATTTAAAATATTACCTATCTTTTCTCTTTCCCCTACTGATTAAGGACTTGTACCTTCTATTTCTATATTTCTATTACTGTACTGGATACCCTTATATTTAACATACTTATTTAAATATATATTTTTTAAAAGTCTATAACATTAATCTGTATCTTTTCTACTCAAAACAAGGACTTCAGCACACATTTACATCTTTAATACCATATTATTATTGCTAAGATTTAGTTCTAGCTTTTGAAGCATATTAGCTTTATCTCATATTTTAACACTCTTTGCTTTTGTATTCCACTTCTTTCTGCATTTATTTTTGTCTTTGCTGAAGAACATCCTTTAGTTCTCTTGTCACCAAGAGTTTGTGAGTTGAAAACTTAGCTTTGTGTATCTGAAGATGCGTTTATTTTGCTCCCACTCTGTATATAAACCACTGTATGAAACTGTAAGCTCACAGTTATTTGTCTACAGCACTTTGAAGATACTAGTCAGTTTTCTGGTATCTACTGTTGCCAAAGCCTACTGCCAGTTTGACTACCATTCCATTATTCAGAATTTTTTGTTATACTTGTATTCAGAATTTCAGATTTTCTCTTTATCATTAATTTCCTATGATTTTATTATCATGTATGTAGTTGTGGATTTATCTATCCTGTGTTACATGTGGCAGCATTTTCTATTTTGAAGACTCAGCTTCATTTCTGAAAAAATTCTTAGCTGCAGTTATTGTTATTATTATTGCCACTTTTTTATTCATTCTTTTTTCTCCTTTGTAACTCCTAGCAGATGTATGTTGGAGCTCCTCAGGTCATCTTTCATGTCCATCTTTCTCTTTCATTTTCTTCTAACTCTCTCTAAACTGCATTCTGAAAGATTTTCTCAGTTCTTTTTCCTAATTCTCTAATTTTCTCTTAAGCTATAGAAAGTATGTGCAGTCTAACTGTTCTTTTACTTCAATATTGTATTTTTACATTTCAATATAATATTTTTCACTTCAAGATGTCTAAATGCTTCTTTCTCACAGCTTTCTCTTCTTGTTTCATTATCTATTCTTCATTCTGTAAAATGTAATTTCTTCTGAACATATATTGATAATTTTAACTTATTTTTAAACTCTCATCAGATTGTTCTTCTTTTCTCAGGTATAAATTCTCTAATTTGTTGGGTTCTCTTGACTGCTTTTTCATGATCTTAGGTTTTACTGGGTTCTTTGTAATGTTTTGGGGGCTCAATTTTTATGATAACTAAAAAATGTAAGTACCTGTATCTACAGGGCAGTTTTAAGTTGCCTCAGCTTAAATCTGATAATGTGCCAACCTTGAACCAGACCTTAAGTTGGTAGCTCTGGGCCTTCTTTCCTCCTAGGTAGCCCAGTTCTGAATTTTTAGCCCAAAAGTATTTTGGGTCCAAGTTCTATCTTGAGTGGTTTCCTGCGCTTGCTTGTGACTGCCAATTATTCTTTACTTCCGCTCAGGAACAAGCAGCATATTCCTGGCTGTGACACTGCTGGGATAAGTTAGATTAACCCAGCTCCTATTTGTATTGTGCTCTTGGGTCCTGGGTTCATGCACAGACAGGATCATTGCAAAAAAACCTGGTCCCAATTGCCCATATCCATTCATAGCACCCCCCGATCCCCTACCATCACAGTGGCTTTTCTATTACTGGCCAAAAGACACTTTCCTTTCTTATTTTTAAGAATAACTATGTATTTTTAAAAAACTTTAAAAATATTTATGCATAATTTCTCTGTTTTTGAATGAGAGGAATAAGATTCAGGAGTATTCACTCTGCCACCCTGACCTAGAAGTCCCAGAGTAGCTTTCACTTTTGAAATAACAGCAGTTCAATTTTCCTGACCTCACCAGTCTGTAAACATTAGCATATATACCCAAAGTGCAAACTTGAATAAGCTGTAGTAGAGACAAATTTCCATTATTTGGAATTTGTTTACATTGAAATAAATAATAGATGTACTAGGAAATCAGAAATGGAAGGAAGATGACTTTTAAAAGGTTAAGAAACTTGGGACAGCAGCAGACTTTACTGTAAAGCTTATGTACAAACTCCATCACTGCTTCCCATAAATGGAATCAGACTGAGCAAAGAAGAGGGTACTTTCCACAGCACCAGGAAGAGCCACTGCAGCCAGCAGAGTCCTGTAATAAGTACCAACCTGCACTCCTGCACCTGGAAGACAGCCATCAGCTTAGTGGAAAGAATGCTGGACTGGGAATTCAGAAATGTTCTAGTTCATTTTCTACCACTTAGTCATTGTACAGCTTAGGCTAAGCCAGGCTCTCTTTTGGGCCCCAGGTTTTCCATCTGTAAAATAAGAGAGTTGGGCTAGAACAACTTCTGATGTACCTTCCAGAAATAATTTTCTATGACCTTAACAGTTTGGTACTTTATAAGTAGGTTGAGTCCTCCATTCTTCAGCTTGCTCAGTAATAATCTGCCAGGTAAAAGAAGAAAATCATGTGTTTCTGAAATCAGTTTTCAAATCAAATGAAAGAATCACTAGATGCATATTTTTGTTTGATCACCACTCTACAAAGGAACAGCCTGGTAGCTGGGTGAAGTTTCTGTGTGGGTGTACACACAATCTAAATTTTAAATAGAAAAAGCAAACCAACCCAGACCAAAACAAAAACCCTCCATACAAGTCCCAGACACAACAAATGGTAAGAGTTCTTTTCTACAAACATGTCTGTTTCTAAGAGCTGAGAAGACCAAAAAAGAAAAAAATGTATCAAAATGACCAGATATAAGTGTAGATAAAGAAAAAACTAAGGAGCATGCAGCAAAGTTACAGGATATGAGAGATTTGACTCTGCACACTGCAAAGTCTGTACAATTAGAAATTTCATGCTAACAGAAATGTAGGGAAGACAATGAGAAAAGAAAGGATAAAATTGGAGTTCCACTAGATGGAAGTTAAGAGTGGATTAAGAATTTTTAAATTGAGGCCAGGCACAGTGGTTCACGCCTGTAATCCCAGCACTTTGGGAGGCAGAGGCGGGCGGATCACTTGAGGCCAGGAGCTTGAGATCAGCCTGGCCAACAGAGCAAAACCCCATCTTTACTAAAAATACAGAAAAAAAAATTTAGCTGGGTGTAGTGGTGAACACCTATACTCCCAGCTACTCAGGAGGTGGAGGCATGAGAATCGCTTGAACTCTAGAGGCGGAGACTGAAGTGAGCCAAGATCATAGAACTGCACTCCAGCCTGGGTGACAGAGTGAGACCCTGTCTCAAAAGAAAAAGAAAAAAAAATTTAAAATTGGGTTGAAGTGGCAAGGAAAACTCAAGATTAAATCTCAGAGCTTTCTAGAGCCTTGACTATCAACCACAATAAAAATTTATATGAATTGTTTAATTTCACCACAATGCAGTAAAAAACCAAACTGATTCAGATTTTATAGGTCTGAAGGATGGAAAGTTGGCACACAACTAGCCATAATCCCGAGTCTTCAAATAACATACTAAAGACATACTGTTTTCAAAAAAAACAACAAAAAGCATCTTATCATCTACATTGCTATTTGTGAGGCACAGTGTATTGCATCGACACTGCTATGTATGTATAGACAGACTATATTAAGGGTGAGTGTCCAGCAGATTTCTATCCACTATTGCATACTTCCACCACAGCTGAAATAGCCAATCAGTCAAAAGAGAGGGATAAAGTTCTCTGACAAAATTCCCACTCAGTTCACGAAATAGCCACTGAGCAGTCTTCACTTTCATGCAAACTTTTTGTAAGTGTGTTACTAAAGCATCAAGGGGGGAAAAATTACACAAATAACAAGGCCTCATTAAAGAGAATTTGGGAAATAAAGAAAAGCAGAAAAAAAGTCACGCTTAGTCTCATCACAGAAATACAGCCACTGCTAACACTTTGCTCACTTTCTCCCTGGTCTCTTTACCTGGGCCTGCTACATCCTTATGGTTGTAATCATATGATATATACAATTGTGTATCTAGTTCATTTAGTAATACTATACTGTAAGCATTTATCCAAGTTATTATACTATCTTTGTAACTCACTTTTAAATGGCTGCCTTATAATCCACTCTATTTTAAGGAAACACCCCTAAATGTTGGTGGGGAATGGTAAAGCAAACTATGATTCACAGTGTTCCATTAGACGGATAAATCATAGTTTACTTAACTGCTGCGAGAATACTGCACAGTAGGCTGTTTCCAATATTTCCGCTATTATAAATAGCTAAACCAGCTAAATCTGTTTTGTTCAATAGTGCCTAATAGCCTTCCATATAGTAGGTACTCAAGTATTTGTAGAATGAATATTTACAGGGCTGCCTATATAGAACATACCTTTTGATAACAATTTTTGTGCATAAAATCCCCCTCCTTCCCATATTTAGAACTGTTTCCCAGAGATACATTTTCATAGGGTGCTATTCTGGGTCAATTTTGGACTTTTGTCAATCTAGCCATTTGCTCCTCAGAAAATAATGACTAATTTGCATTCCCAACAGTAAAATATGGGAAGGCCCGTTTCACCACATTCTTAGCTAAATTGGGCATTATCTTTTCAAAGTCTTTGCCTATCATGATTGCTAAAAAAATATTACTTTGGACGGGTGCGGTTGCTCACGCCTGTAATCCCAGCACTTTGGGAGGCTGAGGCAGGCAGATCATCTGAGGTCAGGAGTTCAGGACCAGCCTGGCCAACATGATGAAACCGCGTCTCTACTGAAAATACCAAAATTAGAGGGGCATGGTGGTGGTCACCTGTAATCCCAGCTACTTGGGAGGCCGAGGCAGGAGAACTGCTCAAAACTGGGAGGCAGAGGTTGCAGTGAGCCGAGATCACGCCACGACACTCCAGCCTGGGTGGCAGAGCAAGACTCTGTCTCAAAAAAAAAAAAAAGATACCTCATTATAATTTTAATTATAGTTTTGAACACCAGTAAGGTTACACACTTTTTCTTATGAATGTTATTTGTCTATTTTGAAATAGCTTTCTAATAATCACAATCTAAATCTACTTTATTCCTGAAAGGTCAGTTGTGGGTTGCAGTAACAACAAAAGCCCCAATATTTTTAGGAAATAAATTCTGGAAGGAACTTAAGGAACTAACGTAAATACATTGCTGAGAACAGTTTATTCACAGAGCAAGTCTGGAACACTGTAATGTGCTTTTACTAATGGTAAAGTTGGAGGCTAGAGTTCTCAGTTCCTCATTCTTTCTTCATATTTATCTGTTATATAGTTTTGTTTTTTTTGTGATATTTGTCTGTGGGTGCTGCTGTAATTTGCGAGGGGAGAGCTGGGAGGAAAAGATTCCTTTAATACTTCTTCTAAAACTTTTCTTTTAGGAAATCATTCTAGATTAACCCAGAAACTCTTAAGAGCTGTTTTCCACAACTGTACTCTGTAAAAACTTCTTTAGCCCAGATAATCTTGGGGTGACTTAGCAGAACTTTGTTAACCCTGAATTAGACTTTCTCTCTGAAAATATTTTGTAAACAAGTAAGCTAGACACAGAAAAGGCAGAAGCATATTCAGAGAAAAAATGTAGGTCTGGGCAACATTACCAGTAATGAGAACCTGATGAAAACTGACAATCACACCTCACTAACTAATCCAATAACTAGCTCTTTTCATAACTGTCAGCATAACATGTGGAAAATGCTCCTCTGCAGCAGAAGTATAATTGCCTTTCATTCCTTCGAGATGCTCTTGCAGGAGTAGGCAAGAATGTTGATCTGCCATCTATTCTTAACAAGGAGAGAAAGCAGAAATGTGGACTAAGGATTGTTAGGGGAAAGCAATTTAGATGGAATCAGGTACTACAATGTGCCAAATGATATGATGATTAGATCTGTTTGAACCCTGTTTAAGCCTTTATGAGGATTTTTTTTTAATGGCAAACTATCTTGGAGCTCTGCCCACAAGGCAAATGGCTACTAACCAAAGACTATTTATTTGCAGAAAATCCATCAAAGTCGTTACATGCAGATGAGTCACAAAGAGAAGATATCATCCTTTCATGATCCCCAGCCCCACTTCACCAAACTGCTCTCACAAGTCAGCAACATCTCCTTACTGGCAAACCTATGATGGCTCTCAAACTACTGGATGTGATTACAGAGGACTATTGGTAGCTATAATTTATCTTTCCAACCCTTTATCTCTTTCTCTTCTTTTGATAACAGAATCCGTATTTCCTGTGGGGAATCTATTCCACTTAGCTGACCCTCTCCTAACCCTACCCCTATAACAAGTGGTAGCTGCTGCTCTTGTTTCTTCTTCATCACTATGACCAGCACTACCACTATTGTTATCATTATGATCATCATGGCGGCTAAGATTTATTGATAATTTACTATGTGCCAGACACTGTTCTGTCCACTTTATATGTATTATCTCATTTAAAGAAATGACCTATGTGATAAGTACTATGATTTCTCTCATTTTAAAGTTGAGGAAACTGAGACACAGGGAGTATATAATTTGGCAAGGTTACACAGTAAGTAGCAGAGGAGGGACTTGAATTAAACTTGGTTTCAGGGTTCAGGCTTCACTGCCTCTCTCGCTAAATCTCATCTAATTTCTGGCTATAGAAATTGGTTCAGGGAAGTTCATCTGATGCAGGAAAGGTCAATCGGATATACCAACACTACGAGGCCAGGTGTCGTGGTGCACACCTGTAATCCCAACATTTTGGAAGGCCAAGGTGGGAGGACAACATAAGCCCAGGAGTTTGAGACCAGCCTAGGCAACACAGTGAGACTCCATCTCTACAAAAAATAAAAAGAATTAGCTGAGCATGGTGGCACACATCTATCGTCTCAGCTACTTGGGAGGCTGATCACTTGAGCCTAGGAGGTAGAGGCTGCAGTGACCCGTGATCACACTATGGACTCCAGCCTGAGTAACAGAGCAAGATCCTGTCTGCAAAAACCAAAACCAAAACCAAAACCAAAAAAAAAAGGTATATGGACACTAGGATAGAGAAGGTCTTTCTTCCTCTGAAGCCTATGCAAAGAAGGCAGCAGGGATCTGATAAGTTTCAGCTTCCTAGATTTAGCTATGCCTGAAGCTAGGCCAGGCTAAATATGCAGATTTTCTAGCTACATAAGCCTATATGCTTGAGCTATAAGAAGTTAAGTTTCTGTCACACTGAGTCTTTGAAAGTTTTCATTCCCTTGTTTGGTTGAATACTACTCTTTTTTTAAAAAACAAACACTTTTATTTTAGGTTCTGGAGTACATGTGAAGGTTTGTTATATAGGTAAACTTGTGTCACAGGGGTTTGTTGCATAGATTAATCACCCATGTATTATGCCTAGTACCCAATAGTGATCTTTTCTGCTCCTCTCCCTCCTCCTACCCTCCACCCTGAAGTAGACCCCAGTGTCTGTTGTTTCCTTCTTTGTGTTCATAAGTTCTCATCACTTAGCTTCCATTTATAAGTGACAACATGTGGTATTTGGTTTTCTGTTCCTGCATTAGTTTGCTAAGGATAATGGCTTCCAGATCCATCCTTGTTCCCACAAAAGACATGATCTCACTCTTTTTTATGGCTGCATAGTATTCTAAGGTGTATATGTACCATATTTTCTTTATCCAGTCTGTCACTGATGGGCATTTAGGTTGACTCTATGTCTTTGCTATTGTGAATAGTGCTACAATGAACATTCACATGCATGTGTCTTTAGGGTAGAATGATTTATATTCCTTTGAGTATATACCCAGCACATAGACCAATGGAATAGAATAGAGAGCCCTGAAATAAGGTTGCACACCTACAACCATCTGATCTTTGACAAAGCTGACAAAAACAAGCAATGGGGAAAAGACTTCCTATTCAGTAAATGGTGCTGGGATAACTGTCTAGCCATATGCAAAAGACTGAAGCTAGCCACCTTCCTTGCACCATATACAAAAATCAACTCAGGATGGATTAAAGACTTAAATGTAAACCCCAAACTATAAAAACCCTGGAGACAACCTAGGCAATACCATCCTGGACATAGAAATGGGCAAAGATTTCATGACAAGGACACCAAACGCAATCGCAAAAAAAGCAAAAACTGACTAGTAGGATCTAATTGAACTTACGGGCTTCTGCACAGCAAAAGAAACTATCAACAGAGTACAGACAACCTACAGAATAGGAGAAAATATTTGCAAACTATGCATCTGACAAAGGTCTAATATCTAGCATCTATAAGAAACTTAAATTTACAAGAGAAAAACAAAACCCAATTAAAAATGGGCAAAGGACAGGAACAGAGACTTTTCAAAAGAAGACATACATGCAGTCAACAAGCATATGAAAAAAAAGCTCAATATCGCTGATCATTAGAGAAATGCAAATCAAAACCACAATGAGATACCATCTCACACCAGTCAGAATGGCTATTAGTAAAAAGCAAAAAAAAAAAAAAAACAAAAAAACAAAACAAAACAAAACAAAAACCAGATGCTGGCAAGGTTGCAGAAAAAAGGAAATGCTTATACACTATTGGTGGGAGTATTCACTGTGTAAAGCAGTGCTGGCAATTCCTCAAAGAGCTAAAAGCAGAACTCTCCTTTCCAGGCTCTTTTCCTTCTTCTCTGACCATTTCCCTGCAGATCTCTTCCATAGGTACCTCTCCCCTTCTGCCATCTCAAACAGTGGTGTGCCCTGGCTCTGTTCTAAACTGTGTACTCTTTTCATAGCAGTGGCCCTCCTTAGCACCCCACAATCATTCTGATAATTGGCCTTCCCTGGGGAACATGTTCCTTTTGCTTGCCCTTGCTTCAGAATCATTGAGACATTGAACCACAGTTACACAGTGAGTACCTCATATCCATCAGAATGCTGGGGAAGAAAAGAAGTTGGGAATCACTGTTCTAAAAGTTAATCTTGGGAAATGTATTTTTCATAGCTTAAAACTATTATCAGCAACCTGATACCTTCCAACTCTTTATCTCTAGCCCTGGAACTTCCCTATACTTCATACCCATGTATCTAATTGCCTATAGGACATTTACTTTCTTATGTCTGATAGGTACCTTGAACTCAGCATGTCCAAAAGCAAAATCATTATCTTCATCCCCAAACATATTCTTCCTCCTGAATTCTCAATCCTATTAATGGCATATTATCTATGCAGTCATCATAATAAAAAATGAATATCATGCATTGCATTGTTCTCTATTCACAGAAGACATATGTAAATACTAGATATTCTTGTAAATATAATGAACAAGAAACAGGCTGGGCATAGTGGCTCACGCCTGTAATCCCAGCACTTTGGGAGGCTGAGGCGGGCCGATCACCTGAGGTCAGGAGTTCAAGATCAGCCTGGCCAACATGGCGAAACACCATCTCTACTAAAAATACAAAATTTAGCCAAGGATGGTGGCTGACGACTATAGTCCCAGCTACTTGGGAGGCTGAAGCAGTAGAACTGCTTGAACCCAAGAGGTGGAGGTTGCAGTGACATGAGATTGCACCACTGCACTCCATCCTGGGCACTGGAATGACACTGCATCTCATTCCAGACCCAGCCTTCAAGGAGTTCAGTTAGTTGGCAAATACAACATAGTATGATTACCACTCCATATTAAAGATAAATTCACAGTGCTAGGGGAAACCTAGTCTGGTCCAGGGAGGGGGTCAAAGGAAGGCTTCTTAGGGGAGGTGGTGCTTAACCTAAAACATGAATATGTTTTTAAAAAGTGGAGTAGGCAGAGGAAGAGGCAGTAAAGTAAGAGGAAGAGAATTCTAAAGAATGAAAATAACATGTATGAAAGCTCAAAGATGGGAGGAGGGGAGACTGATGAAATACTACCATATGAGCTGCCTTTATTTATTTAAAAATTTACCAAATGTAGGCACTGTGCTAAACCCTTTATATACATTATTACTGCTGTTCCTTATATCAAGCCTATAAAACAAGGATAATAGTCTCATTTTTACAGATTAAAGAACTTTCAGAGCTCAGAGAGGTTAAATTACTTTTCCAAGACCACCCAGCTAATAAGAGACGCAACAAGCTTTGAACCTAGGTCTTCTGGCTCCAAAGCCAATTCCATGCATCTTCCCAAATACCTTGGGACTGATCTTTATGCTTTTATCATCCACATCTAGTAAAACATCAAATTCTGCTGAGTTTTCATATTTCTTACCTTGTTCCATTCTCTCCATACCTACCATTAGAAACTCAGCACATTATCTTTCACCTGGACCCTAGGCTCTAATTGCTTTCTAGGTATAAAGGGGTATGTGTGTATGTATCACAATAAGTCAGATCGGCATGATCTCACTTTCACAACAAGAGATTCAACAAGTGTCTGTATATGTATCACGGAAGAAATATTCCTGCTCTTTTCTAAGGCTAGCCCTGGAATATCCTAGAGCCTAGTCAAGTGACTTCTTTTCTGCTTTAATTATGCTTTTTGGTGATCTCACCCAGTCTTCTGACTCAAAATATCAGCACTAAAGCAATGACTTCTACATCTGTATTTCTCCAGCTTTAATGTCTCCCATAAAGTCCAAATTCCTAGTTGACAATTGTCTACTTGACATCTCAACTTGGATGTCTAATAGAAATATCCCTCGCCCTATTAAAATGTGAGTATTGCAGTAGGCAGAGGCAAGAGAATTGCTTGAATTTGGGAGGTAGATGTTGCAGTGAGCCAAGATCATGCCATTGCACTCCAGCCTGGCCAACAAGAGTGAAACTCCATCTCAAAAAAAAAAAAATTGTGGTATATATACATCATGGAATACTACTCAACCATAAAAAGGAATGAAATAATGACATTCATAGCAAATTGGATGGAGTTGGAGCCCATTATTCTAAGTGTAATAACTCAAGAATGGAAAACCAAATACCGTATGTTCTCACTTGTAAGTGGGAGCTAAGCTATGAAAAAGCAAAGGCATAAGAATGATATAATGGACTTTGGGGACTCAGGGGGAAGGATGGGATGGGGATGAGGGATAAAAGACTACATATGCCGGGCACGGTGGCTCATGCCTGTAATCCCAGCACTTTGGGAGGCTGAGGCAGGTGGATCATGAGGTCAGGAGATCGAGACCAGCCTGGCTAACACGGTGAAACCCCATCTCTACTAAAAATACAAAAAAATTAGCCAGGCATGGTGGTGGGCACCTGTAGTCCCAGCTACTCAGGAGGCTGAGGCAGGAGAACTGCTTGAACCCGGGAGGTGGAAATTGCAGTGAGCCGAGATTGCGCCACTGCACTCTAGCCTGGGTGACAGAAGGAGACTCTGTCTCAAAAAAAAAAAAGACTACCTAGTGGGTACAGTGTACACTGCTTGCGTGATGAGTGCACCAAAATCTCTCAGAAATCGCCACCAAAGAATTTATTCACGTAACCAAAAACCACTTGTTCCCCAAAATTATTGAAATAAACTTTAAAAGATTCTGCTAATATATAAAGTATACATTATATATTATATTGATATAATTGTTATATTTATATTAATAAAGTATATTATAAATTATTGTAGAAATTTGGATATAATTTATATTGTATTATAAATTAATAAATATAAATTATATTATAAATTAATAAATAGTATAATATTATATTATATATTATAATATATTAGTATAAATATATTATATAATATATATACTTGCCTGAATAAAACTTGTATTGGATAACTCCAATATCTACAATACATATCAAAAATAAATAAATAAATAAAATGTGAGTATTATGAAGTCAGGAATTTTGTCTACCTTGTATATTTTTGCATCCCTAATGCATAGTGCCTGACACATAGTGGCTCATCAATAAATATATGTTGACTGAATAAACACATGCTGCATGAGAGCAAAAGACATCCCAAATGGGACTCGATTGTCCTAGAGGGTCTTTGAGAATTTGGTACTCTAGGTTAAATGTGTATTTCGGGAGGACAGAAAGGAGTAGTGGTTGGCTCTAAGCTCCTTTAGTGTGCTACAGTTAATCCTACTCTTTAATGATTGACCTACCTGGGATGTTAGCAATCCCTAAACATTATACCTCTAGGAACACTATCCATCAGACTTGCCTGTTAAGAATCACTTTGGAAGACCTTTACAATATAGATTTTCAGGACTTCCACCTGCTACCACCATGTCACCTCCGTATCCAGAATCTCAAGGGGAGAGGTCTAAAAATCTACATTGTAAACAAATAACCCCAGTGATTGCTATTGACAAGTTTGAAGGAGACTACTATAGAAGCTTTACCCATTAGGTTATTATAGTTGAAAATGGCTCAGCTTGCTCGATATCAGTATCTACACACGCCCTTAGCTCTAAGTCAAGAACTCCAGAAATGATACATAAACTGCCCAAATAATATTTCGTTAGTTTTAGTCCAAAGTACTAGAGGTCACCAGTGATCTAAGAGAAGCCTTCTCATACAACATGTCATATATGGAGTTTTCTAAATGTATATATTCTATGAAGGCACATCTGTGTGAACATTTATTCTCAAGAAAGGATCTGATTTTGTTTATTTGGCACAAAATTAATTATGCCATCCCATGCTCAATTCCCACACCTTATATGAGTCTTTACTGTGACATATTAATGTCAGTTTTCATCACTTTTTTCCTTAAAATTGTTGAAGAATCAGGATTTCAGCTTCTCTTCCCCCAAATCCATCCCTCCTAACTATCATTTCAAGCAAGCACAGGGTCATCACTTTGAAGATTTCTGTCATCCCCTCCACAAATCCCCAAAATGTTTTTCCTCCACATATTCAGTAGACTAAGCGCTGACAAGGCAAAAAGACTAGTAAATTCCATAATCTACTCCTAATTAAGGAATTCAAATGACAACAAACAATTAAAGTGAATGACAGCAACTAACAGTCTTCTGACAGGCACTGTTACAAGAACCTGTGAGCCTTAAAGGCAAACTTACTTATGGTCATAGTCTACAAAAGCTGAATTTCAAGTATTAAGTGATTACATATTCCCAATTATAATCTTAGCTAACCTCAAAGACTGGTCCTTGGGAAGTAAAAAGGAATAGGATCAGATGAGAAAAACAGATAGGGACATGCTAGGAGAACCATTTCAGGCTTTCTCCTCAAAAGGTAATGAACTAAAACATAACAGAGAGACTATATTTAAAATGACATGGAAGCAACTCCCCCTCTCTCCTTCACTTTCTCATTCAGGAAGTTTTACAGTTTGCTTCATTAATGCTGCCCCAAACAACATTTATCCCTCTAAACACATGATGTTCCCCAACAAACTGTTGCTGATAACAAAGAATCAGGGGAATTGGCACAATGCTGAGTTATCAGAGAAGTGCTTGGATGAGAGAAAATGACATTTGGAGTTATGTTGACATTAGCAAATACCTTCTGTATCAGTAACCTAGAGCAGAGGCCAGCAAACTGCAGCGTGGCCTGCAGACCAAATCCAGTCCACCGGCCTGCTTTTGTAAATAAAGTTTTATTGGAACATAGTCACTCCCATTTAGTTACATATTGTCTATGGCTGCTTTCCCATTACAACAGTGGAGTTCAGTCATTGCAACAGATTACGTGGCCAGCAAAGTGGAAAATATTTACTATCAGGCCCTTTTCATAAAAAGTTTGCTGACCTACAGCATCACATGCCAAAAATGAAGTGAGGCTGCTACCACTGTCCCACCCCCAACATGTTCTGCTGGAGAACAGGTGTAAACATCTGCTTCCCCTATCAGCCTCAGAAAGGCAGAGTGTTGACTCTTCACAACAGCCAGCAAGTAGTAGCTATACCAGACATTTGGAGAAATGAGAAATACAGCATTCAGTCACCATAAACAGCCCCATGTTTCACCCATTTGGCATATCACTTTTGAAAGTCCTCCAACTCCTAAAATGCCATCTTAAAGTATACAATGTTTTATTTGGTGATATAATACTCAAACATGTTGTTTGCCTCTTAAAATGCTTCTGTTTCCTGAAAAAAATTTTCAGAAACATAGCAAGAGCTATAAGCTCCAAGACCATAAGTACTTGTATTATGTATTATGCTAGGTATTAATTTGCCAATGGATTTTTAAAACTTCCCTGCTTTCCTCTTGGTAGCCAATAATACTGACATAGTTTAAGGTGTAAGAGTGCAGGTTGTAATAAAACATTGTTAAAAATTTAAACTATAAAAAAGTTAAGAGTTTCTTAAAAGTACATATTCTATGAAGACACAACTGTGTGAACATTTATGTACCTTAAAGGATCATACTAGGTTACAAAACTATGGTTTCTCTATGAAGAGATTTATGTCACTAAATGGCTGCTATCTGCTTTACTGAAGACTGAGACAGTATGGAGAAAAATTAAAATTGGGAGGTAGTGGCCATTCATCTTTACATTTTTACAAGCTTTATACAGGAAGCTTTACAGCTTGTGATAGGTAGTCCAACTATCCTACCTTTGAGATTCTACCAAAATAACACTTCTAAAGGTAACGTCTATTAGTACCTTAAGCTCAACATTCCTGCTGGGGCAAACCTATAAACATTCCATTTGCTGAAAAAGGACTTCAAATCCCACATCAAGCTTTCTACCTCAATCTTGGGGCTAGAACTCTAACATTAGCTAAGCCTAAGCCATAGGTTAAGGCTCTCCAGCCATGCTATCAACAGGATAAATGAATACTTCTATAACCGAGGTAACTCTTAGACTCCAACTGAAAGAGAAACAATTATTCCTGGGGCTCTCTATGATCAAAGCCATCATAGGACTACTTTGATAAAAGAGTTGAACCTAAGTGCTTTGAAGACAACCTTATAAAACTGTCATCATAGTAATGATGGTGTCCCAGGAATGCTCAAGTTGACAATGATCCTTTTCTAAAGAATGTCATTAGTTGGTTTTGAATATGTTTTTTAAAAAGAAAAACTTTGGAAAAATACCAGTAGGAAATTCACTAGAATGTTAATAATTTCTTCTGAAAAGTATGGTTATGGATGGTTATGGACAATTTTTCTTAGCTTTCATAGCTGAAACAATCCCTTTTCATAACAAATATTTTCAACACCTCCTTACTATCCTGAAATAAAAATCACTGATATAAAACTTACATAAAATCATTTAAAAAAATAACATAATATGAAGAAGAAATAAGAGCAAAGCACTTTATAATAAAATATGTATTTTAATGTGTTAATGCTTGGGCCAGTAAACTAGAAGGCATAAAGAAGCAGTCAGAGATTTGGATGCATCATATAATTATCATGGAGGCGGAGGTTAAATGCAGATCTATAGAACGTGTGGCATGATGTACTCATTATGTAAGTGGCATTGCTGTCAGGGATAAATAAAACTAAGAGCAGTTTCTCCTCATTTACATGGTGGTTGAATTTTTAGAACTGTCTTCCTCCCCACTGCCCCTCAAAAATGAGCTTAAACATAAAATCAAGTTTGTTTTTAGACTCAGATAACTGATAGGTTTTCATCTATGACTGTCAAGGGAGACAGTCAAAAGTCAAGCAAGCTTCAGGATACTTGTTTGATATGGGGCATTTTAGGATATCTAGCATCTCTCACCCTTTCCATTTAATGCATGCAGAACATCCCCCATCGCTGTATTCCCTGAAAGTAGCCCTATGAATTTTTACAACTTCCTCTAGCAATTCTCCTGCTGCTTTTGAGAGCTACTGCTTTATATTTTTCTATACTTCATGAATTTTCTTTAATGAAATTTACTATCTTTTATAAACTTTTTTTTAAAAAAAGCTCTGGCAGAGTTTTAAGCTCATCTGTGTTCCTATAATAAAAAGACATAAGGTCACAAGTCACTAACACAAACTAATATCTTGAAAGCAATTGGAGGCAGAAGAAATCAAAAAAAGAAAAGGTCAAGAAGTTAAGTATACTATCCTTAGTAGCTGGATAAACCTTTCACATCTTTGGATGAGATGCATGAGAGAAGTCCAAACAGATACCTCAAAGAACAATTTATTCTATCTTAAAAAAGATTTATGATTAAAGCAGAATTCACTGATGTAAAGGGACACTAGTTCCAAAAAATTACAAGGTCTCAAAGGAATACATGTGAGCTTTGATTACGGAGATTTCCTGGGCAACAGCACGACCTAAAATTAATAGAGTCCATAAAAGGAAGATGCCAAAAGAAACTTTGTGCTTAAGATGGTTTATACAGCTTGGGCTACAGCAAGACACAACCCATATATAGAAAATCACAGCATCTGCAGTATTTTAAGAAACTATAGTTGCAAAGCAAGAGCAAATGTACAGTGAGAGGAAAGATCCTTCAAGGCCAGTGTGGAGTCAACCACTAGAGAAGATTCTTCAGTGCATGCTGGATAACAGGCAGCTTCTCACATACTGAGTTGGTTGGCTGCCATTTCTCAATCTCTATCTTTTTCCCTGGGACTGCGCATTGTCATCAATTGCAGAAATCCAGGACAGCTTGCTTTTCTACATGTGGAATGCCTGCCAATTCCCAGAAGCTGGCTACCGCAAGACGGTTTATTAACAGCAAAGGCTGTTAACAGCCATTGCTTATCAAGTTTACCCTTACTTTTATATCCTTATGAACATTATCATGTTATCAAATTTCTCAGACTTTTCAAAACCCTTTCATTCTGGGGACGAGCTATCTTTTCCTTTTTTTAAAAAAAAATCTGCCTAAAGATTAAACAGGTTAAGAGGAGAAAAATCTATATTTTATTATCTCTCTAAGTCTGTTAAAAGCAACAGAGGCTTGCTTAAAAAATAGATTTTGGTTGTTATGTAATATACTGCAAAAAATATTACTTTACTACATAAATAACTATTAGATAGCTCATGTACCATGTCTTTAAACTTAGTCAAACTGTTGTTCTAACTCCACAGTGCAATCTTGTCTGGGAAATACCTTACCATATTAAGCAATCGAGCCCCAGAGAGAGAGGAAAACGAATCAGACTTAGGATTTTACCTAAAAGGAGAATGGCAAAAATACTGACTGGTGGTGGAGAGTGGACAGAAATTTGCTGGATACCCTCCAGCAGATAAAGTGGTTTCACAAGATTAAGTAACAATATTAAAAAATTCTGCTCGAGCGAAAGGATCCAGCAAATAGCCAGAAGCAATGCTGTGAAAAATTGGAGAAAAAGGGCTGCTATTTACTCAAAGGAAGAAGGTGGGAAAAAATAGTAAAGATCTCTGAAACTAGGACTGTTGGAAGCACTGGCAAAGAAGCATAAATGGAATGGGTTATTTAGGCATAAAAATGAAAGCCTGCTTGCTTGACAGAGAAGTTGCAGGGACTTGACTTGATCAGATGCTCAACAGGTTCCAAACACAATTTGAAACATTTAGTTCTTGTTCCTTTCCTTTCTACTCATTTCTTTCCCCCTACTTCAGCAATCTCCTTTAAAACTTATTCCTCAAAATTCTTCAGTTATGTGTCAGAACACATGTTGGAGTTATAGAGGATGTGGGGCTACTTCTGTGACTCTCCAAATAATCCATTCTTTAAGGATAAATTAATAACTTCAAAATCACATGATCCTAAGGCCAATAAAAGTATTCCGAAAGCCTTACTCTCATCCAGATGTAGGAACTTATAAATTTGGAAAATAATTTAAATGGATTGTAATCATCTCTGTTTAAATGTATTAGCTCATTTTCATTTCACAATTCTAAGAGGTAGACTATTATTATCCCTACTTTACAGATGAGGAAACTGAGGCATAGAAAGGTTAAATAACCTATCCAAAGTAGTTAAATGGTTAAGCTGGGGTTAAATGCAGGGAGTCTACCTCCTGGGTGTGTCCTCTTAACTATTATGCTGTATTATTTGTCATAACATTATGTGATATAAGAGATATAACAGATATAAAGATACAAATTTGGAAGGTAGTGCAACAGCTGTGCACTAGGACTACAACTATGTGACACTAGCAAGGTACTTAATCTCCTGGGCCTCAGCTGTTAACTTTAAAATGACAGTGTTAACTAGGTGGCCTTTAAAGTATTTTTTAGCTTTAAATTTAGTCTATAACTGTCATTCTAGCCACCCCAGAGAAATCAAATTTTAATATACAGTAACACATTTTAGGTGTTGTTTTATTTCTAATAAAAGTTTTTCCAAGAGTCTTCTTTTTTTGGGGGGGATAGGGTCTTGCTCTGTTGCCCAGGCTGATGTGCAGTGGTGCGATCTTGGCTCACTGCAACCTCCGCCTCCCGGGTTCAAGTGATTCTCATGCCTCAGCCTCCTGAGTAGCTGGGATTACAGGTGGGTGCCATCACACCCAGCTAATTTTGTATTTTTAGTAGAGATGGGGTTTCACTGTTGACCAGGCTGGTCTCGACCTCCTGACTTCAAGGTCCATCTGCCTCGGCCTCCTAAAGTGCTAGGATTACAGGTGTGAGCCACCATGGCTGGCCCCAAGAGTCTTCTTAACTGAAATTGAAGTGACAGTTATTCAAAGATGTAATAGAGCTGAAGAAAATTTGGCAAAGGAGACCAAGAGGTAAGTTAACAGATCATTTGCAGACATAGTAATTAATAGAATCCCTCTGATGTAGTAAGAAGAGTCTTATGACATCCCTGGACTCCAAAGGCCTCTAGACAAGTTTGCAGAAAGGAAGAAATTTCTAGTTCAAAAGACACCAGAAGATGCCCTGTAATGTCCAGCTCTCCTATACCATTGCACGGCCCATTTATAAACAGACTGAGCAGATTTCATGGGAAATAGCCCTTGAAAAAAAAAAAAAGGTAAAATAAGAACAATGATAAAACTGCCTATTGTTTCATGTGTTTTGTTTGATTTCGTTTTGGAAAAAGGGGGAAACTGCATCCATATTCTCAGGGTCAGGTACCAGGATTGCTCAGTTTCCTTTCTGATTCTTCCCCTTCTCCTCACTTTGAATTTCGGAGTGCTCCAGGGCTCTTTCGGCCTCTTCTCTGTCTACATTCATTCTCTTCGTGGTCACATTCAATCTCATGGTTTTAAAATACAATCTTTAGGTTTACTGATATCCAATTTGTAGTTCCATCCTGGCCCTTAAACCTGAATTGCAGATTCCTATATCTAACTGTCCTCTTGACATTTCCATGTGGAAATATGTCAATTAGACCTATTAGATTTAACAATTCTAAAACCAAAACCAAATGTCTACTTTTCCCCCACCAAATGTATTATGTATTCTTCTTGTAGTATTCTCCATCTCAATTAATAAAATTCCATGCTTTTAGTTGCCTTAGCTAAAACGTCTTAGTGTCAACCTTGACCTTCTGTTTTCTCACCTGATATCCAAGAAAACAGCAAATCTCATTGGTTCTAACTTCAATATATATCCTGAATATGACAACTTCTCAGCATCTTTACTGCTTGCTATTATCCTGGTACAAACCACCGTCAGTTTTCTCCTGGATTACTGTATTATAATGGCCTCCTAACTGATGTCCCTGCTTCCACTAACGTCCTCCCAGAGTACATTCTCCAAAATAGCAGGCAGTAATCCTTTAAAACATAAGTATAATCATGTCACTCTTCTGCTCAAAACTACAAAAGCCAAAGTTCTTATAACTTATCAGTCTATGCCATTTGGCCTTCTTGCACATTCCACTCTAGCCACACTGGTTTTTTTTTAATCTGTTCTCAAGCATGCCAGATACCTATCTTAGGGTCTTTGCAATTGCAATTCCCTCTGCCCATAACACTCTACCCTACATGTCCACATAGTTTCCCACCTTGCTTCCTTTAAGACTAGGCTTAAATCATATTTTCTCAGTAAGGCCAATCCTGACCACCCTACTTATAATGTCAACCTCCTTCCATGTTGGCACTTCTGATTCCTCCTTAGCCTACTCTATATGGTTTTTCCATAGCACGTATCACCTTTTAACATAGTATTTACTTTACATATTTATGTTGTCTGTCTCCCCCACTAGAATGTAAATTCCATAAGAGCAGGGCTGTTTGTTCATTGTTGCATCCCCAGAATCTAGAAAAGTGCTTGATCATAATCGGCGCTTAAAAGCACTTGTTGAATTAAGATGCTTACAAAAGTGAAGGCAGGACAAAATGGAAAATGCATTTAGTGGCTTTTGGTATATTTCTATTTATTTCTATGGCATTAATTTTCTGTTAAAGTTCAAAACTCAGCTCTGCTAGCAAATTCCAATTGTGTTCTTTCATTTAGTTTGAAAACTTTGCATTTAATAGCTTGACTCTTTTAGAAGACTTTTACCAACAGATCTCTCCACGAGCATACCCCCAGTTATCTAAGGCAGGTACCTTGATATCTATAATTTAGTAACTCTTTAACACTATCTCCTTTACCAATGAGTTCTGAGGGATGATTAGTAATCCAGACCTACTGATTGCATTCTGGATGGGGACAGCTATATTGCTAACTTTGAGGGTAAGGTTTCAGTAATTTTGTTCAGATTGAGTGCCACCTGATTTATCTAAAAGCAACAGAGATTCTAGGGGAAAAGAAAAGTATGAAAAGTCTTACTTCCTGACATACATAACTACCCACCTATGTCAAGGATAGCAGAAGAATGCTGATGCTCTACCCACTGAATCCTGATACTCTGAGTAGGCTTTTAAGTTGTCCTTCAAGAAGACGTTCCTTCACTCAAGGAGGTGAGATGCTACTAGCAAGTCAATTCGAACATGTAGCCTGCTGAGTAAAAAAACCAAATGGATGAATAGGGAATAGAAAAGGATGTAAGTCCTAATTTCAGTTTTGCTTCACTACAGTCAAACAAAGAGGTTCCCTGAAAAAAGGTACAGGTTGCTCACCTAGCAGAGATGTCATGCCCAAATAATTCTTAATTTCTCTGAGCCTCAGTCTTCTTAACCATAAAATTGGTTCCTAATCCAAGATATCTCTAGATCCTCTTCCAATCCTATGATACCAAAAGTTGGGAGGCAAGTACCTTTACTACATTGAACCGGGTCCTTCAACAATTCCTTAAAAACAAAAGCAATTTGTCTTCTGCTCAGCTTCTTTAGTGCACCATTCTGCCTGTTCACCAACATCTTTTCTGTTGACCACTTGTGCCCTCTAGTGATAAATTCAATTATACAACAGGATTGGCTTGGAAAACAGCTCCAGAGCAAACAGGGAAAACCGTAAGAAAGCAACAGATAAAACTCAATGTAAAGAAAATGGAATCCAGGTCAAAGATGCAGGTAAAAAAAGATGGAAATAATCCAAAAGGTCATTATCTTCTGTGGCATACCTATGCTTGTTCCCTCCAGGGCAAACATTCTATGTGATTACTACTATAGTAAAGAAAACAGCAAACACACTGCTGAATATAAAAGCATTTTCAGATATAATTAGAATAACCCTATTCCTCAAATTAAGATGCAGATTATTTTTCATTTAGAAAGACAAGGGATCTATTAAGATTCTCAGAGACTGTCATATACCTAATGTGGATAAACAAAACAGAATTGTTTTTAAACACATCTGTCAAGGAGATGCTAAGATGTCAATTTTATATATTAATTGCTAGTTTCACTGGTTCATGGATTTACCAGTGGAGATGGGTTCAGACTAAAACTATGCACTGTGTTGGGCTTAAGTAGGGTCCCCAGCCTTCTAAGCATGTTCCTTGCTGTTCCCAGCATAGCAATGCATGACTAGTCTATCACATACTCTCTTTTTAAAAATTTTAAATTGTTGCATTACAATAGTACATATTTATGTGGTACAAAGTGATATTTCAATACATATATGCAATATGTAACGATCAAATCAAGGTAATCAGCATATCTAGCATCAAAAATAATTTATGTTAGGAACATTCAAAATCCTCTCTTCTAGCTATTTGAAAATATACAATAAATTATCATTAACTATATTCACCCTTTAGTGCTATAGAACACCAGAACTTATTCCCCCTACCTGTAATTTTATATCTGTTAACCAACCTCTGACTGTCTCCCTTTTCCAGACTCCAGTAACCACAATCCTACTCTCTACTTCTATGAGCTCAACTTTTTAAGATCCTACATATGAGAGAGATCATGAGGTATTTATTTTTCTGTGACTGACTTACTTCACCTAACATAATGGCTTCCAGGATCATTCATGTTGCTGTGAATGACATAATTTCATTTTTCTTTATGGCTAAATAGTATTCCACTATGTACATATACCACATGTAATTAATCTGTTCATCTGTTAATGGACATTTAAGTTGATTCCATATCCTGGCTATTGTGAATAGTGCTGCAATAAACATAGGGGTGCAGATATCTCTTTGAAAGACAGACAGACAGTGAGAGTGAGAGAGAGAGAGAGAGAGAGAGCAAGAGCCAGAGAGCGAGAGCACCAAATCCTAACCACTAGACCACCAGAGAGCGTCATCTCTTTGATACACTGTTTTTCTTTCCTCTGGATAAATACCCAGTAGTGGGACTGCTGAATCATATGGTAGTTCAATTTTTAGTTTTTGAGGAACCTCCATACTGTTTTCCATAATGGCTACATTAATTTATATTCCCACCAATAGCGTATTAAGAGTTTCTTTTTCTCTATATCCTCACTAGGTTTTGTTATTTTTTGTCTTTTTGATAACAGCCATTCTAACAGGTCAGATGATCTATTTCATTGTGGTTTTGATTTGCATTTCCCTGACCAAATATTCTATTGATAGCAAACATTATGGCCACTCCTGGCCATAAATCTTACCTGTATATAAATGTTGGTTACATTTTTCTTGGTATATAAAAAAGGAAATGAACTTCAATGACCTCAACAGAGATTTAGTTTAAACAGCAGAAAGGTCTTAAACCACGTTGTTGTCACTGCTATACAAGTGAAGTATTAAACAATCTTCTTTTGAAATCTTTAAGAAGGGGGGAAAAACCATAGATATTTTGAATCATTTAGGGCTAACTCTGACTGGAGGCATAAGATAAAGATAATAACCATTGAAGCTTCCTTTCTACCATTAAAATTAAATATTATTGGCTGGGCATTGTGGCTCATGCCTATAATCCCAACATTTTGGGAGGCCAAGGCAGGAGGATTGTTTGAGCCCAGGAGTTCGAGACCAGCCTGGGCAATGTGGTGAAACCCCATCTCTAGAAAAACTCCAAAAATTAGCTGGGTGTGGTGGCTTGTGCCTGTAGTCCCAGCTACTTGGGATGCTGAGGTAGTAGGATCACTTGAGCCTGGGAGGTTGAGGCCGCAGTGGGCCATGACTACACCACTGCACTCCAGCCTGGGTGAAAGAGCAAGACCCTCTGTCAAAAAAAAAAAAAAATTAAATATTACTGCTGGTTGATTTCTATCTTTTCCATTCAATTCTCTGTCCTGAGAGGCAACCATTCTTCTGATTTCTATCACCATAGATTAGTATCGCTTATTCTTCAGCATTAATGATGAAACGTTTTAAGGTGATGGAAAAGTTCTATATCTTGATTTGGGTAGTGGTTATACTGGTACATACAAGTGTCAAAACCCAGCAAACAGTATATTTAAAATCTGTGCACTAATTGTAAATTATATTTCAGTTTAAAAAAACCAAGATATTAGAGTCTTGGGAAGAGATAACTTTAAAAATAATAGATATCATCATTCTTAAGGAGTGGACTAGGGAAGAGAAGGAAGCCAGCATGACCTCAATAGCAGATATAGTTTTATTGAACTAAAAACCAAGAAGGGAAAGAGCTGCCCTGGCTTCTCAACTGTATCCATGCTGATTAGCTAATAGCACCATTTCAATAGAATGCCCTCTGCTTTAACTGGCTCATTTGTTGTTGCAGAGCTGAGTCAACTGTACTGCCTGAAGGATGAAAACGGAGCTGGGGTAGAGAGGTGGTCATAAGATGCTACTGATTGTCTTGAAATAGAAATGTAGGAATTTACACTAGGCCATGATCAGGCATGTGGCTCTGTAGGCCCATACAGATAATGGCATCGTGCCTGCTAGCATTAGGAGAGAGTGCTCAAGGGAGAAAAAAAGTTAAGAATTTAACTGAAAGAAATGAAACAAGCAAATATAAGACTTTTACAAAAAGGATGCCTCACCCTATGCTGATTCATTATCGGCCTTTCTTCTTGCACTATTGGCGAGGCTGGAGATTGGCACTTGGAATATATTTCTTATAGCAACCTTAGCTTATCTGCATAAATTCAAATGTACCAGTCCACAGATAAGGGGCTGTTTATTCTTTCTGATTCACATTGTTGTTTTCTTGACACATGGTAAACACTAGTAGATGCCTTATGCAATTGGGTGTGTGGAGTATTTTTTAGTCTGACAAATGCCTTTCACATCAAACTGCAACGGTCTCTGCTTTTCTTCATACTTTCAAGTCAACAGTCCTAAAGTAAAATTCCCTAGGAAGTACTGCATCAAGATCATCTTAATTTTCCTTACTTGGTACCCTCTAGGCTAGGATTTTCCAGTGCCAAGGAGTTTAGAAAAGTAGAAAATAGAATTTTCACTGGCAAAAGACATTCTTATGACAACAAAGCCTTCCCTTTTGCAATTCCCTGGATTTAAATGGCCTACGTATGGATAATGTTCCATTTCAGTACTCTATTCCTAAGTTATATATGCTTTGAGTTATAATTCCCCAAAGGAACTTTCCTATATTCACTCTTCCTATCTCCAAAAGCCTTTCCAAGCCCCTTGAAGAAACTAAGAGTTGCTGTAATTCATACACGTACACACATGCATACACTCTTGCCCCAAGGAACCTCTATATACTATTTCCACACCTCATAGCTTGCCTTTATGAAATAGCCCCAGCTTCAGCCAAGGGCAGGCAATTCTCACCTATGTCACCATTAGTCATTAAAGGCACTACTTTCTGGAAGGCTACTATTGTCTGTTTTGGATCTAGACAAAAATATAGGCAGATCAATGACAATATATTATTTATATCTTCTCTGCTAAAGATGAGTTAGATGTTAATTTTCAGTACAGGTTATCAAATATACTCTGAGAACATACTTCCAATAAGTTGTAGGATACGATACAAAACGTCATCTTTTTACATAATTTCAATAGAAAAGCACATGTATTTCAATTAATTTAGTCAAAACCAAATTCCTTACTTCTTGGAAAACAGTACTGAAAAGAAAACCACCACCAATCTTGTCTGAGTGGCTTACAGGAGCCTCGAGTGTCTTCAGAAAAGCTGAACTTAGGCCTTTCACTGCAGGGAAGAGTTGGATGTCAGGCCTTAAAAGGCGAGAGTTATATAAGATGCCAGATGTTTAATCTTATCTCAAAGTCAAATATAAACGACTTGGGGACTGTCTGATGTTTTACATTCTCCACATTTATGTCCCTCTCTATTAGTGTGGATCCAAAAAGGAACTGGTATCACTCTTCACTTTTCATTCAAAGATTTCAAAGTACTTCATATAATCCAATGACATAGTCACAAGAGAGAAAATGATGGATCCTATAACAGTGTGAAAGACTGGCAGCAGGCATAGAAAAATGTAGGAAACTGGTTCAAGAGTATAGGCATTGTTACACCACATGAGAAAATAGTACCATAAACTAATACCTGCTCCATCTCTTAGAGGAATGTCTATCTCCAAACTCCCTCTCAACTAAAATCTGCATAAGTCTTGCCCTTTCTTCTACTAAAATTACATACAAGAGCAAGACTGTGCTCTCAAGAGACATGCCTCACTGGCTTGTCACTTACCCATGTTTCTTTGACCTCTTCAGAGCCATCAGTTTCATCCTCCTAAAAAAGAAAAGGGAAGAAAATCAAGAGGCTCATCATCACAGACATCCTTGAAAACAACAAGGTCAGATCCCATCAATTATGCATCTTGGCATTTCAAACATGGGCAATGAGAATTGACTTCCAAGTGATGCTCTGTTACTGCTACTTTTCACAGCCATCACAGGCAGGCAACTTAGAAATGTCACCTGTAGTCTAAAAAGTCAAATCGACCACAGTTGGTAAAGGGATATCTTTAAGACAGACAGACAGACAGACAGACAGACTTAATTTCATCTTTGTCAATACTTATCAGTCAATTTGGCCCTAAAACAATGAAATATTTTTATCTAAAAATAATTTATAATGGATGACTATTACTGTCTCATTTCTTGTCTCACTGAATAAAGTGTGTCCAATTTTCAAAGGAGTCATTGGTAGGCAGGGTCATCTTGTCCAAGTTATTGGCCACTTGTTCTTTAAAATGCCAATAACAAGGTTGAATGAGGCTACAGAACAAGATATGGAAGAGGATGAATGGAACTACTGAATGAGTATTTGTAGTTAGTAAACATTGGCATATCTGTCTTTATTTTAAAGCCAAAGTTCATCTATTTTATGTTATTTGTTCCACTTTTTCTCCAAAACAGTAAAACTAAGTGAACTTGTATTACTTAGAGGTTTTAAGTTCCTTGAACTTCTTGTAGTACTCCTACAATATTTAGTTAGAATCTGCTCATATGTGGCGTTAAGATATTGTTGACTCACTACATGACATTCAGGAAATATTAGGAAGGACTACTAAAACTCAACAAGCTTATTCATTTGTTAATATTTGTTTATATGGCTGTTGTACATTTCCAGTTTTTTAATTCTTTGCCAATTATTTACTGAGTGCCTGCCATGTGCTTAGTTAGCACTGTACTAGATACTGGGAATCTAGCCGGAACATACCAAATGAGTCCCACACTAGTTAGGTCTTTCTTCTCTTTTCCTCAGTAATACTTCCTGAGAAACTGCAAGATTCATGGCACCATGAAGGACTCTTTCTTTTAAACTCAACTGTAAGAATGGTGACCAAGAGTAATACGATATGCCTCAGCACAGACAAATCTACTTACATCCTTTGACCAGAAATTGATGTCTGTGCCTCTTCATCGTTCCTTGGGCCACCTCCTCTCTTGGACAGACAGCCTCTTAGAGGACTGCTCATCCAAATCTGCTTCTTCATTCTCTGGCCAGAGATAAAATAAAGTATGAACTTTAAGAATCTGCGGGATGTGCACTGTGGAGGGGCCTGTGTCTTTTGAAGCTCTACATACCATTTTTGTCCATTTCCTTTGCAGTTGTAGTGTTTGTGGTAGTCTTTGAACTCTCAGAATCAGGGACTGAAAATCTATTTGTCCATAGCAGGTGGGAACTGGTGTAGAGTGAGGGTCTTGATGTAGAAGGAGATGCTGGCGTGGTGGGTTTGTCTGGCTGAGCTGGGCACCTCAGGTGATGACAGATAGGCTGGAAATAATCCACAACATGAGATATTAGAAATCAAGTCCATCTAAAGAGTAAGGACAGCAGGTTTATACAAAATGTTTTTTTTTCTATATTAAGAGGCTTTTGAGGAGATGATGATCAATATTGAGTACCTGGTAATAGGTACTCAATAAATGAACTAAGCTAAAGTTAGTTAATTAGACAGAAAAAAAAAACAGCTTCTAGACTCCTACTCTGAGAATCCCATCATGTTGAGAACAGTTCAAGCAAATTATTCATCAATTAACCAAAGGGTACTAGATAGCATTAACCATGTAAAAAATTCCTTTGATCTTGGAATGAAAATAAGAATGATGGCCTTTTTAAGATGGAGGGCTGAAAGGCAAGGTTTATGTAGGGAAACAAAAAGATCAGGAGCATGAAGAAGCAAAAAGTAGGGATTACTTGAGAACAGAGAACAAATGTGATAATCCTACCGAGTTCTGAATACTCTACCACCTTGCCATAACCAGGCTTACTGAAACTTTCTAAAGTTCCCATTTTCCTTTTTGTAGTTTTGTTTTGTTGTTGTTGTTCTATTTTCTTTTCTTTTTTTTGAGATGGAGTCTTGCTCTGTTGCCCAGGCTGGAGTGCAACGGTGCAATCTTGGCTCACTGCAACCTCTGCCTCCTGGGTTCAAGCAATTCTGGTCTATTGTGGTCTTTTTTTTTTTTTAAACCTGAGAGTTAGGACAGATAGAGCCTAACAATAAGACTTAACTTGGTTTATGGAAGACTCAGAGATAGATAAATCCTTACTACACATTAAATTTATGACATAGAGATTGTACACATTTTTGTGATTTATAAAGACATAATACAATAAAATGTAGTAAATTTGGAGTCAGACAGATCTTTGTTCAAATTCTAGCTTCAGCATTACTAGCTGTGACCTTGAATAAGTTACTTAGCTTCTCTGGGCCATAACATCCTCATCTATAAAACAGAGATAACACCTTCTTCAGAGAAGATTATGAGGATTAAATTAAGAAAATGTGCATTAGGTGCTTAGAAGAATACCTGGTAATAGGTACTCAATAAATAGTAGCTTATAAAACAAACAAAATACAAAATAGAACTTCAGTTTATGGAATCTAGCCATTCAGAGTCAAAGCAAGGAGATTCCTTTCTTCTATAACCACAGTGACCATAACATTTATCAGTCCAAACGGGGACACTTTTGATAATGCAAAGGAGTGGTAATGATAATTACATAAAGTCAACAGTTGTAATTGGAACCATCTTAGGTAAACCAGGAGTTATGTTCACCCTAAATATAAACTTATACCTTTGACTACCAACTCCACTAGAGAAATGAAACGTAAATAAAAATGTCCCTCCCAACAGTGACACTCATGAGTGCTGTGTAAGCCCCTTAGGTTTATAAGAGTTTGAAAAACAATACACTAGTAGTTAAGAGAGCAAGCTGTGGAGTCAGACTGCCTATGTTCAAACTCTGGCTTAACCACTTCTTGGCTATGTGAAATGGGCAAATTCCTTAACCTCTGTGATTCAATTTCCTCATATATAAAATAGAAATAGTAATATTTACCTCAGAGAGTTGTTATGAGGATTAAATGCATTAATACATGAGAAGTACTTAAAATAGTGCCTGGCATAAAGTAAGCACGTATTGAGTAAAGTAAACACTCAATATATGCTTATATTTTTATTTGCATTTTGTTATACTATGACCTCTCCTTTTAGACTAGAAGGGCATTTATTCAAAAGCATCTGAGAGCATCAGTGAACTCTCAGAAGAAAAAAATGGTCATTTAAGGACCGACATCCTCTAAATTTTTGTCACACAGGTTTGCAAACTAAAGACAGCCATACTGAGTGAGTTGTCCATTGCAAGGTAGAACACAGCCTTTGAACTACCAGTGAAGAAGATACTCCCCAAACTAATTACCCTGCTTTTAGCACATTACATGCGAGCAAAAATGAGCTCACCTCTTCATCCAGACTCCTGCCCCAGGGCTGCTGGCCCTCCCCAGCTTCTGTTGCAGGAACTGCTTAGGTCTCATGCTTCTCAGGGCTCCCCTCAAGCCCTTCAGTGTCTGTAGGCTTCTCACGAGGCTGCTCCTGAGCTTGCCTCTCTGCCCTCGACTGGCTGAATGTCCTTTCTGCTTCTTGAAGGTCTGCTAGGGTGACACCCTGGGAAAATATCACAAGATCAGGGCTGTTTCACACTAACCATGGAATAACTCTTCATTGATCAGAAGTATTCCCAAAAAGATCTAATAGTTGTCAAATTCCAAAATGAAGCCCCTCAAAATGCATAATGAGGCCACTTCAAGCAATATATGCTTAAAATAAGCATCTCAGTGTACAAAGAACCCGGGCCTGAGTCTAGGTACATTTTAAATGTAATACTTTCTTTTTTCTGGTTTGATCTCCAGAAAACAGGTCAACATTGATGTCTGCCTGTTATAGATGTACTTTTCCCATACCAAATAGTTCTCAGTATCTTTATTTGAAAGGTCTCTACCCTCCCAAGATCAAATGGTTACCAACAGAGATTCCCTAAACAGCAGATACCGGGAAAAAAAATTCACTTAAAAAAAGAAAAACCTGGCTCAACAAGATGAAAATTCAGAGCTAGGCTATGATAACAACAACATAACCTCTTAAAACTCCTAGACTAGCTTTTCTTTAATATGAATTCCCAAGTAACTCTAGGAATCATATAGGGATATTCCAACAATTAATGCTCCCCCCCGCAGTGTCACAGGGGCAGCAAGACAGAAGAAAGGCAAATGATGACAAAACTACAGGAGAAGAGAGAAAAGGAGTTTAGAAAGAGCATGAGCTGATTCCAACTCAAGTAGTTATGTGCATGAGTCCTCAGAAGAAGGAAGTTCCAAAGCTGGAAGGTAGTTGATCAGGCACTGTATCCACAGCTTGCTTCCCCTCCCCACCCCCAGCTTTTTTACTATTAATTCATTTACTTACTCATTCTGTTAATAAAGAATTAGGTGTCTTTAGGCACTAGAACTACAAAGACAAATCCAATGGTTACTGTCAAGAACCTTTTATTCTAGCAGAAAAGATGTAAGAAAACAGATGAGTATAATGAGAGAATGTAAGTATTAAAACAGAAACACAAGAGTATATAAGAGGAATATCGAACACTGGGTTTTAAAGAGTAAAAAGAACTTGGGTAGGGGGAGGGAGAAAAGGCATTATAGGTAGAGGGATCCTGTACAAAGATATGGAAACGAGAGAGGCCATGGATGATTTAGGAATCTGCAGGTAACTTAGCAAAGATGAAGCCCACAACAAAAAAAGGAAAGTTGGAAGAGAGAGAGAGAATGAGGATAGGTGATTTTAAGAAAGCAGGCAGAGGCTAGGTCATAATAGATTTTGTAAGCTATGCTAAGAAGCTTAGATTTTACTTTCTTTGGGAGTTGGTGGTCCCTTTGAGAATCTCATGAAGACTACTGAGAATCTAATAAAATCTCCTCAAAAATTATGTACACATTTCAAGGAGTTCAAAGATCTATTCAAGTTTTGACATGGACCTTCACTCCCTCTCTGCTGAATCTTTCCCTCTAAGACGTTTCCATGTTCCTGTCTCTCCCACCTTCAATTCTATGCCCCTCTCCGGCAACTTCCCTATCTTCTCCCATTCCTTCATAAACAAACTTGAAATCATTCCACAGCAATTTATCTTCCCCTATCATTTATTTCTCACTCATTTATTTATTCAATAAATATATATTGATTTATTTACTGTATGATGGTGGAAAAGATGAGCAAAAGTATAGTCAGTCTTCTTTTTCACACCCATTAGGATGGTTATTACCAAAAAAAACAGGCTGGGCATGGTGGCTAACACCTGTAATCTCAGCACCTTGAAAGGCCAAGGTGGGTAGATCACTTGGGGTCAGGAGTTCAAGACCAGCCTGACTAACATGGTGAAACCCCATCTCTACTAAAAATACAAAAATTAGCCAGGTGTGGTGATGGGCGCCTGTAATCCCAGCTACTTGGGAGGCTGAGGCAGTAGAATTGCTTGAACCCTGAGGCAGAAGTTGCAGTGAGCCAAGATCACACCATCGCACCCCAGCCTGCGTGACAAGAGCAAACAACAACAACAACAACAAAAATATTGGTGAGGATATGGAAAAATTAGAACCCTTGTGCACTGCTGATGGGAACATAAAATGGTACAGCCGCTAAGGAAAACAGTATGGCAGTTCCTCAGAAAATTAAAAATTGAATTACCATATGATCCAGCAAATTCCATTTCTCAGTATATACTGAAAAGAATTGAAAGCAGGGTTTCAGGGAGATATTTGTATAGCCATTCTCATAGCAGCATTAAACAGCCAAAAGGTGGAAGCAACCCAATGTCTACTGACAGATGAATGGATACACAAAATGCAGTATCCATAAAAGGCTGAAATATTCATCCTTTAGGAGGGAGGAACTCTGACACATGCTACAATATGGATGAACCCTGATAACTATGCTAAGTAAAATACGACACAAAAGGACAACTACTATATGATTCTACTTATTTGAGGTTCCTAGCATAGTCAAGTTCATAGACAGAAAGTGGAAGCAGCATTGCCAGAGGGAAATGGGGAGTGATTATTTAATGGATACAGAGTTTCAGTTTGGGAAGAGGAAGAAAGTTCTAGAGATGAATGGTGGCGATAGTTATACAACAATATAAATGTACTTAATGCCATTAAACTGTAAACTTAAAAATGGTAAAACTGGTAAGTTTTATGTTACATATATTTCACCACAATAAAACAAAACAAAAAAACAGTCAGTCTTGGTTCTCTTAGGGGTTACATTCTAATGGAGGAAACAGACAAATAATCATCAAGTACAAATAAAGGAAGAATACATGACCTACTTTGGGAGAGTCAAGAAAGACAACAAGGGTGTTTTTGCTGCCATATATAATGTCTCTTTTCCAGTGGTAAAATTTGCTACTTGACCTCTGTAGTATTTAAAACTGTGGAACTTCTCCTTTTCACTGGAAATGGACTTTTCATTCACTTCCATGCTGCTACTATTTTCTGATTTTCTTTTCAACTGCTCCTGCTGCTTCTTTTCATTCTGTTTCATGGGCTTATCTTTCTTTGCTTCTTTAAATAACAAATTCATAGCCTTCTCTCAATTTTCACTGCCATTACAACTTGATTTCATACCCTTGTAATTTCCTGGGACTACAATACAACTTGGACTACAATACAGTTCCCAGCAAGTCTTCTTGCTTCCAGGCTTGGCAAACATACCTCTACCTACCATTCCCATCAATTATCTGCAGGGTGATTTTTCTAACCTATAATGTAGACTATATCATATTCCCTTAAACTGCTTCAATGACTCCTTCAGGGATTCCTTTTGTAACATCTTTATTAAAATACAATCCTCATATCATAATCACCATTTGAAAGTATACAATTCCTTGGTGTTTAGTTTATTCACAGAGTTATAAAATTATCACATCTAATTTCGTAATTTTCATCACCCCAAAAAGAAACCGCGTACTCACCATTCTGCCTTCCCCCCAGCCCTGGCACTAATCTAATTTCTGTCTCTTTGGATTTGCCTATTTGGGACATTTCATATAAATGGAATCATATAATATATGGAGTGTTTTGTGTCTGGCCTTTTTTAACTTAGCATAATGTTTTCTTAAGGTTCATCCATGTTGTAACATGTATCAGTACTTCATTTTTTTTATTGCCAAATAGTATGGATTTATCACATTTGGTTTACCCATTCATTAGTAAATAGACATTTGGCTTATTGTTACTTTTTGGCTATTATGAATAATACTATTACAAACACCTATATACAAGTTTTTATATGAACATATGTTTTCATTTCTCTTGAGTAGAACTGCTGAGTCAAATGGTAACTCTAAGTTTAAAATTTTGAGGAATTGCCAAACTCTTTTCCCTTACGGATTCTTAAAATGTAGTAGGGATATAGGGATGTATAGGGATTCTTAAGGTCTTTAAGCACAAGTGAAATAATTAATCCTGTGAAGGAAAAGAGATAAACCTGTTCTAAGCCTGGAGGAATATTGGTGAAATGGGTAGATGTAGATGTAAATTCATTTGGTTCTATGTAGTATAAGATTCAACACAGTGAAAGCTTTTAAGACTGGCTGGAATAGGGCAGTCATTTTTATGTGTGTGTTTTGCTTTGTCTTGTTTTTTTGAGATGGAGTCTCGCTCTGTCACGCAGGAGGGCAGTGGAGCAATCTTGGCTCACTGGAACTTCTTCTGCCTCCCAGGTTCAAGCAATTCTCCCACCTCATCCTCCCAAGTAACTGAAATTACAGGCACACACCACCATGCCTGGCTAATTTTCATATTTTTAGTAGAGACAGGGATTCACCACGTTGGCCAGGCTTGTCTTGAACTCCTGACCTCAAGTCAGGAATGCTCTTGGTCTCAACTCCTTGGCCTCACAAATTGCTGGGATTACAGGTGTGAGCCACCATGCCAAGCCGTGTGCGTGTGTGTGTGTCTGTGTGTTTAAATCAGCAGTTGAACATGGATATTGCAGTGTGTTTTGGGACTAGAGCCAAGATGGCCAAATAGGAACAGTTCCGGTCTACAGCTCCCAGCACGAGCGACACAGAAGACGGGGGATTTCTGCATTTCCATTTGAGGTACCGGGTTCGTCTCACTAGGGAGTGCCAGATAGTGGGTGCAGGACAGTGGGTGCAGCGCACCGCACGCCAGCCGAAGCAGGGCGAGGCATTGCCTCACTCGGGAAGCTCAAGGGGTCAGGGAGTTAGTTCCCTTTCCTGGTCAAGGAAAGGGGTGACAGACGGCACCTGGAAAATTGGGCCATTCCCACCCAAATACTGCGCTTTTTCGATGGGCTTAGGAAACGACGCACCAGGAGATTATATCCCGCACCTGGCTCCGAGGGTCCTAAACCCACGGAGTCTCGCTGATTGCTAACACAGCAGTCTGAGATCAAACTGCAAGGTGGCAGTGAGGCTGGCGGAGGGGCGCCCGCCATTGCCCAGGCTTGCTTAGGTAAACAAAGCAGCCTGGAAGCTCGAACTGGGTGGACCCCACCACAGCTCAAGCAGTTCTGCCTGCCTCTGTAGGCTCCACCTCTGGGGGCAGGGCACAGACAAACAAAAAGACAGCAGTAACCTCTGCAGACTTAAATGTCCCTGTCTGACAGTGTTGAGGAGAGCAGTGGTTCTCCCAGCAGGCAGCTGGAGATCTGAGAACAGGCAGACTGCGTCCTCAAGTGGGTCCCTGACCCCTGACCCCCGAGCAGCCTAACTGGGGGGCACCTCCCAGTAGGGGCAGACTGACACCTCACACAGCCGGGTACTCCTCTGAGACAAAACTTTCAGAGGAACGATCAGACAGCAGCATTAGAGGATCACGAAAATCCGCGGTTCTGCAGACACCGTTGCTGATACCCAGGCAAACAGGGTTTGGAGTGGACCTCTAGCAAACTCCAACAGACCTGCAGCTGAGGGTCCTGTCTGTTAGAAGGAAAACTAACAAACAGAAAGGACATCCACACCAAAAACCCATCTGTACATCACCATCATCAAAGACCAAAAGTAGATAAAACCACAAAGATGGGGAAAAAAACAGAGCAGAAAAACTGGAAACTCTAAAAAGCAGAGTGCCTCTCCTCCTCCAAAGGAACACAGTTCCTCACCACCAATGGAACAAAGCTGGAGGGAGAATGACTTTGATGAGTTGAGAGAAGAAGCCTTCAGACGATCAAACTACTCTGAGCTACAGGAGGAAATTCAAACCAAAGGCCAAGAAGTTAAAAACTTTGAAAAAACTTTAGATGAATATATAACTAGAATAACCAATACAGAGAAGTGCTTAAAGGAGCTGATGGAGCTAAAAGCCAAGGCTCGAGAACTACGTGAAGAATGCAGAAGCCTCAGGAGCCGATGCGATCAACTGGAAGAAAGGGTATCAGTGATGGAAGATGAAATGAATGAAATGAAGCGAGAAGGGAAGTTTAGAGAAAAAAGAATAAAAAGAAACGAACAAAGCCTCCAAGAAAAATGGGACTATGTGAAAACACCAAATCTACGTCTGATTGGTGTACCTGAAAGTGATGGGGAGAATGGAACCAAGTTGGAAAACACTCTGCAGGATATTATCCAGGAGAACCTCCCCAATCTAGTAAGGCAGGCCAACATTCAGATTCAGGAAATACAGAGAACACCACAAAGATACTCCTCGAGAAGAGCAACTCCAAGACACATAATTGTCAGATTCACCAAAGTTGAAATGAAGGAAAAAATGTTAAGGGCAGCCAGAGAGAAAGGTCAGGTTACCCACAAAGGGAAGCCCATCAGACTAACAGCTGACCTCTCCGCAGAAACTCTATAAGCCAGAAGAGAGTGGGGGCCAATATTCAACATTCTTAAAGAAAAGAATTTTCAACCCAGAATTTCATATCCAGCCAAACTAAGCTTCATAGGTGAAGGAGAAATAAAATACTTTACAGACAAGCAAATGCTGAGAGATTTTGTCACCACCAGGCCTGCCCTAAAAGAGCTCCTGAAGGAAGCACTAAAAATGGAAAGGCACAACCGGTACCAGCTACTGCAAAATCATGCCAAAATGTAAAGACCATTGAGACTAGGAAGAAACTGCATCAACTAACGAGCAAAATCACCAGCTAACATCATAATGACAGGGTCAAATTCACACATAACAATATTAACTTTAAATGTAAATGGACTAAATGCTCCAATTAAAAGACACAGACTGGCAAATTGAATAGTCAAGACCCATCAGTGTGCTGTATTCAGGAAACCCATCTCACATGCAGAGACACACATAGGCTCAGAATAAAAGGATGGAGGAAGATCTACCAAGCAAATGGAAAACAAAAAAAGGCAGGGGTTGCAATCCTAGTCTCTGATAACACAGACTTTAAACCAACAAAGATCAAAAGAGACAAAGAAGGCCATTACATAATGGTAAAGGGATCAATTCAACCAGAGGAGCTAACTATCCTAAATATATATGCACCCAATACAGGAGCACCAAGATTCATAAAGCAAGTCCTGAGTGACCTACAAAGAGACTTAGACTCCCACACATTAATAATGGGAGACTTTAACACCCCACTGTCAACATTAGACAGATCAACGAGACAGAAAGTCAACCAGGATACCCAGGAATTGAACTCAGCTCTGCACCAAGCAGACCTAATAGACATCTACAGAACTCTCCACCCCAAATCAACAGAATATACATTTTTTTCAGCACCACACCACACCTATTCCAAAATTGACCACATAGTTGGAAGTAAAGCTCTCCTCAGCAAATGTAAAAGAACAGAAATTATAACAAACTATCTCTCAGACCACAGTGCAATCAAACTAGAACTCGGGATTAAGAATCTCACTCAAAGCCGCTCAACTACATGGAAACTGAACAACCTGCTCCTGAATGACTACTGGGTACATAACGAAATGAAGGCAGAAATAAAGATGTTCTTTGAAACCAACGAGAACAAAGACACAACATACCAGAATCTCTCGGACGCATTCAAAGCAGTGTGTAGAGGGAAATTTATAGCACTAAATGCCCACAAGAGAAAGCAGGAAAGATCCAAAATTGACACCCTAACATCACAATTAAAAGAACTAGAAAAGCAAGAGCAAACACATTCAAAAGCTAGCAGAAGGCAAGAAATAACTAAAATCAGAGCAGAACTGAAGGAAATAGAGACACAAAAAACCCTTCAAAAAATTAATGAATCCAGGAGCTGGTTTTTTGAATGGATCAACAAAATTGATAGACCGCTAGCAAGACTAACAAAGAAAAAAAGAAGAATCAAATAGATGCAATAAAAAATGATAAAGGGGGTATCACCACTGATCCCACAGAAATACAAACTACCATCAGAGAATACTACAAACACCTCTACGCAAATAAACTAGAAAATCTAGAAGAAATGGATAAATTCCTTGACACATACACTCTCCCAAGACTAAACCAGGAAGAAGTTGAATCTCTGAATAGACCAATAACAGGATCTGAAATTGTGGCAATAATCAATAGCTTACCAACCAAAAAGAGTCCAGACCAGTTGGATTCACAGCCGAATTCTGCCAGAGGTACAAGGAGGAACTGGTACCATTCCTTCTGAAACTATTCCTATCAATAGAAAAAGAGGGAATCCTCTCTATCTCATTTTGTGAGGCCAGCATCATCCTGATACCAAAGCTGGGCAGAGACACAACCAAAAAAGAGAATTTTAGACCAATATCCTTGATGACCATTGACACAAAAATCTTCAATAAAATACTGGCAAACCAAATCCAGCAGCACATCAAAAAGCTTATCCACCATGATCAAGTGGGCTTCATCCCCGGGATGCAAGGCTGGTTCAATATATGCAAATCAATAAATGTAATCCAGCATATAAACAGAACCAAAGACAAAAACCACATGATTATCTCAATAGATGCAGAAAAGGCCTTTGACAAAATTCAACAACTCTTCATGCTAAAAACTCTCAATAAATTAGGTATTGATGGGACGTATTTCAAAATAATAAGAGCTATCTATGACAAACCCACAGCCAATATCATACTGAATGGGCAAAAACTGGAAGCATTCCCTTTGAAAACTGGCACAAGACAGGGATGCCCTCTCTCACCACTCCTTTTCAACATAGTTTTGGAAGTTCTGGCCGGGGCAATTAGGCAGGAGAAGGAAATAAAGGGTGTTCAATTAGGAAAAGAGGAAGTCAAATTGTCCCTGTTTGCAGACGACATGATTGTATATCTAGAAAACCACATTGTCTCAGCCCAAAATCTCCTTAAGCTGATAAGCAACTTCAGCAAAGTCTCAGGATACAAAATCAATGTACAAAAATCACTAGCATTCTTATACACCAATAACAGACAAACAGAGAGCCAAATCATGAGTGAACTCCCATTCACAATTGCTTCAAAGAGAATAAAATACTTAGGAATCCAACTTACAAGGGACGTGAAGGACCTCTTCAAGGAGAACTACAAACCACTGCTCAATGAAATAAAAGAGGATACAAACAAATGGAAGAACATTCCATGCTCATGGGTAGGAAGAATCAATATCGTGAAAATGGCCATACTGTCCAAGGTAATTTACAGATTCAATGCCATCCCCATCAACCTACCAATCACTGTCTTCACAGAATTGGAAAAAACTACTTTAAAGTTCACATGGAACCAAAAAAGAGCCCACATTGCCAAGTCAATCCTAAGCCAAAAGAACAAAGCTGGAGGCATCACGCTACCTGACTTCAAACTATACTACAAGGCTACAGTAACCAAAACAGGATGGTACTGGTACCAAAACAGAGATATAGATCAATGGAACAGAACAGAGCCCTCAGAAATAACGACACATATCTACAACTATCTAATCTTTGACAAACCTGAGAAAAACAAGCAACGGGGAAAGGATTCCCTATTTAATAAATGGTGCTGGGAAAACTGGCTAGCCATATGTAGAAAGCAGTGTGTTTTCATTGTACCTCCAACAGAAGGGTAGATAGACAAAATGACATTTTAAAAAAAGCCACACTCACTTGAGTAGACCTTCGTGTCTGCCGAGCTTGTCTGGAGCGTGCTGTCCTTAAAACTCTGCTTCCTTATCCTGTACAGGAGTCAGATAGGACCTGCAGAGAAAAAAAAAGTAATAGCAAAAGGAAGATCTTTGCTGAATATACTTGAGGAATGACAAAGTGTTTCCATGTATTGAAGAGATTTCTACATTCTAGGAATGAACTTAAGCAAAGTCAAAGTGACAGATATGCTATCAACCATCAGCAAACATTACAGAATCCAAGTTATTACAGTTGCTCCCCTTATCTGTGGTTTTGCTTTTTGTGGTTTCAGTAGCCCATGGTGAACTGTGGTCTGAAAATATTAAATGAAAACTTCCATCAATAAACAATTCATACATTTTCAATTGTGCACTGTTCTGAATAGCGTGGTGAAATTTCATGCTGTTCCATTCTGTCCCTCCTGAGATGCAAATCATGCACTGTTGTGATATCACAGTGTTTATGTTCAACTAATCCGTATTCTACTTAATAATGGCCCCAAAGTGCAAGAGTAGTGATGCTGGCATTTTGTTATAACTGTCTATTTTATTATTAGTTATTAATATTATTGCTAATCTCTTACTGTGCCTAATTATAAATTAAACTTTAGTGTAGGTATGTATTTATAGGACAAATTGTATTTATATAGGGTTCTGTACTATCTGTAGGTTCAATCATCCACTGGAAGTCTTGAAAGGTATCGTGCGGTGGCTCACACCTATAATCCCAGCACTTTGGGAGGCCAAGGTAGGAGGATCACCTCAGGTCAGGAGTTCGAGACCAACCTGACCAACATGCTGGAACCCTGTCTCTATTAAAAATACAAAAATTAGCCAGGTGTGCTGGTGGGCACCCGTAATCCCAGCTACTCAGGAGGCTGAGACAAAAGAATCACTTCAACTTGGAGGCCGAGGTTGCAGTGAGCTGAGATTGCACCACTGCACTCCAGCCTGGGTGACGAGTGAAACTAGGTCTCAAAAAAAAAAAAAAAAAAAAAAAAAAAAAAAAAGAAATGTATCTCCCATGGATAACGGGACTATTGTGTTTTTAAATGTATTACTGTTCACACAGAATCATGTCATCTGTAAAATGAGAATTTTATTTCTTCTTTCCCATCCTTCCAATTTTTATTTCTTTTCTTGCCTTAATGCTTTGGCTAGGAATCTCTAGGACATGCTGAAAAGCAGTGATGATAGTAAGTTTTCATTCTCTGTAATCCTGCCATCAAAGAGAATGCTTTCAGCATTTTTTCATTAAGTGTAATGTTTGTTGTAAGATTTATGCAGATACCACTCATCAAATTAAAGCAATTCCCTTCTATTCCTACAGAAAACAGGCTAAGAGGGTTTCTCGTTGTTTTTTAATCATTAGTGTATGTTGAACTTTATCACATGCTATTCTTCCCCATATATTGAGATGATTGCTTTTCTCCTTTTTTCTGTCAGGAAGGTGAATTACATTGAATAATTTTTGAATGATAAAGCAACACTGAATTCTTGGGACAAGCTCAACTTGGTCAAGATGTACCATCTTTTTATATAGATTTTTAAACATATTCACTATTATTTAGTTTAGAATTTCTACCACATTCATGAAAGAAATTGGCTTATAATTTTCCCTTCTTGTAATATGCTGGTCAGCTTTGTGAATTAAGGTTATGTGAATTGTGAGTGTTCTCTACATGTCTATTTCTGTAAGAATTTGTGTAAGATTTGGGTTATTTCCTCCTTAAATGATTGGAAGTGTTCACTAATCAAGTCATCTGGGTTTACAGTGTTCCTTGTGGGAAGGTTTTGTTTTTTATTTTTGAGACAGAGTCTTACTTCGTTGCCCATGCTGGAGTACAGTGGCGTGATCATAGCTGACTGTAGCCTTGATTTCCTGGACTCAGGCAATTTTCCCTCCTCAGCCTTTGCAAGTAGCTGGGACTACAGGTGCACGCCACCACACCTGGCTAACTTTTTTTTATTTTTAGTAGAGATGAGGTCTCGCTATGTTGCCTAGGCTGATCTTGAACTCCTGAGCTCAAGCGATCCTCCCACCTTGACTTCCCAGAGTGCTGGTTTATAGGTGTGAGCCACTGTGTCCAGCCCTTATGGGAAAGTTTTAAATAAAGGGTTCAATGTCTTTAATAGAGTTAGGCTTATTCAAATTTTCTGTTTTGGTAATTGTTTTTTAAGAAATTTTCCATTTTGTCTGTATTATCACATTTAGTGGCATAAAGTTGTTAATAATACCCTTAGAATACATTTGTTATTTTAATATCTAGAGCAGTGGCTTTCAAATTGTTTTGGTCTCAAGATCCTTTAATATTTTTTAAAATTATTGAGAACCCCAGAAAGCTTTTGTTTATATGGGGATTAATATTTATCTTACTAGAAATTAAAATTTAAAAATTAAAAAATGTATTTATTAATTTATTTAAAAATAATAGCAGCCAGGAGCAGTAGCTCATGCCTGTAATCCCAACACTTTGGGAGGCCCAGGCGGGTAGCTGGCTTGAGCCCAGGAGTTTGAGACCAGCCTGGGCAACATGGCAAAACCTCGTCTCTTCAAAAAATACAAAAATTAGCCAGGTGCAGTGGCATGTGCCTGTAGTCCCACCTACTCATGAGGCTGAGATGGGAGGACGGCTTAAGCCTGGGTGGCAGAGGTTGTAGTGAGCTGAGAATATACCACTGCACTTCAGCCTGGTTGACAGAGCCAGACCTTGTCTCAAATAACAATAACAATAATAATAATATTAAAATAGCCCTAGATAAGATGGAGTGATGTCAGCAGGATGGCCAAATTGAGTTACCTAAAGCCCATCCTCTCCACAAAAAGGGACCAAAACAATGAATAAACAACGATATTTCAATTAAAATGACCAAAGAAGTACTCGGGAGAGCACCAGGGGAACAGCAAAATCCCTGTGGAAGACAAAAGCCCAGGGCAGCACCATAGAGAGGGGAGCAAGGTATTCTGCTTCTGCCACACTGTCTCCCCTACCAGGATCAGCCTGGAGCCAGAGGGGGCTTCTTAAGGGAAAAACGTAAGCTGGAGATCACCAGTGATCCCCATTGCTACCATAAATGCCAGAAATTCTTGCTATAGGAGAGTCCCTCTGTCCTCAAAGGCCCTGAATCCAGTTTGGAGAGTAGAGTTCATACAGTTAACTTTGCCTAGAGTAGGAGCTCACCTTGAGCACCCCCTGCCCCCCACCCTCACATCCTAAGCTGCTGCTACTCAGTATCATCTTGAAACTGGACCTACTACTAGAATGTGCCCTTCCCTGTAGTCCGGTACAAGAATGGACTTTCTCCATTCATGTAGCCCTGCCATCACTCTACCATGTTCACACAGGCGCCTGTAGCACTACAATCCTAGCTGCCTGAAGCCTAGTCAGATGCAACAACTGAGACCTCTGCACTTGAACCCATGTGGTACAATACCCTCCCAACCCCAGGAACAGCCAAACCTGCACATGGGGGAAACTGCCTAACTGCTGGCCAGTCCCCTCACCGGTACATACCTGCACTGCACAGCTAGCTTGCCAGCTGAACCTATGCACACCCACATCCAGCCCAACAACCAGTTCTACCGTGGTTCCACCCCTCAGACCGCTGCAGAACCACCCAGCCCTGCTGTGGCCACACACCACTGTGCCTGACAGCCAGTTTAGCAGCAGCCCTGCCCCAAAGACAGATCACTGCAGGGTTGTGTGGCCCTGCTGTACCCATGCTTGGCCTGATAGTTGGTCAAGCAGCAGCGCTGTACCCCTGGATTTCTCAGGAGAAACCTTGTAGGCCAGGAGAGAATGAGATAATACATTCAAAGTGTTTGGGGGAAAAAAACAAACCTGTCAGCCAAGACTACTATATCCAGCAGAGCTATCATCCACCAATGAAGGAAAAATAAAGACCTTCGCAGACAAGCAAAAGCTGAGAAAAAACCATCACCACTAGACTAGCCTTACAAGAAATACTTAAGAGAATGGTATAACTGGAAATAAAAGATTATAATTATTTTCATGAAAAGATGTAAAAGTATAAAACTCACCAATAGAGGTAAGTTCATAAATCAAATTCAGACTAGCCCAGTGATTTAATGGTGCTATGTAAGTCTCTCAGTCCTCTAGTATGAAGGTTTAAAGTCAAAATGGTCAAAACTCCTGACAGTTACAATTAGTAGCTAAGGAACACAATCACAGGTAAAAAAGTAATTACAGAAACAAAAAAGAGAAGTCTAGAGCATTTTAATGCAACCAAAGTTAAGTTGCTATCAGCTTAAAACATTCTACTATAAGACGTTTAATGTTAGCCCCATGGTAGCCACAAAGAAAGAAAGAAATTACTGCAGTGGCACAAACAAGAAAGAGAAAGGAAACAAAGCTCAGTACTACAGAAAACCACCAAACCACAGAAGTAAATAAAAGAGGAAGAAAGGAACGAAGGATCTATAAAACCACCAGAAAAAAAATTAACAAAATGGGAGGAGTAAGATCTTCTTTATCAATAATAAGCTTAAATATAAATGGATTAAATTATCCACTTAAAAGATACAGAGTGGCTGAATGGATTAAAAACAAGACCCAACCATATACTGCCTAAAACAGACTCACCTAACCATTAAAGACAAACATAGACTAAAAGTAAAGGGAGGGAAAAAGATATTCCATGCAAATGGAAACCAAGTGAGCAGGAGTAACCATGTCAGATAAAACAGACTTTAAGTCAAAAACTGTAAAAGAGGACAAAGAAAGTCATTAGACATTGATAAAGGGTACAATTAAGCAAGAGGATATAAAAACTATAAATACATACATCCATCCAAGACCAGAGCACCCAGATATATAAAGCAAATATTATTAGAGGTAAAGGGAGAGATAGACTGTAATACTATAACAGTAGGTGTCAAATGTAGTGAACTACAAGTTTCTCTTCAAGGAATCAGTATGCCAGTATATTGAGCTCTCTTATTCTCTATTCTCCATTTTAAAGCTTAACTTCCTGGTTCTCTTCGCCCTCTTGCCTCTAGCTTCAGTACACAACCCCCTCCTAGCCTCTATCACCTGCTCTGTCCTGAGTCACCCCTGGTCGCCTGCTCTGACCTGAGTCATCCTGAGTCACCTGTTCTGTAACCGTCGTTCCTGCCAAACTACTCACTGGGATTTTGGGTGCAGACTTCCTCTGTTCCCTCTGTCAGTCTTTCTCTCTTTTTTCATATACTTTTTGGGTTTCTCTTAGAAGCTCTTCCATAGGTTTGTCTTTCCAGTTCTCTATCTTTTGTAATTTCTTGTTAATATCTTAGCCAAGATTGCACCTACTGCATTCTGGCCTGGGCAACAGAGCAAGACTCCATGTCAAAAAAAAAAAAAAAAGGTGTTCTTCATAAAAATAAAACAAAATCCTAAAATTCATATGAAACCAGAAAAAAAAAAAGAACAGCCAAAGCAATTCTGAGTGGAAAGCTGGAAGCATCACACTACATAACTTAAAAATATACTACAAACGTATAATAACAAAAACAGAATAGTACTGGCATAAAAACAGACACATAGACCAATGGAACAGAATAGAAAGCCCAGAAATAAATTGACATACCTAAAGCCAACTGATTTTTGACAAAGGTGCCACGAACACACATTAGGGGAGAAACTGTTTCTTCAATAAATGCTGCTGGGAAAGTGGGACATCAACATGCAGAAGAATGAGAGTAAATCCCTACCTCTCACCACATACAAGAATCAATTCAAAGTAGATTAGAGACTTAACATGGAAACCCAAAACTGTGGAACTACCTAGAATATAACATAGGAGAAATGCTTCATGACATTGGGCTAAGCTAGGATATTTTAAATAAGACTTCAAAAGCATAGAAAACAAAAGCAAAAATGGACAAATGAGATTGCAACAAACTAAAATGCTTTTCCATAGCAAAGGAAACTATTAAACAGAGTAAACAGACAACCTAAAGGATGGGAAAGAAAACTTGCAAACTATACATCTGACAAGGAGTTAATATCCAGAATATATACGGGACTTAGCAGCAAACAAAACAAAAAAACAAAAACCTGATTTTAAAAATGGGCAAAATACCTTAACAGACATTTACTTCTCAAAAGAAGTCATACAAATGGCTAATGAATATATGAAAAAATGGTCAACATCACAAACCATCAGGGAAATGAAAATCAAAACCACAATAGGTACCATTTCACACGACTTAGAATGACCATTATCAAAAAGACAAAAGAAAACCAGTCTTGGCAGGGATGTGAAGAAAAGGGGAACACTTACATAAGTTGGTGGGACTGTAAGCTAGTACAGCCATTGTGGAAAACAGTATGGAGGTTCCTTTAAAACTTAAAAATAGAACTACCATATGATTCAGCAATCCCACTACTGTGTACACATCTACAGGAAAGGAAATTAGTATATTGAAGAGTTATCTGCATTACCTGTTTATGGCAGCACTATTTACATTAACAAAAATATGAAACTGAGTCCTCAAAAATGGAAGAATGGGTAAAGAAAATGTTTATATCCAGAATGGAACAGTATCCATCCATTAAAAAGAAGAACAAAATCTTGTCATTTGCAACAACACAGATGAACCTGGAGAATATCAGGTTAAGTGAAATAAGCCAGACACAGAAAAAAAAATACTGCATGATCTCACTAATATGTGCAATCTAAAAAAAGGTGGGGGCAGTTGATATCATAAAATCAGAGAGTAGAACAGTGGTTACAAGAGACTGGGGAGGGAAGAGGTGAGAGAAGGATGGGGAGAGGTTGGTTTATGGTTCAAAGTTATAATTAGACAGAGGGAATAAATTCTGATGTTCTATTGCAGAGTAAGGTGACTATGGTTAAAAGCAAAATATTGTATATTACAAAATAGGTAAAACAGTTGCTTTTGAATGTTCTTACCACAAGGAAATGATAAATGCATGGATGATGAATATACTAACTACTCTGATTAGATCATTATACAACATAGATATGCATCGAAACATCAAACTGTACCTCCATAAATATGTAGTTATGTGTCAAATAAATTTTAAAATAAAAAAGAAAATAATAGCCCTAATACATTTTAACATCAATATTATTTTTTATTAAAAAAACTATATCTTCCAAAACAAAAAATTAGAAGAGTGGCATTGTTTTACATTTTCATAAATTTCTTTAATGTTGGTTTAATAGAAGACAGTGGGATCCTCTTATCTCTTTATGCAGTCAATATATTGTTTTGGTTAAAATATATAAAGACTAGTCTTTCACAAATACATAGTTGGAAAAGCGAGGAGTATTGTGATAGCTTTCTCAGATAATTGGGAGATATTTTTCTTTGATGCTACACCAACACAAGTGGTGGTTAATTACAATGTATACTCTAAAACAGGGGTCCCCAACTCCCGGGCTGCAGAACAGGACTGATCTGTGGCCTGTTAGGAACCACGCTGTACAGCAGGAGGTGAGCGAGTGAGCATTGATGCCTGAGCTCTGCCCTCTGTCAGATCAGCCACGGCATTAGATTCTCATAGGGACGTGAACCCTATTGTGAGCTGCCCATGCCAGGAATCTAGGTTGTGCATGCCTTATGAGAATCTAACTAATGCCTGATGATCTGCAGAACAGTTTTACCCAAAACCATCACCGTCCCCCACACCCCATGCCTCCACCAGTCTGTGGAAAAATTGTCTTCCACAAAACCAGTCCCTGGTGCCAAAAAGGTTGGAGAACACTGCTCTAAAATATATTAATAGATTTTTCATATTCTGTTACATTGAAATCCTTTGGTCTATCTTATACTTTCAAAGAATCTTCTTATTCATGCATGATTTTGTAACATATCTTTATAAGTCATTTGTAAAATATTGGTGCATTTGTAAAATATTGCTACATTAAGCAGATCTTCCCAATATTGACATACTACATTATATAATAATAGTAAAAATAAATTATTTAATATCACCTTTGATCTTAGAACAGTCTTTAAGTATTGGGAAGCTGTCAGTAATATTACTCATGGTGGCATATAAGTTTTCTAAAATTCTAATTTCTGCTTGAAAGTTTAAATTTTTAATTGGCAACAAATACTCAACGGCTTGACTCTATTTTCAAGAAAATGTCTGCCAAATTACTCAGGTGTGAATAACCATTGTTTGACCATCAGTAATGCTTTGAAGTAAAAAACGGTGTTCTGTGAAAAATCAAGCTAGTTTCTGCCCTCTCTTGGGACTCCAATCATTTATGTTAGACCTTACTGGCCATGTTCTACTGATTTATCATGCTTTTTCTGCATTTTGCATCCTTTTATCTCTCTGTGCTTCATTCTGGATATTTTCCACTGTCCAACCTTTCAGTTCACTATCATTTCTTTATCTGGTCTACTACTGCAAACTCACCAACTGAGTTTCTTGATTTCAGTGATTTTTTGTTTCTAGAATTTCCACTTGATTGTTTTTAACAGATTGCAGTTCTCTGGTGAAAATCTCTACTTCTTATCTACTTCCTGGAACATATTAATCACAATGATTTTAAAGTCCATGTCTGATAATATCAGTATCTGGACCTGTTCCTATTGTCTATTTTTTCTTTTGGTCTTTTGGTAACTCTTATTTCTTGGTATGTATGCTAATTTTTAAATTAACATCAGGCGTATTTAATAAAAAAACGTAGTGAGTGATAACTCATGACTGTTGTTGCTACCCTTCAGAGAGAATATTTTTTCCCCCTGGCAGTTAGGCTAAGGAAGTGGTTCTTAAACTTTCACTTGTATCAGAACCACTTTGAGGGCTTATGCAATACAAATTTCTGAGTACCACACCAACAGAGGTCCTGATTCAGCAGGTCTGGTGTAGGGGTCTGAGAATCTGCATTTCTAATAAGTTCAGATGACACTGCTGGTCTGGGGACCACACTTTAAGAAACAAGAGACTAAGGAAAAGTACCTTAATCCACTTTGATACTGAGCTGGTTGGAAGCTAGGCTTCAGTCTTTTCAAGGGCTGGTCTATTTCTGGTAAGTCCTTAGAATGTAGCCCTTCAGTGGTTCTAAATCAAAGTCTGGGGTATCTGCTAGGCTCTCTTTCTGAACTCCAATCATTCCCTGAGTCCCATGAGACTACCAAAATCTTGTTCAGTTTCTCAGGCTCATAGCCACTGCTTTACTAATCAGCAAATACCTCAAGGGGAAAAGTAGAGCCAAATGTTGGGTTTACCCTTTTAAGGTTTCCTTCTCTCCAGGATCTTGATCCCTCAAGTTCTCACTTGCTTCGTAACTCTCAAGTACCTTCAAAAACTTTTTTCTTATATTTATCCAGCTTTTTCTAGTTATTCTCAGTGGGAGATTTTACATAAACAAAATATGCCACAGACTGAAGCAGAAGTACCCAACCAGGCAATGTTTTTAATACTCATATTTTTTCCCTCAAGGTAAATTAGTAAATTGGAATTCCAATACATGTGTCAATATACTGTAGTTTGGTAGGTTTGCATATTTCCTTAATATATTCCTCTCCTCTGAGTGAACTAAAAAAATTAAGTCCCAAAACTAAAGCTGTAGTCCAGATACTGGAATTGGTGAGAACTAACTTCCCATGAAGTTCTGTCTAGATTACCAGCAAACCTACTCATATGTTATTTCTACCTGCAAAACATACAGTATCACTATTTTACTGAATTCTTGATCTTTATCTCTTCTTTGCATACAGTACAGAAGGCACAGTGAAAGAAAAAGGGCTCAAGCTCCCTTATCCTACTGTCTACTCTAGAGAGTTTTTTTGAATGAGAGAAACAGAGCTCATAAAAACCTGGTAGGTAAGATCAGGAATATTTTACTTGACTTGGAATCTTAAATATTTGAAATCACACATGTGAAATCACATTACTTTTTTGCCAGGGGGAAAAAACAGGCAAAAATATGAAAATAAAAATCAACTAAAATTCTACCACATGGAGATAATCTCATTTTTATTTTACTGCATATAAGTCCAGATTGTATGTAAATATATAGTATACAAACTATATATAGTTTTTTATAAACCATAAAACTATAAAAACTATATACTATGAATATCACACATATTACTCTGTAGCCTGTGTCAATATATGAGAGTTTTATTATTTAAGAAAAAATATATAAAAACAAAACCCATAAATTCCAGTACTTGAACTGTAAATGTTTTTGAAGGAACATTTTCATTTATTTTTCTTTATCTCAGATGGGCATTCGAAAGATCAGAGAAGTAACGTGCCTAACTTATAGCTGCGTTGAGGACATACTATACTACGTTTTCATTAGAGACTAAGTCCTTCTGTAACACTTTCTAAAATCTAGACCAGCTGGTCAGCAAACTATGACCTTGGGCCAAATCTGGCCTGCAACATTTTTGTAAATAAAGTTTTATTGGAATCACAGAGAAGAGTTTAGTAACTGCAACAGAGACAACATGGCCTGCAAAGGCCAAAATAATCACTATCTGACCCTTTATAGAAAAATATTGCTGACCCCTATGTAGAGCAAGCCCTCACTCCAAACTCCTTGATTTTTCTGAGAAGCATTGCAGCCATCCATGAATCTGAATGCTACAGGATTCTTCATTGCTATTCAAAGAAGACAGATATAGTCTCACAAAACAGAAATAAAAATAATGGAAGCCATGGCTTCTCATCTATCCCCTTGCCTCCTGCATCTGGAAAAAACTAGGCTAACACTCACAGTTTAGTAGCATGGGAAGGAATTCAGATGCCAAAGTCCTCTTATTACCATCTCTATCTATTATGTTTCCTAGAGGGCAGGAAGAATTTTTCTTTGTATTTGTTATGATATTGAGATTACACAATCAGTGGCATTCAAATAATTGATTACAGAGAATTAAGCATGACTTCACAGATATACTTTGTACTTTGTCTCTAAAGTTTATACTGCCCCTTCGCACACTATAAATGGACAAATTCTGCCTCAAGAAGTTGTTTTGGGAGAATTGCTTGAGCCCAGGAAGTCAAGGCTGCAGTGAGCCATCACTGCACCACTGCACTGTAGCCCAGGGTGACAGAGTGAGAGACTGTTTCAAAAAAAAAAAAAGAAAAGAAAAGAAAAAGAAAAAGGAAGTTGTGCAAAACATCCAGCAAATCACCAGTGAATATTTTAAAAGTCACAATAAATGATGATAAAAGACCTAAACTATACCTTTTATACAGGTATAGTGTAGTGATAAAGTACCCTGGCATAAAAATCATACTGCCTGGTTTTGTACCATGGCTTCTCAACTTACTTGGTAGGTGATTGTGGATAAATTATTTAAGCACTCTATACCCAAGTTTCTTATACAATGAAGATATGAGCAGTTGTAATAGATATATACAGATATATTAATAGAGTTGTGAAGATAAAATGCAAACCCATGTAAGGCACTTAGAATAAAACCTGGCACACGTTTGCTGCTACTACCATGACCAGAACTACTATCATCATGACCAATACTCTTACTACTACATTATTTTCATTGTCATATTAAAAGCTCATCAGTAATAATTTGGAAAATAAAGAAAGGATAGGTGTGCTACAATATTCATCACATCTAAATCAAAGAGTTCCCCTTAATTATTTTTACCAGGTATGGCTAACTCATTTGGAAGAGGACTTAATTCCCTTGAAATATTCTCCATGAAGCTTCATAGGGTTACCTAAGTAAAATAAAACTACTCCAAGTAGATGAATGAAAAAAGAAATAATCATAATTTCCAAGGAGAGAACAACGCTGCTTTCTCTAGAATGATAACAAAATAAATTTTGTCTGGAATCCAATGGGAAATTGGGTTTTGAAGTAGCTTTAGAGTCCTATACCTCAAATCTGTTGAGGAGAGAATGGTATTTAAACATGTTCACTCCAAACAGGAAAGGAACTAAGTTGAGTATATAGCTTTTATAGATGTCTCTTATAGTATATGTCTTACTAAAAATTTTTTTTTTTTGAGACAGAGTCTTGCTCCGTCTCCAAGGCTGGAGTGCAGTGGCGTGATCTCAGCTCACTGCAACCTCTGCCTTCCAGGTTCAAGTGATTCTCCTGCCTCAGCCTCCCGAGTAGCTGGAAATACAGGCATGTGCCACCAGGCCCAGCTAATTTTGGTATTTTTAGTAGAGCGGGTTTTCCACCACATTGGCCAGGCTGGTGTCAAACTCCTGACCTCAAGTGATCCCCTGCCTCAGACTCCCAAAGTGATGGGATTACAGGGTAAGCCACCACAGCCCGGCCATAAAAATTTACTATATTTACATATTATATAGCTTATAATATATAAAAATATAATTAAAGACATACTATATAAATATTTTATAGTATATGTCTAATACTGACCACTGAGGATGCTGTGGTCATTAATTACAGAATATCTAATGGTCTTATAAGATAGTTTATTATTGATTGAACTATGCCCTTTTTTTTTTTTTTTTTGAGACAGAGTCTCACTCTGTTGCCCAAGCTGGAGTGCAGTGGCACAATCTCAGGCTCAATGCAACCTCTGCCTCCTGGGTTCAAGCAATCCTCCCACCTCAGCCTCCCTAGTAGCTGGGACTACAGGCGCATGCCACCACACTCAGCTAGTTTTTGCATTTTTTAATAGAGAAGACGGAGTTTCACCATGTTGGCGAGACTGGTCTCGAACTCCTGACCTCAGGTGATCTGCCCGGCTCAGCCTCTCAAAGTGCTAGGATTACAGGCATGAGCCACGATGCCTGGCCAATGTCCTGTATATTAACATAAGATTACATCCACAAAAGTTCTTCAGACATCCTAAAAACACCTTCTTTAATATCAACCTGGAAGTAAATATGGATAGCTACTGGGGGCGGGGGTAGGGGGACAGACTTAGGGGGATCATGGGAATCACAGACCTATGCCTACAGACTTTATGAATTCAAGATGTCATTTGATCTAATTCTAAGACTTCAGGTAGACACAAAAAATGTATTCTTATTTTACGGATGAGTCAATAAAAGCCTAAGGAGATGCTAAAACACCCAAGGTAACAATGTTATATACCTAAAGGGATTTTAACCATGTTCTCCTGCTTCCGGTATAGTTTTTCTTATATTGCACCACAATGAACACTGTTTCCTCCACTCAGTACCATGGTATTCTAGCTATGTAGATTTATGTAGCAAGACATTTCTTCTGGCAAATCCTGCAATATCGGGAACTAATGGATAACAATGTCTTGCATTAAACTTCTCCTAGCATCCCGACATTTCCCAAAAATCTGTCATAATCAACACTCCATTCTTGGGAAAGTATGATTTTTACATTTCTAGAAATTTCCATCAACATGGTATAAGACTGCCATGAACAAACTATAAACATTAAAAATATCAGGGATAAATTCTTCTTTGGAGGATGCAGTTGACTCTACAGTTGCTAGGACACTATGAGGTAAATTTTAGTTTAAATTTTCCTTGCTGTTCCTAATTGGGAAGGGGAGGCTAATACTATGGTACAATAGAAAGAACAGGCACCTGGATTCTAGTTTTAGCTCTGCCATTAATTACTTGTTTGATCTTAAGTGAATCAATCTCTTGGAACTCTAGTTTCTTCATCTGTAAAACAAAGGGGTAAATCTAAAATTTTAAAGATCCCATTTAGCTTTAAACCATGATGAATCCATATTTATACTGATTCTGAACAAACGGCCTCTAAGTCTGCTCACCAAATGTCTATTCTCAGTCTGGCCAAATACTACATTTCTTTTATTTCATGGGTTACTTTCTTTAATACTGACCAACAGAACTTTGTGTAATAATGGAAATGTTGTATACCTGCACAGCCCAATATGGTTGCCACTAGTCACATGTGGTCACTGAGCAGTTAAAAGAGGAACTAAATTTTAAATTTAATTTTAATTATTTAAATTTGAGTAGCCACACATGGCTACTGATTACCATACTGCACACCACAGCTCTAGAAGTCCTGAGAATTCAATTAAAAGACAATATTATCAAGCCCTCTCCTCAAACCTGAAAACCAGATCCAACTCATAAAACTTAAACTTAACAAAATTTCATCAAAAATGCAATTTGTGGCTGGGCACGGTGGCTCATGCCTGTAATTCCAGCATTTCAGGAGGCCGAGGCGGGCAGATTACCTGAGGCCAGGAGTTTGAGATCATTCTGGCCAACACAGTGAAAGCATGTCTCTACTAAAAACAGAAGAAATTGCATAGTGGCCTACACCTGTAATCCTAGCTACCGGGGAGGCTGAGGCATGAGATTCACTTGAACCTGGGAAGCAGAGGTTGCAGTGAGATCGCACCACTGCACTCCGGCCTGGGCGACAAGAGTGGGACTCTGTCTCAAAAAAAAAAAAAATGCAATTTGTTAGTCAGCTAAGTTTAAAAGCAATTGATTCCATTTTCTTCTCAAAGTTCTCATTTTTCTCCTATGCTTCATGGAGGTGGTATTAGAGTAATCTTACATTTTTATATGTGGTACTTTAAATAGTGCCATATAGTGCTGGGGTTCCCACCTTTACAACAGTTCTATAGATATAGCAAATAGGAGTAAGCCCACAGATACAGCACACTTTAGAGCTACTTTTTCCCAATTGCAGCATTTATACTCTGCTGTCTCTGTACGCCTTTCCCTGTACCACCCTACTTTCCCTCTGCCCCCTTTGACAAAGAGCGCTCCAAGAAAACAGGCTGTTACCTCCTCGAGCAGGCCTGCATAACAGAACGAAGGTCAAGAGATGCGTGGAAACGAATAGCCAGAAAGGTAAGTGGCTGCTGGGAAAGACTGCAGTCTCAGCACCCGGTCTCCCTTGGACACTGGAAAAGGCTTGCACTGCCACTGCTATACAGCAAGCCAGAGGCAAAGCTTGCAATTTGCTAAGGAGCTGCTACTAAGGAGGAGGAGAAGGAAGGGGAGGAGAAAAGGGAAAGAAGGCAAAATCTTGGGCCTCGGCAGAGCCAATGCTGCTAATAGTTCCCAAAATAACATTCAATTAGATACATGTTTTATACACTGTACCAAACCAATCAATACTACTTCTCATTTGACAGGGAGGGGAGAGAGAGAAATTATTCCTCATGTGAAAGAAGACAGAGCAAAGAGAGATGCAGCATTCTCATTCTGGATCCTATTTCATCTGCCCTTGAGCTACCCTAGTTGCTGCATCCATCCAACTGAGCTGTAAATACTGCCTCACTTGAGGCTCAGGCATAGCCAGCTGGCAAATGCCAACAGCTGTGAAGAGACAGATAGATAAAAAAGGAACACCTGACACACAGAAATGCAGGAACAAATTTCATATCTGCTATAAATGGGATAAACCTAGATAGATAAAGAGTTTACATACCACTCAATTTGATAAGCTAGCTACAGATCAGGAAGATTTCCAGGTCTAATATGTGTCACATATCAAAATATGATCTGATTTCATAGTTTAGGACAATTGCATTCAAATGCTCATGTGCCATTTTTGGCCTCTCTAATCTGACACTGAGATCAGAGCTCATGTTTAAGCAACGAATCAAAGCTACAATTCCATTAAGAATTTTTTAAGAAAGAATTTCCCTCAGCCAAACTAAGCATTTCTTAAATCTAGACCTATAATTAACTGGCCCCAAATGTCAAGAGTGCTGAGTTTGCAGGGGGTGAAGTCAGCAAATTTTGTCTGTAAAGGGCCAAACAGTAAATCTTTCAGGTTTTGCAGGCCTACTCAACAGCTCTGTTGTGAGGCCAAAGCAGTCACAGACAACACATAAATGAATGGGCAAGGCTGTGTGACTACTGCTTGCTGTGCTACACCAGCAGAAGGGAGCAGCTGCAACAGAAACCATGTGGCTTGAAAAGTCTAAAATATTTATTATCTGGTCCTTTGCAGAAAACATTTGCTGATCCCTGCTCTAGACGCTAAGTTATATATCACCAAGCTATGGCTCAGAGAAGTCCTTTTGCTTTAGAGAAAGTGTGAGTCTGGTGTTTCTGTGACCTACCTTAGATAACTACTATATCATCTTGAATTCTTTTCCATGTGAACATTTGTTCCATTAAAAACATGCCAGCCTCAGTGCCAAAGCCACTTGCACAATGACAATGCTTTTACTTATGTAGGTCACTCTACAGTTAATTCACTGGTCAGAACAAGTGTTACTGATGGTAAGAATGGCAGATTCAAGCACCAACAAGGCCAGTGAGTGCTGCTTTATTTCACACACATCAGCTATACCAGCTGGACCTGGCCAACTGTCTCAAATATTTATCATTTACTACAAAGTAGACCAAGACAAATTCAGCACCACCACTAATTTTTTTTAATAAGATAGCCCAAGAAACTAAACACACAAAATGTATATGGAAATAACCTATATATCAAACAATAAGGGGAATGGTTAAATAAAGAAAGTTCATATGATAAAATATTATAGACATTAAAAGACAAACTAAAAAGTACCATATATATGTAAGTTCCAAAATATTCATATCTGGAATATATAAAAAACTTTTACCCATTTTTTTAAAAAGAACCAACCTAATGACAACAACAAAATCAACAAAATACATAATCAGGAAATTCACAAAAAAGGAAACCAGAAAAGCATATAAACATAAGAGAAAATGTTGTTTCACTAGTAATAAAAAAAATGCAAATTAAAATGAGAAATGATTTCATCTTCCTTAGATTACCAAAAAAGCAGCAACAAAAAAAAAAAAAACAAAAACATTTTAAGTCTAACCTAGTTGTAAAGAATTAGAAACTCACATACATTGCTGGTGAGAGTGAAGAGGAGAGCAATCAGGCAGTGTCCAGTGAGATGCACTTACCCTATAGACCCAGAAATTCCATTTGGAAATAAATACTGTTGAGAAACTCTTGCACGTTTGTGTCAAGAAACATGAACAAGAATGTAAACAGCAGCATCATTAGTATTAGGGGAAGAAAAAAAAAGACCTAAACACCTAAATGTCCATCAGCACAGGAAAAAAACAAAAACAAACTGTGGTATAATGGTACAATGGACTAAACTAAGCATTTAGAGTGAACAGACAGAATGCTAAGTGACAAGAGCAAGTTTCAGAATGATGTGTGCAGGTTATACCATTTATATAAAGTATTAAAACATGTAAAAGAATTATATAAGTATGCAAATGAAAAATAATAGTAATAAAAATTTGAGAATGATAAATAGCAAATTCAGGATAGTGATTAATTTTAGGGAGAGAGTCAAGAGATGAGACTGAGGAGAGATACACAGGAGCTTAGCTATATTTTATTCTTAATAACTGAAGCAAATATGGCAAAATATTGGGATTTGATCAGACCAGAAGATGGAGAGATTGGGTGTTTGTGATATTTAGTAACTTTTTGTTTTCATTTTTTTTTTTTTTTTTGAGATGAGGTCTTGCTCTGCCACCCAGGCTGGAGTACAGCTGGCATGATCATAGCTCACTACAGCCTCAAGTGGGCTCAAGTGATCCTCCCACATCAGCCACTTGAGAAGCTGGGATTACAGGCACAGGCTCCCATGCCTGGCTAAATTTTTTTTTTCTTTATAATTCTCTGTAGAGATGAGGTCTCACTATGTTGCCCAGGCTTGTCTCCAACTCCTGAGTGCAAGTGATCCTCCCACCTCTGCCTCCCAAAGTGCTAGTATTACAGGCATAAGCCACTGCACCTGGCCAATAATCTTTTAAAAGAAAAAGCCATACACAGCATGATCTCAAAATAAATAAAATATATAAAGATGTTAGCAGTGATATTGCTGATGGTAAGAATACGGGCAATTTTTATTTTCTATTTAAAATACAGTTATTGTGGGAAATTTTGTAAACTTTTTAAAAGGTTAGAAACTTTTAACTTTGAAAAATGATCATTAATATTTAAAGGACTGTTCCAAACAGTAAGATATACATAAAAGAGATGTATTTGTATTTCACACTTTTTTTTATTACCATAGTTCAAAGTGATATAGAAAGCACAGGTACTCCTCAGTATATGCTAAATACTAAAGGAAGCTAAATATGCCAGAAAAAAATTGGTCGGCCATAGGGGGCAAAGAGACAGAATAGAGGTCGGATGTGGTAGAAAAAGGAGTTCTAGCTTGCATAAGTAGGCAATCAGGAAAAGACCTGTGTTAGCATAGGTGGACTCTCTGTATTACGACCAGTAGATTCACAGACTCGCCTACTCTCACCAACTCCTAGAAATCGGTCTCCAGCTCCTGTAATCACTAGGATGGCCTCCAATGGGGGAAAAGGGTGGTATCTGGGGAAGCAGAAAAGCTCTTAGACCTGTGGTTCTTAACCTTTATTGAAATCTAACCCATCTTTAACAATCAGATAAGAAATGCAATCTCCTACCCCTAAAAAAGCACTTACGTATACACAAAATTTGGCTAGCAATTTCAGGGATTTCTGAACTTTCCATTAGCTCAGATTATGAAGGAAAGGATCTAGAAAGAAAGAACTCCCTAAAAGACCTAAATTCGATTTATCTTCAGAGAAAGCCTCTAAAATAAGTCCATTATTTTCACTTTCCAATTACCCTACTTTGCAGATGAATCCAATTCCTTTAAGACTCAGTGGCATATTTTTTTTTCTTTTTTGAGTCAGGTTTCCTGAGGTAAGTTTACATATGGTAAAATTTGTCCTTTTTAGCAAATAGGTCTGTGAGTTCAAGTTTTGACAAATGCATAAAGTCTCTGTCACTGTAATCAAGATACAGAACAATTCTGTCACCCTCCAAAACTCACTCATGCTACTTGGTAGTCACCCCAGTCCTAGCCTAAGGAAAATTTTTTTTAACTTTTATTTTTTATTTATTTATATAGGTAAACTCATGTCACAGAGTTTGTTGTGCAGATTATTTCATCAGCCAGGTACTAAGCCTACTACCCAATAGTTATTTTTAAAACTCACTGTTGAAGAAACACATTGACATTTTCTCACACTAGAAAGTAATATATAAACCAACAACTGCCTTAGCTCATTAAGTCAGATGTTGGCCACTATACTAAACTGTAGATTATAACAAAAAAAGTGCTATTCTACCCACAACTAACCACCATTCTCGAAGTTCTAGGAAGGTAGGGACTACTCTTCATCATTACATCATTAAAATTTAGCATTGTGCCTACCCTTTATTTGGTACTCTAAAACAATTATTGAACTGAATTAAGGTTATGGATGAAATTCAGAATCTGAGCTATTCAGTTTTGTTTTAGAGTTGACCCTAATTCTCTACATATTTATTTACCATTTTTAAAGTTTGGTCAACAGTGTATTGGTTCATGCGCTCATTTTGTTCATTCTATTCAACCAGTTTCCCATTTTACCTTTCTTTTCTTTTTTTTGAGACAGAGTCTTGCTCTGTCACCCAGGCTGGAGTGCAGTGATCACTGCAACCTCTGCCTCCTGGGTCTAAACGACTCAGCCTCTCAAGTAGCTAGGACTACAGGCAGGCACCACCATGCCTGGCTAATTTTTTGTATTTTTAGTACAGACGGGATTTCACCATGTTGGCGAGGCTGGTTTCGAACTCCTGACCTCAGGTGATCCGCCCGCCTCAGCCTCCCAAAGTGCTGGGATTACAGGCATGAGCCACCATCCCCAGCCACCACTTTACCCTTCTTTACCTATTCCAAATCTCTGTTCTGAAGCAAGATCTTGTAAGGGAGTTGGACATATTAAGTACTGATAATTAAAATTTAAGACAAAAATTGCCACAAAGAGATAGCTCTGGAGAGGAAATCTGAGGAGTATCAGGAATAAAATATTGCAAGGGGATGATCTGGGCAGAATCTAAAGAGAATAAGAGACTTCCTAGAAAACAACTGGCTAGCCATATGTAGAAAGCTGAAATTGGATCCCTTCCTTACACCTTATACAAAAATTAATTCAACATGGATTAAAGACTTACATGTTAGACCTAAAACCATAAAAACCCTAGAAGAAAACCAAGGTAATACCATTCAGGACATAGGCATGGGCGAGGACTTTATGACTAAAACACCAAAAGCAATGGCAACAAAAGCCAAAATTGACAAATGGGATCTAATTAAACTAAAGAGCTTCCGCACAGCAAAATAAACCACTGTCAGAGTGAATAGGCAACCTACAGAATGGGAGAAAAGTTCTGCAACGTACTCATCTGACAAAGGGCTAATATCCAGAATCTACAATGAACTCAAACAAAAATTACAAGAAAAAAACAAACAACCCCATCAAAAAGTGGGTGAAGTATATGAACAGACACTTCTCAAAAGAAGACACTTGGCCAGGTGCGGTGGCTCACGCCTGTAATCCCAGCACTTTGGGAGGCCGAGGCGGGCGGATCACGAGGTCAGGAGATCGAGACCATCCCGGCTAAAAACGGTGAAACCCCGTCTCTACTAAAAATACAAAAAATTAGCCGGGAGTAGCGGCGGGCGCCTGTAGTCCCAGCTACTTGGGAGGCTGAGGCAGGAGAATGGCGTGAACCCGGGAGGCGGAGCTTGCAGTGAGCCGAGATCCCGCCACTGCACTCCAGCCTGGGCGACAGAGTGAGACTCCGTCTCAAAAAAAAAAAAAAAAAAAAAAAAAAAAAAAAAAAAAAAGATAAATTAGAATGACAAAGAAAATAAGACACAGACCTGGCAGTTCTGCCTTTTAAGGGCCAGCCTCAGCCTAGTCACCGTGAATCACAATTTCAGGTTCTGCGTCAGCGTGTCCCACCTTGGAAAATAGTGGAACTGGGACCCCAGAATGTCATGATCCAATGACAGTCTGGAGAAGGGGCACCTCAGCAGCCTGTACAAACCCAGTCACACCTGTAACAGAAACACACCCTACCAACTAAGAAGCCATCTCATTATCTTAGACAACCATACCAGCAATGTGCACACACAATGGGCCTTTTAGTAAACTGTCAACTCAAGGATTTAAGAAAAATCAAACCATTTTGAATTTAGAGTCTCAGGAAGAAGACCCTCCACTGCCTTAACCAGCCTGTATGATGGATGAAACTGACAGTGTTAACTTGACTTGGGCATACCTGGAGACTGACCTTGTATTAAAAAAAAAAAAAAAAAGCTTCTGAGTGCCCAGAGATCCAAGATAAAAAACCTAGTAGTGGCTAACCTGAAAATTATTCTTTCTTTATGAGGAATATCTCAGTACCAGGTCTGTTCCATCCTGTGGCATGGAATACAGACCACACAGGGGACTGAGGCCACTCCTTTTTTGTTAAATAAATGCTGACAGGTGAAAAGTTGTTGAAAAAAGTGCTAAATAACAATGCTATACAAACTGCATGCTTTTTGTAAGTGGGAATGGTTATCATGCTAAGCCCACTGACAGTGGACTTTTTCCCCTCTTTTTAAGTCCCCAGTAAAACTCCGTATCTCATTCACTTGTTCTAAGTCTCTTCTTTGACATCTTGAACCTGGTGCCATTTCTATGGGAGTTGAATTTGATGCAACTTATCCTATATTAAGGAAGGATTTCAGACTCTGCTCAATGTGCTTCAAAGCTCACCGAGGCATCAGCTAAGAAAGATGCTGTTGTTCTCCTTAACACTCTCATTCAGGCCTCTTTTCCTTAGATGCACAATCAGTGGTGTACCAGGAAAGATGACTAAGAGAAACATCGTGGTCACAATCAAGATTAATGCCAGAATAAGCAGCGAACACTTGGAAATCAAAAGGGAGCATTTTTCAATGCCCTCAAATTCTGTCTTCAGTTCCTGGATTCAGTAATGGTTTTGAAGATCCATCCAACCTCTAGAGGAACCATGGGCCCTTAGGAGGTAAACACCTACACTTAATCCTGGTTCAACAAAGCTTTCTCTTGACAAATATGATGTCTGTGATCGTGAGCTTCTAAGCAATCTGCACAAAGCATAACCTGAAAACCTATAAAAGGGAGATGAGTAGGTATGAGGGAAATAATTTTCCACATTTTTTCTTGGGAAATTCAAAAAATTGTGATGGTGGGAAAATGTGCAGAAGAAGACAGCATATTAAAAGTCCTCATCAGGTGATTTTTACCACCAGAGTTTTTAATCCCAGCTATGAGATCTCCAAATAAAAACCAGAAGTTACTTCACTGCATCTATCCATGATTTATTGTACAATATTTTGTCTATCACAGTGAGGGGTCTTCACTGAGGATCTTCCCATTAAACATATAAAGATAAAGAAAGGAAAAGGTAAAATAGCAACTCCATGAAATCATAAGATAAAATGTAGAAATATTCATCTTCTCACATCAATTGCATTTTTGTACATATATGAATGTGTATCTACCCATAAAGCTAATATATTCAAAATAAATCAAATATATGTCAAGTTAAAACTTAAAACAAATTTTTTTGACTGGGTGCAGTGGCTCACACCTGCAATCCCAGCACTTTGGGGGATCGAGGAGGGTAGATCATTGAGGTCAGGTGTTTGAAAGCAGCTTGGCCAACGTGGTGAAATCCCGTCCCTACTAAAAATACAAAAAAGAAAAAAAAAATTCCTGGCATCTGTAATCCCAGCTACTTTGGAGGGTGAGGCAGGAGAATCACTTGAAACTGAAAGGCAGAGGTTGCAGTGAGCTGAGGTCACGTCACTGCACTCCAGCCTGGGTGACACAGCAAGACTCTGTCTCAAAATTTTATTTTTTAACGGCAAAAAGATTCACATATGGTGCAGACATTACTTGTTGGAGTGGAGTGGGTGCGGCTCTGTCCTTGTAAAGTAGGAAGAGCAATCAGTGCCCTGGATTGTGTGTAGGGAACCCATTCGTACACAAATAAAGAGGCAATCAGGGCTTCAGCCTAGCAATACTGAGGCTTGCACGGGGCTTTCGAAAGCAGTAGAAATGGCCTGTAAAACTGAATGCTAGATGGGCTTGTAACAATAAAAGATCTGTCCAGGGATAACAGCAGTTCTGATAGGAGCCCCTGACTATACCCTGCCTCAGCAAAATGTAGACAAATAAAGAAAAAATAATTCAAGAGAAATAAAATTTAAAAATAAAGCAATTGGAAAATAGTAAGGGCAAATAAAATAAACTGAAACAAAATAGAGAAAAGTAAAGAAAAATATAACTAAGATTAGTGAAAATAAAATCAAGATGAAGATAAACAGTAAATACAATAAAATTGAGAAATAAGAAAATTTTAAGAATAAGAAGAGACAAGTGAAAGTAAAAAAGAAATGCAGAGAAAAATAAAATAACAAAGAGATATGCATGGAAATAAATAAAAGAAACAAGAAATTGAATAAAATTACAAACGACAAAAATCTAGAAAATTTGAAATTGAGACTATAATGAAAAAACAAAAAATAAAAAATGAAGTAAAATTAAATTAATAGAAAAAATGAAAGTAAATAAAAATAAAGAGAAACAAGATAAAAACAAAGACAAATGTACAGAAAAATAAAAGATTAAAAAGAAAAATAAGATCTAGGGATAATCTACAAAACATTTCACGCAACGATAGCATAATACATAATATTTCTAATTACATACAGTTTATTTCCTAAGATAGGCAAACTTCTTAGCTAGCATGCAAGTTTTAGCATATTTGAACAAATGGTTATAAAAAAGTATTACTTCTGACTACAGTAAAATATAACTGGAGGTTCAAAACCAAAAGAAAGCTAGCATGTCTGCATGTATATGAAAAGTAGACAAATTCTTCCGCACGCTATTTTAAAAGAGTTAGAACATGCACGTTTCTTTAGACGTTTATGGTATTCAAAATGATCTACAGATCAATGAGACCTCTTTCAAAAAACCAATGGTAGTTTTTCCAGAAGTACTAAAATATTCTGAAGTGTTGGCATCAATATTTGGCTGTGTCACCCAGGCTAGAGTGCAGTGTCCTAATCATGGCTCACTGCATGTAGCCTTGAGCTCTGAAGTTCAATTGATCCTCCCACCTCTGCCTCACAAGTAGCTGGGCCTGCAGGTGCATGCCACCACGGTCAGCAAGATTTGGGGGTTTTTGTAGAGACAGGGTTTCACCATATTGCCAATGCTGGTCTCAAACTTTCTGGACTCAAGCAATCCACCTGCCTTGACTTCCCAAAGTTCTGGGATCACAGGAGTGAGCCACCAAATATTGCCCTATAATTTTTATAAATGCTCAAAAACCACAAATAGACAAACAACCTGGGAAAATATAATAAAGTCAGAGTCATATATTTTTTTATTTTAAAACATATTGCAAAGTTACAGTAATCAAACAGTGTGGTGCTGGGAAAAAGACAGAAAAATAAATGTTGAAAGAGATAAGAGAAGCCAGAAAGTAACCCACATGCGTATACTCAGCTTATCTTAAACGACGGTTGCAAATCCTCATGTTGCAGAACGCTTTCCTTACATCAAAAAAAATTGGGTTCTGGTCACATGACTAGAATATATTAAGTCAGGGACGCTCTGAAGGATGAGGAGTAGAGTTGATTGGGGAAAATGGAAAAAAAAAAAAGAAGAAGAAGAAGAAAACTTTTAACAAAATGAGTTGGAGACCTGTTTACAGGCCCCCACCTCCCAAATTGATGAACACCAGACCATCACAGGAAACTGAAGAGTCCAGGCTTCTCCTCCCTGCACAAGAGGTGAACTTTCCATGGCTCCACTCTCTTCCCCAGTTGTGCAGGTGGATATTACTGAGAGAAAATCAGTTGGAAAAAGGAAGGCTTTATCTGGGGCCAACAGTCTGATTTTTCAGACTTCAGGCTGTTTTAAGCTTGAATGTGTGGTTTTGCCAAGGACCCTTGGCTCTTTTCTAACTCGTTATTTCCCCCCTTTAAATGAGTACATCTGACTGCCATTAGAAGAAGGATAAGGATTAGGACAAAAACAACTTTTAAGTGCTTCCTGCTGAGAGGGGGCACTTTTTTTTTTGGAAAAAAATGGCAATCAGATCTCACTAAGAGGCCTATCTAATTGTCCCCAGTGAAATGGGCCACTGTTCAAGGCTCTGGTTGAGTGACTTTTTGAACTTTGGTAGGCTAAAAATAAAAAGAATCAAACTGGGTTATTAAAAAACATGTACTGAAATGAAACAAGGGGCAAATGGCAAGGTCAGCTCAAAATTTCCAAGGTCTTTTCCCTTGAAAAGGGAAGGTCTTTTCCCATAGAAAGAGGAAGGACAAAAACTCCAATGGAAGAAAAAAAAAATTGTTTGGCCAGCATGTCAGTCTTCTGGGTTCTTTTGCCTTGAGTTCGATCCTAAGCAAACAAGTCTAAATTTTGGGAAATTAACTCTTCCAGGCTTTGAGGATGCATCTGAGGAAAGTGTCCCATAGTATGAAGACATGATTACCTATCTGTAAATAGAGGACAGAGGAGAAAGAAAAAACAAAAAACATTATTTTCAGAGAAGTCCCAAGGGTTTAGTTTGCATTCAAAAGGCACATAGACTGAAGACAAATGGCTACTCATCTAGAAAGAGAGAAGCAGTTGTCCCTGGTTCCTTTCTCTTTCTTGCAAATTTCCAGGGTATGTTGAGGGATAGGAGAAAAAATCTTCTCTTTCCTGCTCCTATTCTTCTATCCCCGAGTCCCAGTGATTGTAACAAGGTCCGTCCATGGGTGTCAAAGCAGCTTTCACCCATGTTAACGGAGAGAACTAGGGTGGTTGAAATGTCTGCTCTTACCCACGTATGCCCTATCTACTCTGCTGTCAGTAGTTCTGGAGTTCACTAGACTTTATTTATGCCAAGGACACTAGCATAATCTTTATCGATGAAATGGGAGGCTTGGCTTAATTGTCTGGAATTTGTCATGCTCACCTGCACTGTGCCTTTTATCCTCCATTATCATCTCCTTCTGGATTTCTCAGATCCGGTGTTATTTCCTAGGGCTTCAACCTGAAGCTTGAAACTGAGGTTGGGACAAAAATGTGGCTCAGGGATTTGCATGGACTCCATATAGTTAGCTGAATTTTTAGATGAAGCTGTGGGATTGAGTCCTCTTTCCACGAGGGAGAGAAATAATGTCTTGTAACACACCCAGATATCTCGTGGCTCTAGTTATGCTTGCTAAGATTTGGGTGGGCACACTATTTATTCCCATAACAATGCAGGGTTTGCAGGATAATTGCCCAGAACTAGAATATTAATCCAGATTTTTACCAGTTTCTTTTCATTTCTTCTGAGCTGCAGTTGAATATCACTAATTGGCTTACAAGAATAAGCCGGTTTGTTCTAAAATGTAGGAAAAATGCAAATCTAATGAGTTTAGGATTTAATGACAACCATATAATTAGTTTTGACAAATAATCTTTTCCATTCAGTTCTTTTGTTGTTGTTGTTAGAAACAAATAATGATAGAACTGAGTTCTTTGTGAAATCAGCTTTAGTCGTATGCTTGGATTCATTATTTACATAAAGCACAGCAAGAAAAATTATTCCTACATAGTTATTTTACATTGGCTTTAATAGAACTCTTCCACAAGAAATTTCAGAGAGGACTTTCTGAAGTCAAACCCAGCCATGGTTTTGTACCATCAGTTAGTTATGAGTTGGGTTATCCTCTTCTCTTATGGTCCCAAAATAAACTTGGAGCCCCTGGGCCTGTCCAAAGTGTCATTCTTTACTTACCACAGATCTGGAACCCTGCACAAGGACTCTGTAGATAAGGTATAAGGCCAGTTTATCCAAGGGGCTATTATTGGCTCTGCAAGTTGAGCTTGACTGCTTAAAGGGAAGCAGAACTTTTCAATCAAGGCCTTGATAAAACAACCAGTTTCTCTAACTGTGTCCTGTTGCAAATAAAATAGACTATTATTACACTGATTCAAACAGCTATATTGCCATAAGTTAAGAACACTCATAACTATTTTTCAAATTCTGAAGAAGCCAGGAAGAGAGAGATAAACATGATTCAAATTTTCTTCACAGGAGTACACCTTACTCAAATATTAAAGGCTGTAAACAGCTCAAAATAAGTTTCCTTGACTATGGTAAACAATACATGAGTCAGTAATGTTACAAGCAAAAATAGGAAAGATTACTTCATGTTTCTATCAGTCCAGTCCATTCAGTTAACTCTTGTTTTGTTTAATATTCATAAACATTTTAGCTCTTCATGGGTCCTGGTAGGTTTTTCCTGTATTCCTGTCACAGCTCCAAAGTTTTCAGAAGCCTGCATTTGTGAGCACCAGTCAAAGTTCTATAGCTGATTAAAAAACATTTTTGGAAAAATGTCAAAACCAGATGACAATTGTCTGTGTTTAACAAAACATCCAGAGTAGTTACAGTCAGAAAGATGATTGACAAAAATTTTGGTTATGTCTATGGTTTGCAATAACTTAACATAACAGCATTAATTGTGGTTGACAGCATATATGTCAGACATTAGAATTTTAGAAATTCCATACAATTTAGGAACATGTATTAGTATTATTCATGAAAATGCCATCTAAAGAATATTGAAAACCATTTTTGGGATTCCTTGTAACTAAACACGTTGTATGATCCTGTATAAAGCTCTCGTGGATACTCCAGGCACCCTCTTTAGCATTCAAAAACCAGGAATTAGGAAAGACCATTTTGTAATCAAAGTTTGATTTTGAGAAGGATATTACATGTTAGGAGTTTGAAATGCTTGATGTTATAAAATAAAATTCCAGATTACCATAAATTATTTATTTAACGAAAATAATGACCTATAAATAAAAAAGCAGAAACTTTTACATTATTTAAAAATTTTCCTTCAGAGCAGATTAGTGCCTTAAGAGTACTTTTTGTGCTTTCATTTCAATGCTCAATTTACAAAAAAACAAAAAACAAAAACAAAAAAACATATAATATCCTCTTGAATTTAATTGATATTCACACACAGAATTTCTTGGAAAGATTTATTTTTACAATTCTTCCATAACTTGTTTGAACTTTCAGCTTTATCATCTGTAATTCAAAACGGTTGTTTGATCCTAGGCAAGAATTTATATTTGCATGCCTTCTTATAATGTTGTATTAAAAACACATTTTACCGTCCTTACACACCTTGTCTGGAAATGTACTTCCAGTGGTTTCAATTACATATTATCATGGTAAATTTTAGCAATTTTAACTTTAATGTAAAGCCAGGTAAATTGTCCTAATTATGTGCTAGGAGCAGCCATAATTAAGGGTGTGTTTAGTTCCATTTTTCCTCAGGCTTGACCAATTGTGAAGCAAAGTTGAACTGTTTTCAAAAACCAAAAAAGCAGTTATAACCTTAAAACATTCAGCAAACCTAGTATCTGACCTGCATAATTTAGTCCACCTACTCACATATTGATGACATTTGTGTTTTACTGATAATCTTAAGGCTGTTTTTATTTCTCAAGCATTAAAGTCATGTGAACTAAAACATACACATCTTTCATCTTTCCTTCAAAAATATTTGATCCAAGTGCTTATCATTTTTTCAGTAAATTTATTGGAGCTCTTTTACACACATACAGGCAGAAGAAAAACCCAGTACCTATAAGATTTTAAATCTGCCAATTTCCTGATTGAATTACTGGCCTCTCATGCATCCATTTTTTTCTTTGCTTGTGTCCCCTTCCTTGACATTTCCATGGCTCCACCTCCTTTTCCCAGTGCGCGTGTGGGCATTACTCAGAGAGAAACAGTCAGGAAAGGGCCGATTTTATCTGAAATCAGCAGTTCAATTTATCAGCCTTTAGGCTGTTTTAGGCTTAAAAGTGGAGTTTTGGCCAGGACTCTTGACTGTCTCCTGTCTCTATTACTCAAAATGAGAAAAGGTCCCTTGGCTATCTCTGGTCTCTATCACTTTACATGAAAAAAGAACAGTTTATTTAACAAATGAGGTAGAGAATACTGAATACTCAAACAAAAAAACAATTTTTGAACCTTACCACAAGGATGAACTTAAAATGAAACAGGACTTATTTTTATAGCTGTTGTAAATAATTTTTTTCTTGAACTTTTCTTTCAGATGGCTCATTCTTGGCATGTAAACATGCTCCTAATTTTGTATGTGAATTTGATATAACGCCACTTTACTGAATTTCTTTATTAATTCTCAAGATTTTTAGTGTACTATTTAGTTCTGCTATATAAAAAATTGTATGATCTGTGATCAGAGACAATCTGAATTTCTCCTTTTTCATTTGGATGTCTTTTATTTCTTTCTCTTGCAAAATGATCAGGCTGAGAATTCCAGTACTCTGTTGAATGAAAGTGGTAAAAGTAGACATCATTGTCTTGTTCCAGATCTCAAATGAAAAACTTTCCTATTTTCCTGTTCAGTGTGATATCAGCTAATGAATTTCATATTTTGCCTTAATTGTATTCAGGTAGATACCATCTATACCTAATTTCTTCTGTTGTTTTAATCACAAAGGCATGTTAGATTTTTCCAAATACTTTTTTTGCATCTAGAATAAAAAATAAAGGTGCCTAGCAGTAAAACTAATTAAGAAATAAACACTGTCTACACTGTAAATCATAAAACACTTATAAAGAAAGTAAGACATGAAAAGTTTGAGAGATATTTTTGCTCATTAGTTATAAAACATATTGTTAAAATGGCTTTGCCACTCAAGGGCATCTACAGATTCAATGCAAACTCTATAAAATACCAAATGACATTTTTTTCACAGAAATGGAAAAAACAGGCCAAAAATTCATAGAAAACAAAAGAAAACCTCTCCAAATAGCCAAAGTAATCCTATGAAAAAAGAACAACCTGAAAGCATCAAAGCACCTGACTTTAAAATATCCTACAAAGCTACAACAAGCAAAAGAGCATGACACTGGCATAGAAAACAGACACATAGACCAAAGTATGCAGCGATCCCAATAGTAAATTCAGAAACCTAGGGCCAAGTAATTTTTAAGCTGTTTGGAATATGCACTTAAGAAACGACAATCTTTTCAATGAATGGTGCTAGGAAAATTGATTATTTAAATGAATATAACTAGATGTCAACTGGTTACCTACCATATTAAAACAACTTAATTATATATAATTAGAAGACTTAAAGGTACAACTCAATCTTAAAAACTATTTGAATAAAACATAGGGAAATGATTTACAAAATAGGACAGGAAGAAAATGTAAATAAGAACTCAAAAGCATAGGCAACAAAAGCAAAAGCAGGCAAGTGAATTTAACAGAATCTAAAAAATATCACATAGCAAAAATAAATTAATAGAGTAGAGACAACTTACAGTGTGGGAGGATATATTTGCAAAATATACATACGACAAGGGATAATCACACAAAATATATAACAAACACAAAAGCAAAAATAACCAGAATTTAGTAATACATGAGAGACCTTAAGTGAAATTTCTCCAAGGAAGACATACAAATGGCCAAGTACCTGCAAAGATGGTCAACACTATTAATTATTAGAAAAATGCAAATTAAAGCCACAATAAGATACCAGATTACTCCAGTTCAGATGGATATAATCAGAAATAATACGTTAATACGTTCCTGCCACTTTCAACAGGAGGCATTGTGACATATCTCTGGGCCTATTATTTAGGTGATATGACTCTCCTCTTCTGCCTGGAAACTGCCTACAAGGGCCATTGTGCCACAGAGTTAGGCGTAGCCCCAAAGTTATGTGACATTTCTGCCAGGAACTTGCCTGAAAAGAGAATATTGGAATATTTCTGCCTCGGCATTTAGGTTATATGGCTGTCATGCCTGTTTCATTACCACAGAGTAAATTTTGACATATGCCTTGGCACAGCTCACAGGCATCATAATGACTCTGATATGCGGACCCCAGAAACAGGAGTTAATTTGACTTTTGTAACTTGCTCTAGAAACACGAGTGATGTCTTGGATCTCTTTCTGGTAAAAAGGCCACAGAAGATTATAACAGCCTCAGATATTTTATAAAGCCCATGACTTGTACAGAGAGTGTCTTAACAAAACCCAGAAGGATGAAATTGTAAGTTTCACATGCACACCCACCTTAAAGTAAGGACTGTCAGATCTCACATTGTCACTCATGAAAACAGGACATGTGTGGTATTATAAATCTCATCTCTGGTATGTTCTACCAGTGTGAATGTGATACAAATATTTGCAAGCATCTGTGTGATTTGACCCTCTAGATTGGTTTCAGCCCACATAAGGGATTGTGATCTCTACCTGGGCCAACTTCTAGATGATATGACTCTCCTCCCTTGGATGTCCTCTCAGGATTGTGACATATCACTGGATGTAAAACCCAGGTGATGTTACAGCTTCTAGAGGATGTGACCATCCTGCCTTTGCCATTCTCTAAGGATTGTGAAATATTACCAGATCTAACACCCAGATGATGTTACATTCTTGCCTGCGCCATTTCCGCAGACATCATTGTAACATATCACTGTGTCCACCACTTAGGAAATGTAACTCTCCTCTCTGGAAAGGACCCTGAACACAGCAGGTGGTAGTAACATATTGCTAGGCCCAGGCACACAAGTGACGGTACTCTTTTGCCAGGGCTGTGTTTTAAACAGGGCATTGTGACATATCTTTGGGCATATTACCGAGGTGATGTGACTCAAAGCTTGGGCCTCACCCACGTAAGGCACTGTGACATAAAAGTTGAACCTACACCAAGGTGATGTAACTCTTTCACCTTGATTCTATCCTAAGGGAGCCTTGCAACATATCTCAGGACCCAACACCCGGGTGATGTGGTTCTTCTGCTTGGTTTCTGTCTATGTCTTATACTGTGACGTATACCTAAAGAAGAACCTAGGTGATAAGACTCTCCTTTTCTGCCTGAGTCCTGCCTAATGGGGACACTGGGACATATCTCTGAGGCCATAACCTAACTGACATGACTCTCTTTCCCTGCCTGGGCCTTTCAAATGGTGGAATTGTGACATATTGCTGAGCACAGCATTTAGGTCATGTGACTCTCCTGTTTTTATCTGAACCGTGCCCACAAAGAAAAATTTTGACGATTTGCACACAGAGGATGTTACACTTCTGCTACGACACTGAATAAAGAGGGAATTATTGCATACTGGTGGGCCCAGCAGCCTGATGATGCTACTGTCCTGCCTGTGCCAGAGCCACAGAGGGTATTTTGACATATCTTCGTCCCATTCTGTAGGTGTTTTAGCTCTTATCCCTTGGCTAACTTTTTCTACATGTGGAATTGAGTGATACTGCTGGACGCAGCACCCAGTTAATGGCCATTTGGCCACCTTCAAACCACACTGAGACGGAAGCTCGGCTTTTGTGCAGTCCAGCAGTACAGAGAAACAGCAACCCAAAGTGTTGGGTTGGGGTTGCTTCTTCCCAGAGACCAAAGCATACCACCTCCTCCGCTATCCTAGTGTGGGAAGGAGGGTCAGGATGCACATGCATCAAGCACCCAGTGCCCAGCAATCACTACCACAGGCAGCAGGGAGATGAGGCAGAAAGGGTGAGGAAAGTAGCAGTTGGAATGTGTGTGTGCAGAAAAGCTACTAACCCTCTTATTTCAGCCACAGTTAGCTCACTGCAAGCAACAGAAATCCACTCTGGGAAACCTAAGCCAAAAGGAAGATAAACTGAAGAACCAGAAGACAGAAAGGGAAGAAGGGGGATGGTGGCAGAAGGTACTTTGTGGGAGAGATGGATCTTTCTCAAACCTTTTATCCCTGCCTGTTATTTAATCATGATTGGGTTCTTTGGGAAGAGGGTACGGCTGGCCAGGGGAGAGCAGGATACCGTGAGTGGTAGCTTCCAGGCATCTGTCTACCAACACAGGGGAAGGAAGCACGTCCCTCAAAGAAAGCCAGGATGCTGGCACCAGAAAAAGGGCGAAGGATGCTGAGCATGGGGAGGACAGAGATGTCTCTTCTCTCTTTGGGACTGTATCTTGTCACCTGTAAAATGGGGGAAAACTGTGGCTACATTGTGAAAATTTAATGAGATAAAACAGCACAGTGTGGCTTATGGGAAGTCCCTAATATATAATAATTTTAAATAATTGTAGCTAAATAATTTTAGCTTATCATCTTAATTTTTGATTCAGCTCTCTCTGAATTTTACATCCTAGCACAGATCAATGATCTTGCAACTCCAACCACACCATTTTGCAATTCTGAACCTCTACCTAGAGAAAGCAGTGGATCTTTATACATTCGACACAGCCCTTCCCTCTAGAGTAATAAAAAATAAACCTAGTTTTGCATAAGTCTTTTTCTGTAGGCTGGGTCTCTGGAGTAAGTGAACCCCATGGCCAATCCATCTGAAGTCAAGGTTAATAGGGCCGTGATACTAAAGATGTGGTATTAAAGATCTCCTTCTGGTACCGCATTCTTTATGATGCATGGCCAATTACCCACTAAGGAAGATACTGCAGCCGTAGCAATTTTATCCCAAAAGCATGTCATTTTATTTTTATTCCCACTGACAAGCACATACCTCTTTAAATAAAAAAAAAAAGAAAACGAAAGTGACTATTGCTCAAACTTACATTTTGCCCACACATTTTTCAACTCTTGGGATTGTATATTCCAGTCCGGATATGGGCACTAACCAAGCCTTTCCTGATGGATGGGCTTGGCTGTTTTCTCCATGGTTTCTTGGCTCAAATTTTTGGCAAATTACATGTTTTTGCTTAGTTTTTGGGCAAAACTAGATGTTTCTGTGGCTTTGCAGTTTTTCTCCACCAAAAGCATGAAATTTGACCAATTATTTACTGATAGAGTTATGGAAAGATGAAGCTGTGGCAGATTTCAAGTTTCAAAATCCATCTCTGGTTAATTTGTTTGAAATAATTGACTATAGGATATGGTAGATATCAATTATATGACAAACCTTTTAGGTTTTGTTTAATGTTAAAAATAAAGTGATAATGCTGGCCTTAGCATATTAATTAATGACTTTCGTTTTCATCCTAAGAACAATGGGAGCACATTAATCTTTGGCAGAAGATAAAGTGACCAGATTTGTGTTTTAACAGGTCTCTGTAGCTATTGAAAATGGACTGGAGAAGACGAATTGGAGTGAGAAGAGAGTGACAGAATCAGATAAAAATGTGCCATGTTACTATGAGCAGGAGATGAGGCAGCCTCAACCAATATGGTGCAGAGAGAAGAAAATCACTTGAGAGAATGGATTAAACTGGGTGGTTAGCAAAGAGAACTGAATCGAAAATTATGATAGTAAGCTAAATAATTTTACACACAAAAAGGCAGAGTTGCATTCACAATTAGTCTCTTCAGACTGAATATTACAGCCAAATTATAACAATTGGTGTTGCAATCACTTCCCTTGGGTTTGTATCCAAGGTTAAGAATGTCAGCATCCAGAGGTCCAAATTCTTCTTCTTTTTTTTTTTTTTTTTTTGAGAGGCCCAGAGGCCCAAATTCTTAATGTTTTTAGATGATAAAGTTTATTCAAGGTAGACTGTCTGTGTTGAATAATTTAGCCTCTTACAAATTTCAAGAAAAAATCTATTGTCCCTCTTCTCCACCACAGACACACTTTAATTGAACATTAAGCATATTTATTAAAGAAACATTCTCTTTTGCTTTTTCTCCCAAGAGAGATGGTGTTCTTACTCAGAGTTATAAGTGTCAGAATAAAGAATGCCCATGAGGTTGAATTGTATGATGCTACGGTAAAGTGAAATAAACATTCTCAAAAACATGATTATGACTTACAAACAAACAAACAAAAACCAACAAACAACTTTCTGTCGAGGAATTACGCTTTTGGGACAGAAACTTTCCTTTAAATTTGAACAGCTGCATGCCGACAAAGAATATGAAAAAGGCACAACACACCGATTATGAAAACATGACTACACTTTAAGAGAACACAGAATTTTTCAGATCCATCTTAAATCTCAGGAGTTCTAGACCGAGACAGGAATGAGTGCTCTTGTTGCTAAAATCACTCTGATGTGCTTCTTGTTAAACAATTCACTCAGCAACATTACAGATTAGCACACACACACAAAAATTGTTTGTAGGTGAAAAATTGTTTGGAAAAGGACACCTTATTAGCCATGTTATCTACTTACAAATAAAAGCCGATTTTTGGCTCTCCTGAATGAAAAGAAGGGTAATTGGAGGATATCTGGGGCTTACTAACTTGATTTTAGGCCAGGGGTGTCCCAGAATCAGGGAGCTCCTGAAGAGGGGCCTTGTCATAGGAACTACCTGATCTGAGCTTCTCCTCAGTCCGAGATGTACCAAGGCCACTGCTTGCCCCGTGTTTACAGGATTCAGAGTCTTCAGGGAAAGTTGAGCCCAAGTGGTAGAGTCTTCTTCCCCAGCTGTGTTCTCACCTCCCAAAGCCCCACACAATGGAAAATCCCTCAAGAGGAGGCAGTCACAGAGAGAAGTGGAGGCCAGGTGGCCTCCAAATGATCAATGTCATACAGGGCTCCTGTCTGCTCTACGGCCACCTCTCAAGTTGTTCTTTCCTAGGTTCCTTCTTAAATTTGATAGATTTATCCAAAACAGGTATGAATTCAGATCCTACCAATTTAATATTGCAAGAACTCACCCAGGGGAAGGAATAGAGCTTAACAGTAATGTTGAAAAAGAAAAAGGAAATTTTTAATAAACAAAAGGTATCAATAAAATGGAGGACTCTTTATCTACTTAATTAACTGTTTGGTGACCCTGATGAATTTAATGATACTCAAACCACCTAAGTAAGTGAGCTACTGGGACTGAAATTTTGGCTCTCTCTCTCTCTTTCTTTTTTTTAGAGAGGGTCTTGCTCTGTCATCCAGGCTGGAGTGCAGTGACATGATCAAATCTCACTGCAGCCTCCAAATCTCAGGCTCCAGCAATCCTCTCATCTCAGCCTCTCAGATAGTCAGGACTACAGGTACATGCCACCATATCTGGCAATTTTTTAATTTTTATTTTTTGTAGAGACAGGGGCTCACTGTGTTGCCCTGGCTCAAACTTCTAGCCTCAAGTTATCTTTCCATCACAGTCACCCATAGTACTGGGATTACTGGCACGATCCCCTGTGCCTGGCCTTTCTTTGTTAAAATTCGCCTCTAAGTGGCAGCCCTTGAAATGTATTTCTAAACTGCTGTGAACAATTAAGTTTGATTTTTTTAAAAAAGTAAGAAGAAACCCGATTATTCAGACCTTGCACTAATTCAGGCTTTCCTTCCTACCAACCAGCCCCTTTTAAGATGGTCTCATGAGTTATTAGCATCTTCATCAATGTGTCAACAAGAATGACTACCTACATCTGCACAACAGTTTTCAAGATATTTCCATGGTTATTATTCTCTTATCTGGCCCCACCCACATCCTGCTGATTGGTCCATTTTAGAGAGAGCCGATTGGTCTGTTTTACAGAGCGCTGAATGGTCTGTTTTGACAGGGTGCTGACTGGTGCATTTACAATCCCTGAGCTAGACAAAGAGGTTCTCCACATCCCCACTAGATTAGCTACATAGAGAGTGTCGATTGGTGTATTTACAAATCCTGAGCTAGACACAGAGTGCTGATTGGTGCATTTACAAACCTTGAGCTAGATACAGGGAGCCAACTGGTGCATTCACAATCCCTTAGCTAGACATAAAGATTCCCCAAGTCCCCACCAGATTAGCTAGACACAGAGCTCTGATTGCTACACTTACAAACCTTTAGCTAGACACAGAGTGCTGACTGGTGCATTCACAATCCCTTAGCTTGACATAAAGGTTCTCCAAGTCCCCACTAGATTAGCTAGATACAGAGTGCCAATTGGTGCATCCACTAACCCTGAGCTAGACACAGTGTGCTGATTGGTGTGTTTACAAACCTTGAGCTAGATACAGAGTGCTGATTGGTGTATTCACAATCCCTTAGCTAGACATAAAGATTCTCCAAGTCCCCACCAGATTAGCCAGATACAGAGTGCCGGTTGGTACATCCACAAATCCTGAGCTAGACAGAGGGTGCTGATTGGTGTGTTCACAAACCTTGAGCTAGATACAGAGTGCTGATTGGTGTATTCACAATCCCTTAGCTAGACATAAACACTCTCCAAGTCCCCACCAGATTAGCTAGATACAGAGTGCCGGTTGGTGCATCCACAAACCCTGAGCTAGACACAGGGCGCTGATTGGTGTGTTCACAAACCTTGAGCTAGACACAGTGTGCTGATTGGTGCACTCACAATCCCTTAGCTAGACACAGAGGTTCTCCAAGTCCCCACTAGACTCAGGAGCCCAGCTGGCCTCACCCAGTGGATCTTATACCAGGGCCACAGGTGGAGCTGCCCGCCAGTCACTCACCGTGCGCCTGCACTCCTCAGCCCTTGGGCGGCCGATGGGACCAGGCACCATGGAGTAGGGGGTGGCGCTCGTCCAGGAGGCTCAGGCCATGCAGGAGCCCATGGCGGTTGGGGGAGACTCAGGCATGGTGGGCTGCAGGTCCCAAGCCCTGCCCCGTGGGGAGGCAGCTAAGGCCGGGTGAGAAATCCAGCACAGCGCTGGTGGGTCAGCACTGCTGGGGGACCCGGCACACCCTCTGCAGCTGCTGGCCTGGGTACTAAGTCCCTCACTGCCTGGGGCTGGCAGGGCTGGCCGGCCACTGCAAGTGCAGGGATCAGCAAGCCCACACCCACCCAGAACTCTAGCTGGCCCACAAGCACTGCACGCAGCCCTGGCTCCCACCCCTGCCTCTCCCTCCACACCTCCCCGCAAGCTGAGGGAGCTGGCTCCGGCCTCGGCCAGCCCACACAAGGGCTCCCATGGTGCAGTGGAAGGCTGAAGGGCTCCTCAAGCATGGCCAGAATGGGCGCTGAGGCTGAGGAGGCACCGAGAGTGAGCCAGGGCTGTCAGCATGCTGTCACCTCTCAATCCCCCCTGGCAGTTTTGGAGAGTCACTGCTGCCAAAGAGTCTATTTGGGATTATAAAGTAAGAACAGATTTCGCTATTTCTTGCAAACTGTCTGAGATATCCTTGGAGAGTGTGTGGTAGTAGGATAATGAAGTAGATAAACCACATATTCTGGTTCCTGTAGCCATAGCCATTCCTAACCCTTTAAGGAGGGGTATTAGTTGTATGGCTCTGCACTGACAGACTTGAGCTTTGAGGGGTACTGATAAGGTCTGATTTCCTGCGGCAATGATAATGTTGGGACTTAGACTAAGGTGCAGGTGCCTGTCAAGTTAGTGGGGAGGCAGATACAGGTCGTTGTTCCACATAAGAAGAATCTGCCTTGTCTGGGTAGACAGAACTTAACCCTGGCTTTTAAAGGAATAGTGTACACTGTTTTTTTTTCTTTACTATTTCTTTCTCTCTCTTTCTCTCTTCAACTCCTTCTTTGTCTCTTCCTCTCTTTTTAACTCTCTCTTTGACTTTCTGTGTCTGTCCCTCTTTCTCTCTGACTCCTTCTCTTTGTCCCTCTGTTCCTTCCTCTCTCTCTCTCTTTCTCTGACTTTCTTTTTCTCTCCTTCTTGCTGGTCTTTCCCTACCTCTGCCAGTCACTCATGCTGCTGTTCTCCCCTCTTCTTCCCATTTTGATGGCTTTGGCAGTGTAAGAGTGCCACCTACTTGTGTTTTTGCATTGCATGCAATAATTCTATAATTTCCTTGTGGCATTTAACAGGGGTTCCCCCAGAGGTTAGGAACTCCCTCTCTTTCCATATTGCAGCATGGGCATGTAGGATTAGATAAGCATATTTGCTATCTGTATACACATTTATTCTTTTTCCCTTTCCCAGTTCTAAGGCTCGGGTAAGTGCCACTAGTGCTGCTAACTGGGCACTGGTCCCTGGGGGAAGAGGCTTACTTTCAAGTATGGATACATCACTAACTATGGCATAACCTGCCCTTCGTATCCCATTCTCCATAAATGAACTTCCGTCGGTATATAGGTTAAGGTCAGGATTAGTTAAAGGGACTTCTAAGAGATCATCTCAGGCGGCAAAAGTCTGGACTATAATTTGTTGGCAGTCATGCTCGATTGGTTCCCCATCCTCTGGGAGAAAAGTGGCAGGGTTGAGGGCCATGCACATGAGTATTTGAAGCGCCAGTCCCTCAAGGAGTAGCACCTGGTATCTAAGTAGGTGGTTGTCTGATAGCCACAAACTTCCTTTGGCACCTAGTATGCCATTTACATCATGAGTAGTCCAGACAGTGAGATCCTTTCCTTGTATTATTTTGATAGCCTCTGACACTAAGACGGCCACTGCTGCAGCTACCCTTAAACAGTGAGGGCAGCCTTTTGCTACTACATCAATTTCCTTACCTAGGTATGCCCCTGGTTGTGGGGTTGTCCCACGAGTCTGAGTAATGACTCCAAGAGCTATCCTAGCTCTCTTTGTGAAGTATAAAGAGAAGTTTTGTCCTGTGGGAAGGCTTAAAGCTGGAGCTTCTACTAGGGCCTGCTTTAAGGTTTTGAAGGCTGTTTCTGCCTCTGGTTCCCATTCTACTAGATGAGTATTTGCCTTCTGGGTTTCCTTGATTAGAGTATAGAGGGGCCTGGCTATCTTGTTGCATCTGGGGATCCACAGTCGGCAAAAGCCAGTAATTCCAAGGAACCCCGCAACTGTTTTAATGTTTTAGGGTGGGGATAAGCCAGTAGAGGCTGTATTCATTCCTTGCTGAGGGCCCTGGTCCCTCTGGCTAAGATTAGGCCTAGATATTTGACCTGCTCTAGGCAAAGCTGGGCCTTCGACCTAGACACCTTGTACCCTTGATTAGCTAGAAAGTTCAAGAGATCTAGAGTAGCCTGCTGGCATGAGGCTTCCAAACTGGTAGCCAAAATAAATCATCCACATACCAAAGGACCAGAGTGCCTGGACTTGAGAAGTGGCCAAGATCTTGGGCCAGTGCCTGATCAAACAGGTGAGGGCTATCCCTAAACCCTTGGGGCAAGACCGTCCATGTTAAGTTGGGACATGTGGTTTGTGGGATCCTCAAAGGCAAAGAGGAACTGGGAGTCAGAGTGCAGGGGAATACAGAAGAAGGCATCCTTGAGGTCCAGAAGCATGAACCATTTTGCTTCCTCTGGTATTTGAGAGCAGGGTATCGGGGTTGGGTACAACTGGATATAGAGGAATTACTGCCTCATTGATGAGTCTAAGATCTTGCACTAGTCTCCACTGACCGTTTGCTTTTCCTACTCCTAGGATTGGGGTGTTGCAGGGATGGCTGCATTTCCTTACTGAGCCTTGAGCTTTCAAATGTTTAACAATATTCTGTAGCCCTTTATTAGCTTCAGGCCTTAAGGGATAGTCTTTGATAAGGAAAAGTGGTGGGATCTTTTAAACTGATTTGGACTGGGTGGGCATTTTTTGCCCTTCCAAATTGTCCTTCCAATGCCCAGACTTCAGGGTTGATTCCCTCCTCAAGTAGGGGACAACAAATGGGTAAGTTCTTCCCCATATTCATGTAGATAATAGCTCCAGCCTTGGCTAATATACCCCTCCCTAATAAGGGTGTGGGACTTTCAGGCATAACAAGAAAGGGATGTGAAAAGACCAAAGTCTCCCAATTACAACTCAGGAGGTGGGAGAAATACCTGGTAACAGGTTGTCCCAGGATTCCTCAGATGGTAACGGACCTTGAGGACAGTCGTCCAGGACCAGAGATTAACACTGAGAATGCCGCACCAGTGTCCAGGATGAAGTCAATTTCCGGGCCCTCAATAGTTAAACATACCCGGGGCTCAGTGTGGGTGATGGCATGAGCTGGTGCTTGCCCGGGGCACCCTCAGTCCTGTTGTTGGATTATCTGGTTGGGGGCTTCTGACCCAGGAAAACTTCATCCTCTGGGGCAGTGCACCTTCCAGTGATTGTCTCAGTGTAGTGGACATGGACGAGGGGGCAGCTTGTTTCTCATTGGACAATCTTTTTTAACGTGTCCTAGTAAGCCACACTGATAACAAGCCCTACCAGGTGATTGGACTGCTCCATTTTCTGTCCTCTCTGAATCACCAAGGTTTGTTTATCTCAGGGCCAGGACTAAGGCTGCAGCCTTTCTCTGACCTCGCTTTTCCTTTTGGGCCTGTTCCTCTTGGTCCCTATTATAGAACGACGAGGTTTGCCAGGTTTAATAATGCCTCTAGATTTTGTTCAGGGCCCAGGGCTTGCTTTTGGAGCTTTCTCCTGATAGCTGTGGCTGATTGGGTAATAAATTTATCTTTTAGAATCAATTGACCCTCGAGGGATTCAGGCGAGAGGGGAGTATATATTCTTAAGACCTCTCGTAGCTGCTCGAGGAAGGCAGAAGGATTTTATTCCTTTCCCTGTGTTATGGTGGACATCACTGAATAATTCATGGGCTTTTTTCTAATCCTCCGTAGTCCCTCTAGAACACAGGTCAACAGATGTTTACAACTCCAGTCCCCATGATCTGAGTCAAGGTCCCAGTGGGGATCCATACTGGGGATGGCTTGCTGACCAGTAGGGAATTTGTGCCTTTCTTCAGCTGTCATTCTATCATTTACTGACTAAGATACCAGGTATCTCCAAACTCTCAGGCTGCAGCTAAAGCCACATTCTTTTCATTAAAGACCAGGGTTTGATCTAAGAGTAGCATGACATCTCTCCAAGCGAGGTCAAAGGTTTGCCCTAGACCCTGTAGGACATCTACGTACCTATCAGGATCATCTGAAAACTTCCCCAGGTCTGCCTTGATCTGCTTTAAATCAGAGAGGGAGAAGGGGACATGCACCTGGGTTGGGCCAAGTTCTCTGCCCCCTACAGCTTGAAGGGGACATAACCGATTGCCTGGGGGGCGGGTTGTGGTCCTCTGGAGATTTCTTTGCTTATTTCCTTCTGGGCAGGGGAGATTAGAGGAGGATTATCATTCATAGGAAGGGGAGCTATAGGGAGGCTAGGATATGGGGGTAAGCTGAGAGGTCCTCCTGTGGGATGTAAATTGTAAGCTTTGCATAGTTGTGTATTCTCCCTCAATGAAAAGAAAGCTTGGACATAAGGTATTTCACTCCATTTGCCTTCCCTCTTACAGAAAAGGTCAGGATGCAGGATAGTATTGTAATTTCTACTTCCCTCACGTGGCCATTTTTCCCCATCAAAGAGGGAATATTGGGACCAAGCCGTAGTGCAGAAAAAAAATGAGCCACCTCTTTTTCAGGGTTTGTGGGTTAAATTGGTCCCAATGGTTTAGCATGCATTTCAAGGGTGAGCCTGTTGATGCCTGAGTGTTTCCCATCTGAAAGACAAAACCGCCTGCGGTTTTGGTTTGTTTTGTTTCTCCCCCTGCCCTAGAACCCGCAACGGTCCCTGGACCCTGCTGATCAGAATAGTTGCACTCACCAACGCATCAGCAGAAACAACCCCTGCCCAGGAACCCACAATGGTCCCTGGACCCTGCTGGTCAGAATAGTTGTGCTCACCGACGCTGCAGCGGAAACACTAGCTTTCCTTCCAGACCACATGGAGGACTGAGGAAGGTCGGTCCTTACCGATGCATTCTCAAAAACCTGCACCCTTGCCTGTCCTCCTAGACCACAAAGAGGACAGACTGAGAAAAATCGGATTTAGTGGCCCTTACCGACACATTCTTAAAAACCTGTTAGAGTCCTAAGCATTCACCTTTTAGTGTTGGGACTTTACCCCTGTCCTATACAGATGTTATGCCCCAAAAATGAAGTGGAGGGCCATACCCTGAGGGAGGGAGGGGATCTCCAGGGTGGAAGAGTGACACATTTTGTCCTCACTTACATGAATAGGAAGGATACAATTTCTGAGGCTCCCCATATCCTAGCTTCAGGAATAGTTTTTGTTAGGCCTATTAGTCGGAGGAGGGATCCTAAAATTCCAGGTAGTCCCCACTACGACAGGGCTTTGGGCAAAAGTTATGTCTTTCTGATTGGTGAGCCCAGGTGCCTGAAGAAAGTAACAGAGTCCTGGACTTTATACTAGAAATCATTCTTATAGGAGAAACTAGAAAAGCACCAGAGACAGGTAACAATTTTTAGAAGGAGGACTAACCTCAGAGAAGAGAGTCAAGAGGAAGTTTGTGTGGCAAGCATTTGGACACAGAGGGCAAGGGTCAGGGATAGATAAGATAGATGGGTGAGTCTCGCTTGGGCGACATGCCTTTGAGAGTTCCACTCATGGCCGTAGGGTCAACCAACGTGTTGTCGGGACCCCGGAGCTGAATGGCTTTCCTCTCTGTTGACCCTCGGCTGAGCCCAGAAGTACAGGAAAAGCAGAAGCTTGTTCTAGGCAAACCAACGCTCCCAACTCCGAAGAGCTGGGGGTTGTTAGAGAGCCCATTTCCAGAAAGCCTGACACCCGTGTCTTTAGTCCGGTGGCCACACTAGTCGCTTTTAGCTGGCCGACAGGTGCCCGATATTTAACCCCCGAATTCTAAGGAAAATAGGATAGAATAGCAAGTGAAAGGGGTCTGATGGTACTCACTGCTTGGTGACAGGCGACAGTCTCACCGCTTGGCGATAGTCCCTTCGTGGTCACCAAAATGTGTCCGGAATTGGTGGGTTCTTGGTCTCACTGACTTCAAGAATGAAGCCGTGGACCCTTGTGGTGAGTGTTACAGTTCTTAAAGGCAGCATGTCCGGAGATTTTCCCTTCTGGTGTGCGGATGTGTTTGGAGTTTCTTCCTTCTGGTGGGTTTGTGGTCTCGCTGGCTGATGAGTGAAGCTGCAGACTTTCGCGGTGAGTGTTACAGCACTTAAGGCAGCACGTCTGGAGTTGTTCGTTCCTCCCAGTGGGTTCATGGTCTCGCTGGCTTCAGGAGTGAAGCTCCAGACCTTTGCAGTGAGTGTCACAGCTCATAAAGGCAGTGTGGACCCAAAGAGTGAGCAGTAGCAAGATTTATTGCAAAGAGCAAAAGAACAAAGCTTCCACAGAGTGGAAGGGGACCCGAGCAGGTTGCCACTGTGGGCTCAGGCAGCCTGCTTTTATTCTGTTATCTGACCCCACCCACATCCTGCTGATTGGTCCATTTTAGAGAGAGCCGATTGGTCTGTTTTACAGAGAGCCAATTGGTCTGTTTTACAGAGAGCTGATTGGTCTGTTTTGACAGGGTGCCGATTGGTGCATTTACAATCCCTGAGCTAGACGCAAATGTTCTCCACCTCCCCACTAGATTAGCTAGATACAGAGTGTCGATTGGTGTATTTACAAACCCTGAGCTAGACACAGAGTGCTGATTGGTGCATTTACAAACCTTGAGCTAGATACAGAGTGCCGACTGGTGCATTCACAATCCCTTAGCTAGACATAAAGATTTTCCAAGTCCCCACCAGATTAGCTAGATACAGAGCTCTGATTTGGTGCATTTACAAACCTTGAGCTAGACACAGAGTGTGGACTGGTGCAGTCACAATCCCTTAGCTGGACATAAAGATGCTCCAAGTCCCCACCAGATTAGCTAGATACAGAGTGTCGGTTGGTGCATCCACAAACCCTGAGCTAGACAAAGGGTGCTGACTGGTGTGTTCACAAACCTTGAGCTAGACACAGAGTGCTCATTGGTGCACTCACAATCCCTTAGCTAGACACAAAGGTTCTCCAAGTCCCCACTAGATTCAGGAGCCCAGCTGGCCTCACCCAGTGGATTTCACACCGGGAGGCAGGTGGAGCTGCCCACCAGTCCCTCACCATGCACCCACACTCCTCAGCCCTTGAGTGGTCAATGGGACCGGGTGCCCTTGAACAGGGGGCGGTGCTCACTGGGGAGGCTCAGGCCAGGCAGGAACCCATGGTGGGGAGGGGGGGTGATGGCGGGGACTGAGGGGGGTGGCAGGAGGGATTGGGTGGGTGGGAGCGGTTGGGGGGGGCGGTTTTGTGAGGACAGCGGCGGAGGGCGGGCGGCGGTACGGGTGTGGAGCCTCAGGCATGGGGGGCTGCACGTCTGGAGCCCTACCGCACGGGGAGGCAGCTAAGGCCCGGCGAGAAATCGAGGGCAGCACCAGTGGGCCAGCCGTGCTGGGGGACCCGGTGCACCCTCACAGCTGCTGGCCTGGGTGCTAAGCACCTCACTGCCTGGGTACAGCAGGGCCGTCTGGCTGGCTGCTCCGAGTGCGGGCCTGCCAAGCCCACACCCACCCGGAACTCAAGCGGGCCCGCAAGCGCCGGGAGCAGCCCCGGATCCCCCCGCCGTGCCTCCCCCTCCATACCTCCCACAAGCGGAGGGAGCCGCCTCCAGCCTCGGCCAGCCCAGAGAAGAGCTCCCATGGTGCAGCGGCAGGCTGAAGGGCTCCTCAAGTGCAGCCAGAATGAGCACTGGGGCCGGGGAGGCACCGCGAGCAAGCGAGGGCTGCCAGCACGCTGTCACCTCTCACTAAGACAGAGATTCTCAAGTTTTTCCAGTTCACAGCTCCCCTAGTATCTCTATAATTTTTTCATGGCACATACAGGTCAAAATAAATACCCCAAAATTTGTTTATGAATTAGTCAGGCCCAAATAATTTACCAATTATTTATGTCCTGAAAACACAGTGGCCACTTCAGGAAAAAATAATACAGACAGACTGAAGTAAAAATACATTTACTTTATTTTCAAATGATCACAATTTTTTTTTTTTTTTTTTTTTTTTTTTTGAGACGGAGTCTCACTCTGTTGCCCAGGCCGGAGTGCAGTGGGCCAATCTCGGCTCACTGCAATCTCCGCCTCCCGGGTTCACACCATTGTCCTGCGTCAGCCTCCCGAGTAGCTGGGATCACAGGCGCCGGCCACCATGCCTGGCTGTTTTTTCTTTTTTTTTTGTATTTTTAGTGGAGACGGGGTTTCACCGTGTTAGCCAGGATGGTCTCAATCTCCTGACCTCATGATCCGCCCACCTCGGCCTCCGAAAGCGCTGGGATTACAGGCAGGAGCCACCGTGCCCAGCCACAATTTCTTAATAATGTGAGGTGTGTGCCTGTTGGGCACTGAACAATTACTCAGACCTTGGACTCAGATTGGATACTGCCATTCTCATTTCCTATTTCACGTTGATTTTTTTCACAATGCGTCTTTTTTATCATAGCAACTGTCTGAAACTCAGATACTGTGCAAAACCATCAAAACCAGTGTTTTTGCACAGTATCTGACGGATGTTAATGAGTTTCCTTCAAAAGTCTAAACTACCTTGCAGTGTTCTGATGTGTTCACTGAGGCACCTCAGAGAGCCTCAGCAACAATTTGAGAACCATGGCATACAAGTCACCATGCTATGTCTAGATATGGCTGTGCTGGAGGAGTAATGCCTTCTAACCTGCCTAGCAGTCACTTCCTCTGTCCTTTACAGGCTCCTGTGTCATGCCAGGAGGACAAAGGGCTGATGATTTGACCAGCAGTTTCCTGGCTACCATTCCTCAGCCAGGAGGAACCAAGCTTCCCAACATGAAGCAAAACCAAACCCATTTAAAAAGTAAAGGTGATGATGGTAGGCTCCTGCATGTTTTCTGAAATTACCTATATTCCTCTCATCCTGTGCTCACAGGCATGTGACATAGGTAAGACTGAAAACTGGATTGAATTGTGAGGAAAGAACAAGTTTTCCCCAGCTCCCAAGCACGTCCCATCTGAATACTGGAAACTATGTGTAAATCTTAAACAGCAGGGTGTGGAGGAGAATCCGTTCAAATTAGAGTCGAATGTTATGAAGACATCCCAGGATCCTCCTGGGGAAGGAGATCTGAACCATCAGGCACCTGAAGAACTGCTTGGTGGCGAGGTAGTGTCGAGGCATTTCAGTGTGGTTAGTGCTACACATAGCCTCTATGCAGATGGGTGAGAAGCCTGATTGTCTTTGACTAAGACTGAATTTGGTTCCACTTCAAACTCTTATTCTACTGCATGGTAGAAATGAAATAGCAGGCAGTTCAGGCTTTCCCATGATGTTACACAAAACAATATGAAATTGCTGCTATTTGATCATTTCTAAACTATAAAAATTGCAACTACATATGGCCCAGATGATAATTTGTCTCCATCACTCCCAGGGTTTGTGACAGTCATGATCCCAGGGGCCACCTGGTTTCCATCACCACCCACTCTGTTGTGCCTCCGAGATGTCCTTGCTCTCCTATGCTCTCCATCACTGGTCCACGAAGACCTCATCTGCCTTAGCCCCATCAGCCAGGGCTTTCTGAGGCTGGAGTGAATCATCTCAGCAATTCCCACATCTCCCTTGGGTGCTGCTATGAAAGGTCTGTGACAGGAATGAGGCACAGTCCCTTTTCTCAGTGACATTTACCAACAGCCAAACTCTCGTGGTCCCTAGTCTCTGTTCTCTCCCGCTCTCTGGAGTGAGAAGAACCAGTTCTTCCAACTTTATTTACTCTTCCAAGTCAAATGCTTCTGGCATCAACTTAGTACCTGAACTGTAAGGGTCAGGGTTTTAAGCTCCTGCATCTCAAACCTTTGGTGTGGAAACAGAAAACATGAGTTTCTCTTCATATTCCCCAGCATCCCTCCTTTTAGACAGCAGATACCTCCCAGTGTAGCTCCAATGGGAGAAAGCCCTTGGGGTGAAAATAGTGAGGAAATCAGGACCCGCGCATCACCTTGGTGTGCAGTGGGTGTCTGGCTCCTCTCATGCCTGGGTCTTGTCCAGGTGTGTGGGATGCACCTGACAGGGAAAGTCCTGACCTCTCATTTCCAAGCTGTGTAACCCTGGGCAAGCCACTGACCTCTCTCCAAACATCAGTTTCCTCAGGCCCTCAGAGTTAGAAAACATACTGCCAGCAGGCCCAAGGCTCATCCTGTATGGTCAAATACAGTCAAGCAGAGAGAGAAAAATCTTCTGGATTCAATGCAAATGCAACAACTTCCTGTTGCATTAGGAGTAGCAAGACTGGCTGGCTTTCTAAAAGCTTAGAGATATTATTTTTGAAGCTATCTGTGTATACTTTATTCCCTTTCATACATACCCCTCCTGGCTGACCCAAATGAAAAAAGATACGAAACTCGTTTCTGGCCCGGCTCTTGCCTGCTCAGATGGAATGTGTGGTGATACGCCCATTTTTCCGCTCAGCTGTATTCCTGTTTATTCCTGTGAACACATGGTCTCTGTAATTGGCAATAATTTTTTTCTTTGGGATATTTACCTTCCTTTTGTGGGACAGCCCAGATTCTTGGGTGGATTCGTTTCCCACTCAATTACCAGAAAAGGGCACAATGTGATTGGGAGAACTACGTGGAAGAAAGCTCAGCTCCCAGGCCCTCACACAAGCAACTCTGTGCTCCCATCTATGTCAGAGCCTGGGGACTATGAGGAGATTGCAACGGAACATCCTGTCCCCTCCACCAACATTCTTTCCCCACGAAGCAGTGGCATTTTCTTTTGTGTTCTCACACAATTCAGACTAGGTGGAGTAGCCTGTACGGAATGACTGGAATGACCCTACTGAGCAGAAGTGTTCCCCTTCTCCCTTGCCAAAACTGTGGGCTGAGAGAGAACCCGCCTGATAGCCCCCTGCTTTGGAGGTGTTTCTGCGGTGGTCCTTTTAAAAAGGGTGTATTCGGGGCATGGGTTGAAACACCAAGCAAGTGTAAATCACAGGCTTCACACACTTGCCTTTTGGGAGGCAGGTCAGCTCCAACCTGCAGCAGCTGAGAAAGAATACATAGGGGTCCTTGAGGACAGAGAGCTTTGTTGATGACCAGCCTTAGGGTATAGGAGAAAGAGAAAGGCCGGAGCAGCCACAGCCACTTCTCTGTGCCCAGCAGTGTAGCCACCCGCCTAGCAATGCTCCAGCCATGCAGAATGGGCCTGCCTCCTCTCTGCCTTGTCCTGAGGATGGAGATATCTCTGACCTGGAGGTCCTAGGACCTCACTTCCTAAATGTGTGACCCTAGATAAGTTGCTTAACCTCTACCGGAACCTCAATTTCATCATCTGTAAAACAAGAATAATCAACCCACCTACCTCATAGGGTTGTTTTGATACTTAAATGAGACAAAGCATGTGTCTAAGGGTTTTCTGATTCGTAAAACACCACAGGTGTATAAGGATTGTTTTCCTGACTTATCTTAGGACCTTTTGAAAGAGACCTTCAATAAGAGACCTTCAATAAGTTCTCTAAGTTCAACCTCTACTATGCACAATCCTGAAAGGTCGTCTACCCTCTGCTTGAATCCTTGCTATTATGGGAAACTTACTACCTTTCTTTGAGGAAAAACTCACTACCACAAAGCCCTATGACTTGAGCTTCCTCTGGTTAAATCACAGCCATCTCACATAAGCTCCAGAGTAAATGGGAAGGGAGAACCTGACTCATCCAGCAATAGCAGAAAGATCATCACGTAGATTGTGTTGTTCTGCTATTTACAGATATTTGTGAAAAACCTGAAGTCAGTGTCATTCATCTTCCCTTTTGAAGGTTAAGTGTGTTTGTTTTTGTTTTTGTGACCAGAAATACATTAAAATTGGATTAGGAGCCATGTGCAGAAAAATTCACTGATGCTCAGTGCAGTGTATTCATTGTATAAACATGGAATAAAATGTTTGTCCCAAGATTATTTCACTTTGTCCACTTAGAAAGATTTCCTGTGACTTGCATAAATGTGGAAGAAAGCGTCTTCATTTCTTTTTAGCCAGGATCATTTGATGACATTTTGAAATGTCAGGGAGACTCTTAACTTAAATCTGACCTACAAAGGGCCATTGAGAACAGTGAAGTGTGCCCCCAAAGCCAAAAACTTTGTATAGCTTTAATTTCAGTACAGAGGTAAATCGACTTCTGCTTTTGGATTTAAGATTTGGCAAGCATGTGAAATTAAGTATCACTAAGGGGGACTTTTTACAGAGGGAAGCTAGGAGATTATGAGTGTTAGGGCTTACAGATTTAATCTGCAATTAGCATAAACATGCAAAGGTCACCCTAAAGAGATGCATGCCCCTGTGATCTGTAGGGGTAGCTGTCAGAAGTAGAGAGAAACGGCAAACAGAGTTTTGCAAACAAATGTGTGGTGGGGATTCAGGTTTTCATGTACGTGTTGCATCTGTGGCCTAGAAGATATCAGACACATGGCCTAGGAGAAATCAAGGGTGAGAAGTCACCAGCCCACAGAGAAGATATCACTAACCTTGAGGCTAACAGAAGTAAATGACAGCTTGTGGCAGCAGCTGTTGGTCACCAACTCAACAGTGATTACCTCCTTCTTCTTTGTTAACAGAAAATGATTTCTGTTCAGGAACTGAGCAGCAGATAGTTTTTAGAATCTGGACCCCATTGAAGTTTCAAGGTGTCAACCTTGATTAGTCTGTGTCCAAAATTGTAGTTCTGTGTCCCTTGTTAGTGATTGGTTTACGATGGGGCATGTGCCACAATTCTGATCAATGAGAAGTCTGCTAGAGGTACTTCTAGAAGAGTTTTCCTTACTTTTAAAAAAGAAGAAACCAAAGAGACTTTCTGTTTCTGTCATTTGGATGTTGCTGGGAGATAATGTGATGCTTGGAGCTGTTGCGGCCATTTTGCAACCATGAGGGGAGGACCCTGAGGCAAAGGCAACATGCTTAGGGTAACAGAATAGGAACATTGACAAATCTAGACTCCGTATTAGGTTGATGTGCTAAACCAATCAGTGCCAGTACTGCCTCCCTGTAGACTTATTACCTGGTCACTCACAGATGAGACTATGGAGTCAGACTTCCTAGGTTCAAATTCCAACTTTACCACTTACCAGCTGTGTGACTTTGGACTTCTCTGTGCCTCATATTTCTGATTTGTGTACCTACCCTGTAGTATTCTTGTTAGAATTAAATGAATTAATACGTGGACAGTGCTAGAACCATACCTGATCACTCAAACATTTAACATTCTTTCATCATTTAAGCCATTTTGAGTTGCATCTTCTAGTTGTTGCTTTTGAAAGTATCCTATGTAACACAGCAACTTTCGGTTAATGTTTTCCTGTCAGAAAGTTAGGAAACTAACAACAAAAACACAAACCATCCCTTAAACAGTGGAAAAAGGACTTGAGTGGATATTTCTCCAAAGAAGAGAGGCCATGGCCCACAAACACATGAAAACATTCTCAGCATCATTCATCATTAGGGAAATGCAAATAAAAAGGAGGCACCACTGTACACCCATTAGGATGGTAATGACTTTTTAAAAAGAAAACAGAAAACAGCAAGTATTGGTGAGGATGTGGAGAAACTGGAATTTGTATATTGCTGGTGGGAATGTAATATGGTTCAGCCACTGCAGGAAACAGTTGGTGGTTCCTCAGATGACTCAACACAGAATTATCACAGGACCCTGCAATTCCACTCCCAGGCGTCTGTACCCAAAAGAATTGAAAACAGGGATGCAAGTACATGCATACACATGTTGATAGCAGCACAGCAGCCAAAAGGTGGAAGCAAACCACATGTCCATTGATGGATGAATGGATAAATAAATTGTGATATATACATACAGTCGAATAACATTCAGCCATAATAAATTAGAAAAAATGATGGGAAATGAGAAAAATATCCCATTTACAAAAGCAACCAAAATCACAGAATACTCAGAATCAAACACAGAAGAAATACAAAACGGCCTAAGGACACGGAAGAAGACATGAAATGAAGGGAAACATCACACACGTGAATGAGCAGGCTCAGGCCTGACAAGATATCAATTATTTCCCAGTCACCCTGTGAATTTAATCAATCTTTAATTTTTTAACTTAGCAAACTGATTTTTAAATTCTACTCAAAGAATACATTTGTAAAAGCAACTGAATTAATTTTTTTAAAGGAGCCAGGTGTGGTGGTATGAGCCTGTAGTCCCAGCTACTCTGGAGCCTGAGCTGAGATAGAAAGGTTGCTTGAGCCCAGAAGTTTAAGACCAGCCTGGACAACACAGTGAGACCCCATTTAAAAAATTAAAGGGGATAGCTCTTACTAGATAGTAAGATATATTTTAAAATTACTATAATTTAGGAATTTGATACCAACATAGGAATGAGAAAATTGATTACCGAACCAGAAATCAGAATTTGTCATATACTGATTGGTATTTGCAATCGGTAGGAAAAGGAAAGATTAATTAAATAGTCCGGGAACAACTGCCTTGAAACTAATATACTAAAATAAATTCCACGTGGATTAAACACAAAAATAAAACCGCAATAGAACTCAAAGAAAATATAAGTAAATATTTTCCCATTTATCAGAACCCATCCACATGGTTCAATTCAACTGCAGGGGAGGTTTGAAAACGTGTGTGGTTTTTTGGGAGGCACTCACTGTTATTGTCATAGATACATAACCTATTTCTAGGGATGAGGGAAAGGACAAAACAAAGGATTGAAACTGAAGGGCTTTCTGCCTATCCTCATGTTTATCAAAAAAATTCCAATACCCAAAATACACCATCCCACAATTATAATTGGTTGCATAGGCAAAGCTTCTCTTTCTCGTTTGATGATCCTAGTATATCTCTATAAGGACCACATCTTGGCTGATATTCCAGCTGCACATTGGAATTACATCTGTTCTCATTCTCATATTAATAATGAAGCTTGATTAATAAATTACAAGGGCTAACTCTGGAGCTATTGGTTCAAAATTCCTTGCCAGTGAGGAAAACAAAAGAACAACTGTATTTTAAGAATAGATCCACCATAATAACATGCTGATGGTCAAAACTGATCAGGCAGTCTGGATGAAGCCTCACACCTTCCTACACTTTGCAAAAGAAGTAGCAGGTAAGGAAGGACTAGCCTGAGCTCCTGTTCAGCCCTGGGGAGGGAGCAGGTATGATGGAGCTGGCAATGTGGTCATTCCTGCTGTGCTCAGCCAATTTGCTTGAACTTCAAACAGAAGTGTTAACTTCACGGTGTGCAAGTTCATCCATCCTCTGCTTTTGTCCTCCTTGGAGGCTTTCAGTGGCACATGTTGGGGGAAGAAAAGGCACTTGTTCTCTTCTCAATTGTACAGAGCAGCTGATCAGTGTCTGCACGAATTCCTGAACAAAGAACATATTTCAGACCTTCTTATTGCTTGCTTATTTAATTTAACAGATGTCAGTTGTGACACACACATACGACTTTCTCCCTAGGCAATGGATTATGGCAAATTTCATTTTATGCCTGGCATGAAAGCCATGCAATATTGGGTATTGAAAGGACTTTTTTTTTTTTTTTTTTTTTTTGAGAGACAGAAAGAGGGGAAAACCTGTTGTGCCTTAAAATCCCTAGTAATGCAAGAAAACCAATTTCCACAAAGGCATTGTCCTGGAAAGCTTTGTTGGTTTATGTCGCTACCTAATGGGAATGTGTCAGATTACACAAGGGCTGTTGTGTCAGGTCACACATCCTGTCACAATGAACACACTGGTGGTGTGTGGGTGGGAATGCAATTTATGGGGATGCCTGCGCTGGATGAGATGTTATCTTCACATTCTGTGTCTACTTCTAGTTATTTAACCTTGGCCAAGTCCCTCAACGCCTCTTAACTCAAGGATCCTCACCTAAAGGAGGGTTCTGGATGCCAGCTTTGTGAGATTGTTGACAGAACTAGGAAAAGGTGTACTTAACTGGGCTAGGTGGCTCATGCCTGCAATCCCAATGCTTTAGGAGGCTGAAGCAGGAGGATCACTTGAGGCCAGGAGTTAGAGACCAGCCTGGGCAAGATGGCAAGATCTCATTTCTTCAAAATAGAAATTAAAAAATTAGCTGGGTGTGGTGGTGTTAGCATGTATTATACACCATACCTGGGTAACAGAGAGACTCTTTCACGGAAGAAAAGAAAAAAGAGAAGAGAGAAGGAGGAAGGAAGGAGAGAAAGGAAGGAAAGAAGGAAGGAAGGAAGGAGGGAACAAAGGAAGGAAGGGAGGGATGGAGGGAGGAAGGAAGAGAAGGGAAGAAGGAAGGAAAGAAGGAAGGAAGGAAGGAAGGAAGGAAGGAAGGAAGGAAGGAAGGAAGGAAGGAAGGAAGGAAGGAAGGAAGGCAGGCATGTATTTTAAACTGAGGCATAGCCCAAAGCTCGTAAACTCAGGGTTCTGTCAGTCCATGTAGTAAAATCATGAAGCCCTACATATTTTTTCTTCTTTTGGTATAAGTTTCGGTTTCAGAGGTATGTTTTTTGACACAAGTAAAACTTCCAGCATGGAAATAAACTGCAGTCAATGGCTGCCCTGGAAGTTGGAGAGGTGATAGGAAACTGCATTGAACTGGACTGCATTGAACTGGTTTGAGTGGCTGCATTGAACAGGACAACACTTATCTGGTCTCAGGTGGATGACTGCTGTCAGCCCAGAATGGCCAGGATGTGTGGCAAGATCTTTCTGTTTACCAAAATCAACCAACCACTTGGGATATCCTGCTTGTAAATGCTGGCCCAATTTTTTAAACACTACAGGGGCTAAAGAAATTATCCCTGGGGACCAGGTTCAGCTTGTGGATCTCAGCTGGCGCTCTGCTGCTCATTGCTATAGACTTGCAAGAAGGTGGGTGCTAGGTGTGGAGCCTATGCTATCTGGGGTACTCTATAAGTGGGGAAGGGGGGCTCAATGCTCCATGTCTGTGGGGAGGTTAGTGGGAATCTAGAGACAGAATCAGGATTGGGGACCTGAATTACTATGTTACTGGCCTGACACCAGAGGCTCAGCCTGGTAGAGGCCTACGTAAGGCCTTCCCTGGTCGTCAATCCTCCTTCCTCGCCACCATGTGTTTCTCTCCTCTTCCTTGGGACAGCTCTCCCTGAAGCCTCCAGGCTTCCCTTATGAGATCCCCCCAAGAGCTAAACAGTTCCTGGAGACCACTGAGAAGACTGCCAGACTGAGAGTCAGACTTGTGGATACATACTTACTGTTTGGCCTTGAGCGGGAACCTCCATCCCTCTGAGTCTTTGTTTCCTCATTTGTAAAGTGAGGAGGAAGAGAAAAGCCTTTCCCAGCTTCTCAGGATGGCACCCGGGTACAGATCATAGAGATGATGCATGAGGCATGCTTTGTGAACTTGAAAGTGCTGAGCAGTACTTGGTCATTTTAAAACAATGACATCTTCTTTGAATAATTCTTAAATCCTGGTACAGAATTAAGAAAGGATCATCTATTCAATTAGTCAACTATTTGTTCAAGAAATATGTACTGAGCCTTCCATTATGTGCCAGGTACTTCTAAGCAATAACTAAGACAGACATGGATTGCCTGTCATGAAATGTCAATTCTAGAGTAGGAGGCAGAGAATAGGGAAGAAAGGACGGGAGGAGGGAAGAAAGGAAAGAAGGACGTGAGAAGGAAAGGAAGGGAAGGAGAGAAGGACAGAAGAAATGAGGGAGGGAGGGAGGAAATGAAGGAAAGAGGGGAGAAGAGAAGGAGGGGAGAAGGGGAGGAGGGAGGGACGGAGTGAAGGAAAGAAGCCAGCTTAAAATTGGCCATGATGAGTATTTATACTACTAACATTGGAAAACTCAGTAAATCAGGGTTCTTCCTGCAGGCTGACTTTTAAATATTTGCCGTAACTACTGAAGCCAGAGGTTACAGTGAGGAGCCAGAGGAGGATTCTGAGTGCAGGAGAAACACAATTTGCTACTCATTTTATCCATTTTTCAAAGGATCCTCTTCACCATGTACAGAATAGACTGGAGCCAGGCACAGTAGCAGCGGGAGTTACCAGCCTAGAAGGCTGTGAAATAACCCAGGCATGAGATGCAAGGGGCTTCGGTTGGACTAGCAATGGAGTAGCCAGACATGGATGGTTGGGATATGATGGGGGGCAAGGCTGACAGCGTTCATTTGTGGATTGGCTGTGAGGTAAAGATAGAGACAGCTAGTGAATTGTACAGAAACACTCTGTTCATGAGGAGCTTACAGTTTAGTGGCAGAAACAAAGCAGGCAGTCAGCTAGGACTTTCACAGATATTTATTTATACTGGCTTTCAACGACATATAACACAGGGAAACCTAGCCACATTTGGAAATGAAATGTCATTTGAGCTTTGTTATGGTGAGGTATGATACAATCACACACCCATGGAGGTATTTACATATAATTTCCTCCACACCTGATTTGGTTCTGCAAACACCCCAGGCCCTATACATGTCATTCGCTAGTAATGTGCTGCGTCAAGGAGGCGTCAGAACCGTGTGAGCTTTCACACATTATCTACCCACCCAACTTCTGGGTTTTGCCTATTCTGTCAGGGTCCTCTGTGAGCTGCTGGGGTAATGGGCAAAGGGTGGAGATGCAAATGAAAATAGAAATGCTGAGTGAACAGGTTATCTAGTGGAAAGAGGGTGCCAAAGGAAGCAGGGTAGCTAGTGTGAGTGGACTGTTTGATACAGAGTGTGGGAAAGAGTAAGATCTGGAGATGCCCGGATGAGGGGAGTCTTGAGGAAGGAAATGAATGATGAGTTTCTTCAGGGCTGATGATAGGTTATGTCATTCAACCCATTCTGCAATGACCACCATGTGACTTTGCTCCTAATAAATAAGCAAATTATATTTCCCCACCCCTTGATATGGGGTTTGGCCATATCACTTGCTTTGGCTGAAAGACTGAGATGAATGGGAGTGACAGGGAACTCCTTATGAGATTTCTTCTTTAAAGGCTTTCCACATTTGCCATTGTCATCTGCCATTGTTTGCCACAGGAGGAGAATGAGAGACACACGCTGCAGAGCCAGCCTAGCTAAGCCCTGCCTCGGTCAGCCAAAAAGCAGCTGACCTGCAGACATGTGAGCAATTATAAATGGTCATTGCTTTATCCTGCCGAGTCTTGAGGAGGTGTTTGCACAGCAACAGCTGACTGATGCAGGGACTTACAGTGTGTCCCACAGTGTAGTTTGGCTTTTCCTCATTTGGTGTAAGTAGGGACTTCAGTTACTTCTAAATGCTTTCCAAGTGGTTGATTACTATTTATTTTGGTAGTATTGAAAGTGTCTTTGCAAAAATTCTATCAGTGAGAAAAATTATAACAGTAAGCTGAGCTAACTAGTTACACGTAGTTAGACAGGCATGACTGGGGCAAGAGAGAGATCTTTCCTCTCCTACCAGGAATGTTAGGTGATAGTTTGAGAACTATCACACTGTCTCTGAAAAAAAGATAATTTGGGGGTCTAGGCACAGTGGTTCACACCTATAATCCCAACACTTTGGGAGGCAGAGACCAACAGATAGCTTGACCCCAGGAATTCAAGACCAGCCTAAGCAACAAGGCAAATCCTGTCTCTACAAAAAATACAGAAATTAGCCAGGTGTGGTGGCACACACCCGTAGTCCTGGCTACTCAGGAGGCTAAGGTGGGAGGATCAATTGAGCCCTGGAGGTTGAGGTTGCAGTGAACCATGATTGCCCCACTGCACGACACCTGGGGTGACAGAGCAAGACCTTGCCTCAAAAAAAAAAAAAAAAAAAAAGCTTTTGTTACCATAGGTAGTTAGGCAGACATGAGCAGGGAAGGAGAGGGCCCTCTTCACCAGGAATGTCAGGCGACCATAAGGTGATAGTGAGGTGGTTGTTAAACTGTCTCTAAAATAATAATTGGTTGCAGCCAGCGCCAGGGAAACGCAGTCTCCCAATAGATAGAAAACACCTGAAACTGATGATCAGCAGCTTCCTGATTAGATGGCAGGAGTTGGGTGAGTGAACTCAAGCATGCACACTAAGAGGCAAAATGGTGGAATTAACTGGTACCTCACCTTCCTTAGGGAATACTCAACCGGTAAGGGAAAAATGTTTCAAGGCGGCCTGAATACAACTTTAGTAAACACACTGCACACGTGGCCCCTCCTAAGTGCTGGCAGGCCACCCCAAGGGAAGGATCAGGGGAGAAGGGCACAATCACCCCAGAAGCATAAAAACCCAAGTCAACGGTCAAACCTTGCACTTGATCTCTCAAGTCACCCGCTTGCCCCTCTTCCAAGTGTACTTCACTTCCTTTCATTCTTGCTCTAAAACTTCTTAATAAACTTTCACTCCTTCCCTTAAGCTTGCCTCAGTTTCTCCCTCTGCCTTATTCCCTTTGGTTGAATTCTTTCTTCTGAAGGAGGTAAGAATTGAGGTTGCTGCAGTCTTGTGTGGATTCACCACTGATAACAGTTAAAATGGTAAATTTTATGTTATGTATATTTTATCACAATAAAAATTACCAAATAAGAGATAATTGGCTATTTAAACATAAATAATAACCATGTATTATAGGGGTTATGACTTATATAAATTGGAAGACAAAAACAATAACATAAAGGCTGGTGGGGGGAGAAATAGAAGTATACCCATTTGAGGATATCATACCACATATGAAGAGGTATAGTATCCCTCAAAATATATCGTGATAAGAAAAGATGTATGCTACCACTAAAATAATAAAACAAAGAGTTAAAGCTAATAAGTCTATAAAGGAGATAAAAATGGATCATAAAAATACTCAACTAATTCAAATCAATCCAGTTAATCTAAATTAATCCAATTAATCTAAAATAAGACAGAGAGGGAGGAAAAAAGGAACAAAGAACAGGTGGAACAAATAAGAAACAAATGCCAATGTGATAGAGTGAAAGTTAGCCATTACAGATAAAAAGTTTAAATAAAAATAGTCCAATTAGCCCCATTAAAAGGCAGACTGTCAGATTGGATAAAAATGCAAGACAACTTTGTGCTGCCTGCAAGAGATGCACTTTAAAATATAAAGACACAAATGGGTTAAAAGTGAAAAAAAATTTTCTTTTCTTGAGGCCAGGCTGTTCTCAAACTCCTGCGCTCAGGATCCACCTGCCCCAGCCTCCCAAAGTACCGGCATTACAGGCATGAGCCACGGGGCCTGGCCAAATAGTCTAAGTTTTGACAAGGGTATGCCATTGCTGACACTGGCCAAGAGGAAGCTGGAGTGGCTGAGCAGTTTTCTGAGAGCCAAAACCCAACTCTGTGTGTGAGTTTTCAGCCACTACAAAGGCCTTACCACAAGTTTGTTCCATGGGTCCTCCCCACCGGCCTCGGTGCACAACCAGAACCAGAGCACACAGTCCCCTAGGGGAGTTGTATCAAAGACTCACGTCCCCCCGCACTTATGTTCTTACACATACCTGCATTCCCAGCCCAGATACGTCCATGCAGAGGTCCCCGGATCAGGAGGGTCCTGGCAGAGGTCTTTCTTGGCTGCCTCTACTAGACACCAACTTCTTGAGGGTAACCTGAAAAACATGCTTTTCTCTCTTCTTCTTCTTCTTCCTCCTCTTCTTCTTCTTCTGCTTCTTCTTCTTCTTCCTCTTCTCCTTCTTCTTCTTCCTCTTCTGCTTCCTTCTCTTCTTCTTCCCCTTCTTCCTCTTCTTCTTCTTCTTTTTTCTTTTCTTCTCATTCTCCTCCTCCTCCTCCTCCCCCTCCCTCCTCCTCCTCCTCTTCTTCTTCTTTTTTTTTTTTTTTTTTTTTTTTTTGAGACTGAGTCTCATGCTGTCGCTTAGGATGGAGTGCAGTGGCGCGATCTCGGCTCACTGCAACAACCTCCGCCTCCGCGGTCCTCAGTATTAAGTATCTTCCACTCCTAGCCTTCCCCAAACTCCCACCCTTCACCACAGGGTCCATAAATTCCCAGCAACAGCGAAATAGCAGGAGGCTCATGTTCGGCAGTCCGTCTCGCTAAGCAGGGAGATGATCATCCCCATACCCCAAACTCCCCTCCTCTGAGCTGCTCCATGGGGGAAAACATGGAACATTCTGGGAGCTGGCACTTCTTCCTTTTTTGCTTCTTGCTTATACTGTTGCATAAGTGAATAAAGTCTTGATGGTTTCTTTTTTTTTTTTCTTTTTAAGTTTGGCCGTTTTCTTAACTGACCACGTTAAAACCTGGCAGCTCAGCTCTCTCTCCAGCTGAGCCCTCGACAGAGGCTATATTAATATACTAAAAGAAGTAAATCTTAGAGTGAAAAATGTTACCGTAGGCAGAGAGTCATTTCAGCATGACAAATTGGTCAGTTAATGAAAATGTGACAATCCTAAGGGTTTAGGTACTTCATAACAGTGCTTCAAATACATGAGGCAAAAACTAATAGATTGTAAGGAGAAATAAACACATCCATAATTGTAGCTGGGAATTTCAATAATCCTTTCTCGATAATTAATAGAACAAGTGGACAGAAAATCAGCAAGGATATAACAGATTTGAACAATACTATCAAACAACTCCTAATTGACATTTTTACAACACTCCATCCAATGGCAGCAGAATATATATTATTTTCAAGTACACATGGGCCATTTACAAAGACCAACTACATTCTGAGCCATAAAACCATTCTCAATATACGTAAAAAGATTCAAGTCATACAAATATGTTCTTTGACCACAGTGAAATTAAATTAGAAATCAATAGAAGAGGGATAACTGAAAAATACCCAAATATCTAGAAACTAAATAACATGCTTCTAAATAACTCACAGTTCAAAGAAGAAATCAAAAGGGAAATTACAAAATATTCTGAGGTGAGTGAAAATGAAAATACAGTATATAAGAATTTGTAGGATGCCACTAATGTTTGGCATCTAATACTAATACTAATGGAACTGTATAACACCAAATACCTATTTTACAAAAAAAAAAAAAAATGATTCAAGGCAATGACCTCAGGATCCATCACAAGAAATAAATAATAAAAACAAGAGTGCACATTAAACTCAAAGGAAGCAGACAGTAGGAAATAATAAAGATCAAAAGAGAAATCAATAAAATAGAAGACAAAAATAGAGAAAATCAACAAAAACAAAGTTGGTTTCTTGACAAGAAAAATAAAATGGAGTTGGGCACACTGGCTCATGCCTGAAATCCCAACACTTTGGAAGGCCAGGGCAGGTGGATCACCTGAGGTCAGGAGTTCTAAATGAGCCTGACCAATATGGTGAGACACCATCTCTACTGAAAAATGCAAAAATTAGCTGGGCTTGGTGGTGCACACCTGTAATCCCAACTACTCAGGATGTTGACGCAGGAGAATTGCCTGAACCCAGGAGGCGGAGGTTGCCCCATTGAGCCGAGATCAACCCATTGCACTGCAGCCTGGGCAACAAGACTGAATCTCCATCTCAGAGAGGAAAAAAAAAAAAAAACAAAGCAAAAGAAAATGGATAAATCTCAAGATAGATTGATTAGGAAAAAGGAGAGATCAAAATTTTTCACATTAGGAATGAGAGAATGGGTATCAGTGGTTTCTAAGATATTAAAAAGTATAAAAAGGGAATATCACTTGTAAAATTTTATGCCCATAAATTTTACAATGGAAATGAAATTAACAAATGTCCTAAAACATATAAAATATCAAAGCTCAGTCACAAAGAAACAGATAATAGCCTTATATTTAAAAAAAAAAATCAATATAGGGTGTGCACGGTGGCTCACGCCTGTAATCCCAACACACTGGGAGGCTGAGACAGGTGGATCATCTGAGGTCAGAAGTTCAAGACCAGCCTGACTAACATGGCAAAACCCTGTCTCTATTAAAAATTCAAACAAATTAGCTGGGCATGGTGGCACACACCTGTAATCCCAGCTGCAAGGGAGACTGGGGCAGAAGAATTGCTTGAACCCAGGAGACAGAGGTTGCAGTGAGCTGAGATCGCACCACTGGGCTCCAGCCTAGGTGACAGAGAGACACTCCATCTCAGAAAATAAATAAATGTACAAATAAAAATAAATGTAAAAATTTTCAATTTGTAGTTAGAAATCTTCCCACAAAGGAGATTTGAGACCCAGATAGCTTTGCCAGTGAATTCTGCCAAACATTTAATGAAGAAATAATACCAATTCTATACAAACTATCCCAGAGAACTTATGAGGCAGGGAATATTTGTAAGAGACCAGAATTACCATGGCACAAAAACCTTACTAAGATGTTAACAAAAAAGCAAACTATAGGCCAAGATTCTTCATGAATATAGAAGAAAAAAATTAAAATTTTAGCAAGCTGAATTCAAAATCTATAAAAAGAATACAATATCATGATAAATTGGGATTTTACTTCCTAGGAATTCAGGATGATTTTACACTGAAAATAAATCAGTACAATTCTCCATGTTAGCAAAGAGATAAATCACATGATCATCTCAAAAGACACAGAAAAAGCAGGTAACAAAAATCTAACATGTATTATTAAATAAAAACTTTCAGCAAACTAAGCATAGAAAAGCATTTCCTCAAACTGATAAAGGGCATCTGTGATGGTTAATACTGAGTATTAACTTGACTAGCTTGAAGGATGCGAAGTAGTGTTCCTGGGTGTGTCTGTGAGGGTGTTGCCAAAGGAGATTAACATTTGAGTCAGTAGACTGGGAGAGGCAGACCCACCCTCATTCTGGGTGGCCACAATCTAATCAGCTGCCAGCACAGCTAGAATAAAGCAGGCAGAAGAACATGGAAGAACTAGACTTGCTGAGCCTTCCGGCTTTCATCTTTCTCCTGTGCTGGATGCTTCCTGCCCTCAAACATCGGAGTGCATGTTTTTCAGCTTTTGGAGTCTCAGGCTTGATGCCAGTGGTTTGCTAAGGGCTCTCAGGCCTTCGGCCACAGACTGAAGGCGGCACTGTTGGCTTCCCTATTTTTGAGGTTTTGGGGCTTGGACTGGGCTTTCTTGCTCGTCAGCTTGTAGACGGCCTATCATGGGATTTCACCTTGTGATCATGTGAGTCAATACTCCTTAATAAATTCCCTTTCATATACACATCTCTCCTATTAGTTCTGTTCCTCTGGAGACTCCTGAATAATACAGCATCTATGAAAAATCTATAGCTAAAAACTTACTTCATGATAAAAGACTGAATGCATTTCCTCTGTGATCAGGACTAAGACAAGGATGTCTGCTCTCACCACTTGTATTCAACCTTGTGCTGGAGATACTGGAACATATAATCAGACATGAAAAAAATGCATCCAGAATGGAAGAAATAAAACTGTCTTTATATATAGCCAACATGACTATCTATCTAGAAAATCTAATAGAAACACAAAAAAGTTAGAAGTAATAATTGATTTTAGCTAAGGTTTTAGGATAAAATATCAATAAAAAATCAACTGTATTTCTACAGACTAGCAAAGAACAATCACAAGTTGAAATTTTAAAAATACTTTGAATAACATAAAAATATGAAATACATAGGGATAAATCTGACATAAAATGTGAAAGATGTGTACACTATAAACTATAATACATTGCCAAAAGAAATTAAGGACCTATATAAATGGAGAGATAGACCATGTTTATGGATTAAAAGACTCATTATTATTAATATGCCAATTATCTCCAAATTATGGATTCAATGGAATCACAATCAAAACCCTAGCAGACATTTTATAGAAATTGACAAGCTGACTCTAAGATTAATGTGGAAATGAAAAGGAACCATACTAGACAAAACAATTTGGGAAAAGAAGAACTAGGCGGATTAACACTGTCTCACGTCAAGACTTATTACTAAGCTACAGTAACCAAAATAGTGGGTATTGACATCACAATAGACAAGGGATATCATTAAAAAATATAGAGAGCCCAGAAAGAGACCTAAATATATATGGGGTGTGTGTGTGTGTGTGTGTGTGTGTGTGTGTGTGTGTGTGTGTCTGTCTGTCTGTCTGTGTGTTTGTGTTTACAAATGTGCAAATGTAATTAAGTGGAGAAAGGACAGTCTTTTCAACAAATGGTGCTAGAATAATTGGTTACCATATGCAAAATCCATACTTCACACTATACCTAGAAATGAACTGAAAAATGGGTCACAGGCCTAAGTTAGAAACCAAAAACGATAACATTTCTAAAAGAAAATCTTTGTGACTTTGCACTGGGCAAAGATTTCTTAGCTGTAACACCAAAAGCATGATCCATAAAAGAACAAACTGATAAACTGGATTTCATCAAAATTCAAAACTTCTGTTCTTCAGATGATGCTACTAAGAGAATGAGAAAACAAGCCAGACTGGGAGAAAATATTTGCACAGAATATGTCTGATAACAACCTTCATCCAGAATGTATAAAGTACTCTCAAAATCGAGTTAGAAAAACAATAAAACAATGGGCAAAATACTTGAACAGATACTTCCACAAAGAAGATACAGGGATGGGAAATAAGCATATGAAAAGATGTTCAAAATCATTAGTAGTTAGGAAAATACAAGTTAAAAGCATTATATGCCTACCACAATAGCTAAATTTAAAAAGATTGACAATACCAAATGTTGTCAAGGAGGTGGAGGAATTAGAACTGATATACTGTTGGAAACGAAAAATGGAAAACCTGCAGTTTCTTAAAAAGTCAGACGTATTCCTGCTATGTGATCCAGCACTTGTATATCCAAGAGAACTAAAAGCGTATCATAAAGTGACTCATATATAAATGTTTATAGCAGCTTTATTTGTAAAAGTCTCACACTGAAAACAACCCAAATGTCCATAACAGGTAACTAGATAAAGAAATGTTGGTGTATTCATACAATGAAATACTATTCAGCAAAAAAAAAAAAAAAAAAAAAAAAAAGTCTATGGATACATACAACAATATGAATGAATGTTAAAGTAATTATGCTGAATAAAAGAAGCCACACCAAAATAAACTACTTATTGTATTATTACATTGGTATATGCCTCTAGACAATTAAAACCAATCTGTATGACAGAAAGGAGATCAGTGGTTGCCTGAGAAGAGGGTACATGGAGAGAGACAGGAAGGAGAGATTACAAAGGAGCACAAGGATACCTTTTGGGATGATGTTTATGTTCACTATATTGATCGGCTTCATGGGTATATACGTATGTCAAAACTTATCAAATTGTACACTAGATACATATGCTGTTTATTTTATGTCACTTATACTTCAAAATGCTGTTAAAACTCTCACCAAATTAGGTATGCAAGGAATGTTCCTCAACAGAATAAATGCCATATTGGACAAGCCCACAGCCAACATCATACCCAATGGTAAAAAGCAGAAAGCTTTTCTTCTATGATCAGGAACAAGGGTGCCCACACTCACCACTTCTATTGTGCATAGTACCACAAGTGCTACCTAGAGCAGTTAGGCAAGAAAAAGAAATAAAAAATATCCAAATCAGAAAGGAAGAAGCAAAATTGTCTCCGTAGATGACATGACCTTGTATACAGAAACTCCACCAAAAAACTGTTAGACCTAAAAAGAGAATTCAGTAAAGTTCCAGAATACCAAAATCAACATTAAAATTGAATTGCAATTCTTTCATTATTATTATTATTATTATTATTATTATTATTATTATTATACTTTAAGTTTTAGGGTACATGTGCACAACGTGCAGGTTTGTTACATATGTATACATGTGCCATGTTGGTGTGCTGCACCCATTAACTCCAACAATGATAGACTGGATTAAGAAAATGTGGCACATATACACCATGGAATACTATGCTGCCATAAAAAATGATGAGTTCATGTCCTTTGTAGAGACATGGATGAAGCTGGAAACCATCATTCTCAGCAAACTATCGCAAGGACAAAAAACCAAACACCGCACGTTCTCAATCACTGGTGGGAATTGAACAATGAATTGCACTTCTATACAGCACCAACAAATTATCTGAAAAAGAAAGAAAGAAAACAATCCTACTTACAATAGCAACAAGCACAATAAAATTACTTAGGAATACATTTAACCAAGAAGTTTAAATATCAGCATATAAAACACTGAGAAAATAAATTGAAGATGACACAAATAAAAAGAAAGACATCACATGTTCATGTATCAGAATTAATATTATTAAAATATCCATACTACCCAAGGTGATCTATAGGTTCATTGCAAACTCTATCAAAATTCCAATGGCAGCATTCTTCACAGATAGAGAAAAAATAATTCTAAGATTCATATGGAACCACAAAAAAACCTGACCAAAGCAATCTTGAGAAAGAAGAGCGAAGCTGGAGGCATCACATTTCCTGATTTCAAACTATGTTACAAAGCTATGTTAATCTAAAGAGTATGGTACTGGCATAAAAACAAACACATAGACTAATAGAACATCATGAGTTTGAATGGTACAGGTCCACTTATATGTGAATTTTCTTCTGTTTCTGTCACATCTGAGACAGCAAGACCAATCCTCCTCTTCCTTCTCTTCCTCAGTCTACCCAATAGGAACACAAGGAGTATGAAGACCTCTCCGCTTTGACTTAAGGAATAGTAAATATATTTTCTTTTCCTTATGATTTTCTTAATAACACCATCTTTTCTATAGTTTACTTTAGCGTACAAATACAGTATATAATACATATACAAAATACATGTTAATCAAGTGTTTACGTTATTGGTAAGGCTATTGGTCAATAGTAGGCTATTAGTAGTTAAGCTTTTGGAGAATCAAGTTTTAAGGCCAAGGTAATTCAAGGCCCAGTCTGGGAAACATAGTGAGACCCCATGCCTTAAGAAAAAGTTATATGCTGATTTCCGACTATGCAGGGGTCAGTGCTCAAACTCCACGCTGTTCAAGGGTCAACAGTGTATTATATGCAGAATATAAGAGAGTTGAACTCATCAAAACATAGAGTACCATGGCAGTTGCCAGGGAATGGCGGTGGGGGAAATGGGTAGATTTTGACCAAAGGGGACAAACTTTCAGTTATAAGATGAGCAATTTCTGAGAATCTAATGTATAGCATGGGTGATAATGTATGTATTAATTAATTTGATTGTAGTAATTATACAATGTATTAGGTTGGTGCAAACTAATTGCACCAACCTAATTTAGGCATATCAAATAATTGCATTGTACACCTTGAGTATATACGCTCTTTGTCAATTAAATAAATAAAAATAAAAATGGTCAGATGAGTTTAATAATTAAGAATCTGAAAGAGGGAAAAGTCAGTTAGAATTTTGCTTGTAGTTACAGAATAGAGCCAAATATGTAAAATTTCCCTGTTCAATTAAAAATCACTAAAAAACTAACACTAATATGAATGTATGCTAATTCTGCAATGGTTTTGTACAGTGTGGTCATCTACAAGTTCAAATGCTACACAAGTATTCAAAAAATCATTGGGAAAGTGTTTCTAGTCTAATGCTAAGTGAGTAAAGGAGACTGAAAAATTGTGCCTAAACCTATGGGTGACAACTTTCCTTCTCACTATTAAAACTTGTTTCGAGCAATACTTTGTAATAAAATAGGAATGGAAACATTTTAAGGCTATTAACTTTTAATCAATGACTTAAAGACAGTCACTTATTTTTTTTTCTAAACTATTCAAAACCTAAACAGGTGGTATGGAGGAAAGACCTGCACTTTTTGAGGAGTTTGAATAATCAGGCAATTGACCACATCAAACAAATTAATCTCTAGGGAGAGGCTGAAAATCCCTTCTCCAAAATGCTTGAAACCAGAAGTGTTTCGGATTTGGCGGTTTTTTTGTTTGTTTGTTTTTGATTTTGATTTTGGAATATTTGCATATATATAATGAGATATCTGGGAGTGAGACCCAAATCTAAACATGGAATTCATTTATGTTTCATATATACCTTAGGCACATAGTCTGAAAGTAATTTTATACAACACCTTAAATAATTTTGTCTATGAAACAATGTTTTTGTACACTGAACCATCTGAAAGCAAAGGTTTCACTATCTCATATTAGCACTGAAAAACTTTCAGATTCAGGGGCATTTCTGGATTTGGGATTTTTGTATTAGGATGCACACATCCTGTACTGATTTTAAAAGAAGGCTTTCCTGGGAATGATGCAGCCCAATAGAAATGGCAACTACCATTAAAAGCAAAAAGCTAGATTGAAATATTATCAGAATAAGTTGCCACATCACTCATTATTCACTAAAACACTTCTATTCAAAAGGCCCAATTTTTGTAGATTCCTGAAGTAGGACTTGACACCAGGTATCACAAATTTACAAACTTACCACTTCAGCGTTTTAAAACTTTCTTACCAGGATCCCTGGTCTTCTGGGTGCCATGGAAACTCCAACTAGAAAAGAAAATGAAATTCCCTTCGGCTGGAAACTGTTCGTGTCATTCCTGAGCCCCCCTAGGTGTCTATTGTAGATTATATAAGCTGCAGTTCGCAAATGCACTTTGCATTTGTTCCACAAACCCTGTTGAATGCTTGTTTTGTAGGAGGTTCCACATGCTGGGCAAAGAAGAATGAATAAAACACAGTCTCTGCCCTGGAAGAATTTACAAAGAAATAGTGGTACTACAGGTGCTGTGGAACAGCACAGAGTGTGTAAATGTTAGCTTAATGGTATCTTTCTAACATCAAACTTTTTTATTTCTTCTGTTTTCACACTCTCATTGCAAAAAACTCAAACAATTCAGAAAAGAATAAAGAAGAAAATTTAAAACTCTTTGAAATCCTACCATCAAGTAATAAGCATTGCTAACATTTGATGAACATCTTTCTTAAGCATTCATGTACTAAAAAAATGAGAATTACACCCTAAACGCTATTTTTATAAACTCAGTGCTATTTTTCAACATTCCTTTTCCTAATCAGGAGCATGTAGTAGATCTCATGAGATGCTGCATCTTTTTCTTAATGTGATGTCAGCTATTATCATTTATATGCATTGGCCTGTCATAAAAGTCTGCAGAATCTAACTAAAGCCACCTAGGTTCATTCACCTCTACCTTATCTTGCAGGTGCTGCCTCTTGTCCCAGTGTGGAAGGAACCCTGACCTTGCAATTGAAAGGCCTTGCTTCTGGTGCTGACCACGTTCTGACCCTCAGCCATCCCTTAAACCTCCCTAAGTTCCAATGTTCTCTTCTGTAAAACGAGGGTTGTAAATATTTGCCCTGCCTGCCTTCTTCCCACTGGCTATTCCCTCTGCCAAAAACTGGGCTACTTGACCTCCAGGAAGCTTGCATATGTGTCACTCTTTATTCTCCTTATCATCTTTCTCCTTCACTAGAACATAAAGCACTACAAGGGCAAACATTTTTGTATGCTTTGTTTCCCGATATTTCTGTCTAGAACAATGTCTAGTGTAGTAGATGACAAACAAATGCTTGCTGAATTAATTGGACAGAGCTGAACAGAGAATGGGAGGTGGGAAGACTGCCTCGCCACACAACTCTGGGGGAATCCTTCACATTGTAGTCCATGTGATGGCATCTCCTGGAAGTGTGCAACTGCACAGGCTTCACAGCTGTGCGGCAACCCCAACAACAACCGTGGAAGTACTCTGTCAAAGAGTATGAATTATTAAATAAAAATATTTTTTCTAGTAATGAAAAAATGTGAAAACAAATAAAGGAAAAAAATCATCTCAAATTCTTCAACCTAGTGATAATATCTTCATTAGTATTTGCTGAACATCCTTCTAGACACTTCTCTACTGATATATATATATATATATATATATATATATATATATATATCAATCTTCATTTTGCATAAGTGACATCATACCATAAATGCTATACTAGTATCTGCTTTTGTTTTTGCCCAATAGTATATTATAATCAGCTCTCTTTGTCAGTAAATACAAATCCATATCATCTCTGTAAACCAGGGGTCTGCAAATTAAGGCTCATAAGCCAATTCCACCTGGGTTTTGTGTTTTTTTTTTTTTTTGGTAAATTAACAAAGTTTTATTGGAACATGAATGTGCTGATTCCTTTATGTACTATCTATGCCCATTGCTGTGCTACAATAGCAGAATCGATTATTTCTGACAGACACCATATGGCCCACAAATCTACAATACTTACTATCTATTCTTTTCCAGAAAAGTTTACCAGCCCTGCTTCGTAGCTGAGTATTAAATGGTATGAAAATACTCTATTTGAATTATTCCTCTATCAGAACATATTTACCTTGTTCCAATTTTTGTTGATAAATACGTCGTATACACATCTTTCAACTCATATCCAGTACATCACCTTGAGATAACTTCCTAGAAGTGGATTGGCTGGGCCAGACATGAACTCTATAAAGGTTCTTGATACACATGATTAAAATGCCCATGGCATGGAACCCTCATCTATTTCTGTGCTTTTGTATTTTCTGTGTGTATTTCAGTTTTGTTTAGTTGGCTCAAGTAAAATTAGTTCCTTTTGAAAACGTTCAGCTTGTATGAACTCAACTAAGGGTACCAGGAATTTCCATCCGCAACCCAGCCAGGAGTTTGCCAGAGGCCAGGAGAGCTCCTGTCCAGGCAGCTCCAAAGAGGCCAGGGGTCTGGTGAGGAATGGAGAAGAGCACGACTGAAAACTTAGAAGAGAGCAGCCAGGGACTGATGCCAGATCCGTTGACCCTGTCAAAAGATCTGAACTCTGCCCCACATTTGTCCTTTTGACCCCATCGAGTTAACCAGGAGTTTAGCCATCCATGCTCCACACAACTGTAGCTTTTCTTCTTCTTCTGTGCACCTATAACTCTGTCTCATTAGATTGCTCTGAAGTTTGTTATTGATTATCTAGGAAATAAATACAACCAACTTTTTGCCTATTTCCCAATTGTTACGGCTGGTAGAAATAATCAGCATAAAATAAAACTGACAACAGATGATACCACACATGGCAACAATGCTATTGATTAAAAATGGAAAGAAGGCTCGCATCCTTTTGATAAAATGCATTCAAATTTTATTTTTTGTTTTTGTTTTTATTTTTTATTTCGATAGCTTTAGGGGTGCACGTGGTTTTTTGTTACATGGATGAATTGTATAGTGGTGAAGTCTGAAATTTTAGTGCACCCATCACCTGAGTAGTGTATATCGTACCCAATATGCAGCTTTTAGCCCTCATGCCTCACCCACCTTCTCCCCCTTTTGATTCTCTGATGTCCATTGTATAACTCTGAATGTCTTTGTGTCCTTATAGCTTAGCTCTCACTTATAACTGAGAACACATGGTTTCTGCATCTCCATTCTTAAGTTACTTCATTTGGAATAATGGCCTCCAGTTACACCCAAGTTGCTGCAAAAGACATTTTCTTTACATTTAGACTTGCAAAATTTGATGTCAGAGAGATTTGGATTTGGAAAACAAAAGCAAAAATTGCAGTGGTTGAAACTAAATAAGGAAAAATTAATGTGATACAAAAAAACTGATCAATGAATCTAATTTGTGTAAAAACAATGAAAATAAGGAAAGAATTGCAGTGAAAAGAAAGTTCAGTGAAATAAAATTAAACACAGCAAACATGGAAACTGGCTTTGCTGCATGGTACAGAATACAATCAAGGGATTAAATTGGCTTGAGATTGTGCTGGAAAATATTTTCTTGATGGAAAGCCACCTATGTTGGGGATGAAATTTCTTTAAACCGACAGCTAGACAAATAACTTTCTACTCATTATTGGACTTCTATAGTCAATTTTTCACAAGAATGTTGGAGTCTCTGAAATCACTAAAGCCCCAGTAAAAAGGAAAATGGAATCTCCTATCAGTTGCTGTATGTAGAACCTCTTTTGTAAGCAAGTGGCAGCCAATGTTAACACTTCTCACACTGACCTTAACAATTCTTAGAATATTAAAAAAATTCTGCACAGAAATTAAGTATTATGTACTTATTTCTAACAATTCCAAGGAGGTAAACATTATTGTACAATTTCAAAGTCTTTTTTATAGTGTACATTTAATAGCAAATAAGAGAATATTTTACAATTTGATTACATAATTTTACTTGTGAGTTTTGTAGGGTTTATGGGCCATATTATTTTTTACCCATCTACTATACTTATTTAATAGGCTTCTGGAGAGGATTTTATAATGTTACACTAGTTAGTCTTATTTTTATTAGAATATGCTTTTTACTGAAGATTTCCTATATCAAAGAAACAAAGGAGAAAAATAAAATACAAAAATTAGAAATCAGCCATAGCCTCTATGGAGTGCAGTCACCAAAGTGCCAATTCCAGAGGCAAAGTATTTTTGTTTTATTTATATTGTTATGGCTCATGTGGTGACTTCATTTAAAGACACTGTTCCCAAAGCTGAATTATGTATGAAAGCAAATACGGGAGACAGGAAGCAGGGAAGGAAAAGAGTAAAATCAAGAAAGCAACATCTCAAATACCATGAATGATCCCGTTACTTTTTCCCCCTCATCAAGATCGACTCAAGGCCTGGGCTGCACAATACTGAGAAAGACCAATTAAAAACTAAATTGTCTGAAATGACTGTGGTCACACAGGTGAAATTTTGTTTTCTTAAGAGAAAAAAGAAATTTGTCAGCTTCTTGAGGGCAGAAAAATATTGTTGTAGATCTCTATGTTGCCAACACTTAGTATAGAGCTAGTATAGTTATTTTTGAATAAATGAATGGGTAAGAAAAAAATAACGCACAAATGAAAATATGTCATTATTTAAATACTTGGGACTTGTCGGTCTAGTCTTGCTCAGTGGTTCTCAGTGGTTCTCAATATTGACTGCACATTACAATCATTTCGAGAGTTATTTTTTCTTCACTTTTTACTATGTATTATATACAGAGAAGTACACATTTCTAGGGGAGCTTTTAGAAACTGCTAATGACCCCTATAATGGTTTAAATTTAAGATACTGACAATATTGGTGGTGTGGCAAAAATGTAGGACAACTGAACACTCACACATCACTGGTGGATGTGTGAAATAGTACAACTACTTTGAAAAATGGTTTGGAGGTTAGGCACAGTGGCTCATGGCTGTAATCCCAGCACTTTGGTAGGCCGAGGAGGGTAGATCACGAGGTTAGGAGTTGGAGACCAGCCTGGCCAACATGGTGAAAACAACGCCTCTACTAAAAACACAAAAATTACCCGGGCATGGTGGCACGTGCCTGTAATCCCAGCTATTCAGAAGACTGAGGCAGGAGAATTGCTTGAACCTGGGAGGCCGAGGTTGCAGTGAGTCGAGATCGCGCCATTGCACTCAAGTCTGGGAGGCAGAACAAGATTCTGTCTTGGAAAAAAAAGAAAAAAAGAAAAATGATTTGTAAATTTCTTATAAAGTTAAACAGACACTTACCATAAGACCCAGCAATTCTACTCCTACACATTTACCCAAGAGAAATGAAAACATATCTCCACACAAAGACTTATAAGAACGCACATAGAAGCTCTATTCCTAACAGTCAATACGTGCAAACAGCCCAGATGTCCATCAAGAGGTGAATGGATAAACAAAATGTGGTACCTCCATACAATGAAATACTAATCAGTAGTGAAAAAGAATAAACTATGGATATATGTAACAATATGATGACTCTGATAAACATGCTGAGTGAAAGAAGCCAGACTGTTAGGTTCTGTTTATATGAAATTCTTGAATAATCACCATTAATCTATAGTAACAAGCCAGATCAGGGGTTGCCTGGGATGAAATGTGGGGTATTTGAAGATGATGGAAATATTGTATACTTGATTAGAGCAGTGTTTATAGGGAGGATACATACTTGTCAAAACTCATTGAACTGTACACTTAAAATAAATGCATTTTGTTGTATGTAAATCACTACCTTTGAAAGATTGATTAAAAAAAAAAAAACTATTGACACCCAGATTCCACCTCAGACCAATTAAAATTAGAATCTCTAATGGAATCCAGACATTGGACCTATTTAAAAGAGCTTCCTGAGTAGTCTGATGTGTAGGAAGAGTTGAGAACTAGTGGCCTTAACTTTAAGAGAATATTGGGGAGAAAATAAAACAACAAAATAATTTTTTAAAGAGTGACTATGAAGGATCATGGATGATTTTTATTTTCTTCTTTAAGCTACTCTTTATTTTTGGATCTTTTTCCATCATGAATTATGTGCATAATTTTAAAAGACAGTGTTATTTTATTTATTTACCTATTCTACTCCTCTCATCCTCTCCAATTTTGCCCTCTCATTCATTTTGGTTCAGATAAGCCATTATCTGACATTCGTTCATCCAAAGCTGATTAACCATCCTTTTATGCAAAGGACTGTCTTAGGAATTGAAGGTGCAAAAAAGAACAAACAAATCTGCTCCAGGCAATCAAAGGCATAGGAGACAAAGATGTACACATTTATTTTTAAAAGAACCTCCAAATATTATAGTAGCACAAAGATGACAAGAGATAAGAATATGTTAATTTATTCTTGTGTGTTTCCAGAAAATGCGTGGAAATTTCTTTAAAAACTTAAAATGCACCTAACATAGGACCTTGCTGTTCAATTCCTGGGTCTTTGCCCAAAAGAAATAAAAGCATACATCTACACAAAGACTTACACACTAATGTTAGTAGCACCTTTGTTTGCAATAGCCCCAAACGTGAAATAGCCCAAATGACCATCAGTATAAGAACGGATACACAAATTGTGTAAAATCTTTATTATGAAATACTACTCAGCAATAAAAAGGAAGAAACTATTGATACATGCAACAACACAGACGAATCTAAAAATCATTATGAGAAATGAGAGAATTCACAGACTAAAGGGTATATACTGTATGATTCCATTTATATAAACTTCTAGAAAGCTTGAAGTAATTCATAGTGACAGAAAACAGATTATTAGTTGAGGGTGGGTTGGGGAATGAATTACAATGAGATGATGGGAATGTTTCTTATCTTCACTGTTGTGATGGTTTCACAGTTGTATACATATGTCAAAACTCAGCAAGGTGTACAATTTTAATATGTGCAGTTTATGTACAGTAATTATATTGCAATGAACCTGTTAAAATTAAAAGGAGGAAGGAAAAAATAGTGAAACCAACAAGGCTGTGAATGGGCCTGAATGAGACCCATGGCATCCAGTTGGTATCCTTGCTAACAACAAGGAACCATCTTGTGGGTCTGGACTAGGGAGAAGAATCTGGTGACTTCCTCAACTTTAGAGTCTGTTACTAATAGGAGAAGCAGCCAGTGGAGAGGAGGACACTTGGGATGGGGCTTTGAACCTTGGGTTCAAAGAAGAACTTGGGTTCTTCTTTGAACCTTGAGAAGAACCTGCATGGATGACAGACATATCAAGAAAACATGGGGCAGAGTCCCAGCACTTCCTTGTCTCACTGATTGTTTGGATTAAGCTAAAGTGATTTCAATCACTATTCAACAAACAAAAAGGTACCAAGACCTTTCAGTGGGGGAAAGAATTGTCTTTAATGATGCTGGGACAACTGAATATCCAAATGCAAAAGAAGAAAGTCGAGACCCTACTTCATACTATATAAAATGTTAACTCAAGATGAATCAATAACCTAAATATAAAAGCTAAAACTGTACCCCTTCGAAGAAAACACAGGTGTAAATCTTCTTCAAAGTGGATTCAGCAATAGATTATTACATATGACACCAAAAGCATGAAAAACAAAAATAGATAAATTATATTTTGTCAAAATTTTAAAATTTTATGCATCAAAGGAAGGACATTACCAAGAAAGTAAAAATCCAGCCTACAAAATGGGTGAAAATAATTGTGAATCATATTTTAATAAAGATCTAGTATTGAGAACATACATATAAACAACTTTTAACAACTCAACTACAAAAAACCTAACAATCCAATTTAAAAAGGAGCAAAGGACTGAATAGATATTTCTATAAAGAATATATACAAATGGCAAACAAACATGTTTTACAAATGTTCAATACCATTAGTCAGTAGGGAAATGCAAATAAAGGCCACAATAAAGTATCACTTCACAGCCTCTAGGATAGCTATACTTTTTTTAAATGGAAAATTAACAAGTGCTGGTGAGAAATCAGAACTTGTACATTGCTGGTTATAACGTAATATGGTTCAGCTGCTGTGGAAAACAGTTTGGCAATCTCTCAAATGATTAAACACACAATTACCATACGACCCTTAAGTTCATTGCTGTGTATACACCCCAGAGAATTAAAAATCGGAACTCAACAAAAAATAACAGATGCTAGTGAGGTTGCAGAGAAAAGGGAACCCTTATACACCATTGGTGGAGTGTAAATTCATTCAACCCTTATGAAAAGCGGTACGGCAATCCCTCAAACAGCTAAAAGCAGAACTGCCATTCGACCCAACAATCCAATTACTGGGAATATACCCAGAGGAATATAAATCATTCTGCCTTAAAGACAAATGCACACAAATGTTCATTGCAGCACTATTCACAATAGCAAAAACAAGGAATCAACCTAAATGCCCATCAATGACAAATTGGATAAAGCAAATGTGGTACGTATACACTATCAAATACTACGTAGCCATACAGAAAGAACAAGATCATGTCTTTTGCAGGAAGTGGATGGAGCTGGAGGCCATTATCCTCAGCAAACTAGTGCAGGAACAGAAAACCAAATACTGCATGTTCTCACTTATAAGTGGGAGCTAAATGATGAGAACTTGTGAATACAAAGAAGGAAACAACAGGCACTGAGGCGCACTTCAGGCAGGAGGGTGGGAGGAGAGAGAGGAGCAGAAAAGGTAACTGTTGGGTACTGGGTTTAATTCCTGGGTGATGAAATAATCTGTACAACAAACACTCCCATGACATGAGTTTATCTGTGTAACACGCCTTCACATGTACCCCCAAACCTAAAATAAAAGTATTAAAAAAGAAGAAAATAGGGACTCATAAATAAGTACATGTGCACACATGTTCATAGCAGCACTATTTACAATAATCAAAAGGTAGAAACAGCCCAAAAGTCCAGCAGGGGGAATGGATAAACATAATGTGGTATATTCACGGAACGGAATATTATTCAACCATGAAAAGGAATGAAGTATTGGATACCTGCTGCAATGTATGCTAAGTGAAGAAAACATGCTAAGTGAAAGCAGATAAAACATCACATACTGCATGATTCAATTTATACGAAATATCCAGAAAAGGTAAGAGTGCACCTAGGTGGTTTCCAGCGATTGCAGTTGCAGAGGGATGGGGGAAAACGGCTTAAAGGTATTTTTACTTCGGCATGATGAAAACATTTTAGAACTAAGATAGAGGTGCTGTTTGTAAGACATTATGAATCTACTTAGTGCTACTTTAAAATGGTTAATTTCATTATTTTAATTTCACCTCAACAAATTATTTTTTTAAAAGATTCTCCATATTCTAAACAAATCAGATCTGTTCTGTGTAAACCACTGCCTTCTAAGAAAAGGGCATGGAGTGAGATGGGATTGAAGTTTAAGTGACAGAGGAATTTAGGGTGGTAAACTGCGGGGCTCTGCAGTCAGACCCCTGACTCTGTAGCTAACTAGCTCTGTGACATTAGGTAAGATATTTTATAGTGTAAGTATTTGTGTTCCCATATATAAAAAATAAGAACAATATCTAACTTCACTAGGGTGTTGTAAGGATTAAATGAGGGGAGTTACTTAATGCAATTTTGTACAGAGCCTGCTGACACATGGTAAATTTTAGCTCAACCTATTCTAACTGAATTTTTTTCTCCCTCCAATTTTAAGTTGTCCATTTCGCATTATAGTCCTAGTTATAGCTTTCATAAAGCCCAGTCAAAAATATTTCTGTCTCTTGGATTAATTAAGAGCAAGGCTGACTAGAAGCCCCTAGAGCTTGTCTCCATCACAGATGCCAGAAAGACTAAAAAAACACTACGTTTTAATGAGAGTAACTGAAGGAGAGTTCCAGAGAAACTCAGAGGAATAGCAGGAACCCTGATGAGCACAGAAACAGAACAGCCACAAAGAGAATGGAAGGAAATGCCAGGCCTTCACCACTCCATCCCCAAATTGAGATAAGCTAGGAACAAAGAGGAACTTCTTCATACAGTGAGGAGGTAAGCAAGAGAACACCAGCAACCCCGATCAACACCTTGGACATCCACAGACCTCACCATGGCAGAGGTGCCCTACGGTCCTCACAGGCACTACCTAAGCCCACCTGAAGGAGCTGTCTAGAGTTCACAAAGCTGTGCTCCCTTCAGAGAAGTAGCTAACACTATGTTCTCCTCTGTGGCCCACATGTCTACTGTGCTATACCATCTTGCAGCTAGACCTACGGCTGGAGTGTGTCGTGCTCAGGGTTCAAGTAGGCACAGGTCCCCTTCATCCCTGAGGCTAAACTGCCACCAAAACACCCCCAGCCTAGTGACTGAACATCCCCAAGGTGAGCTATAAGCATCTCTTACACACTTCTCCTGGGGCCAAGTGGAGGTGGAGCTGATCCACCTACTCTTCCCCTAACTCCTCAGGCCAGATCTGAAACAGTACCCTGCCTCCAAGAAAACAATACCTTAGTCACTTTGAGCAGTCATGCCTCCCTGTGCCTAAGTTTTAGCAGTGCCCTGTATCCCAGAAAATGGTCTCTGGGCCACCTGGGGAATCAGTGCCCTGGCCAAGCTGAGCTAAACTGCTGTAGTACCTTGCATCACAGAGAGGCAAAACCGTGGCTGAACTGAGACAGTCTGCCCTACAGGCCAAACAACTCTAGTATCCTAATTCCCTGGAGAGCTGGACTAGCCACCAAGAGCGGGAGCTGCTGAGACACCCCTCTCCCTGGAAAGTAAAATCATCACAGTGCTGTTTCCTGCCTAACAGGGCCCAAAGGACAGCTGTGCTCCACTATTCAGGGTACTTGCTACTGCTACACCTGGCCTCACAGAATCTGGAATACTGCTGACTCCACCATCACAAGGTCTAGAGTCACTACTACTGCCACTACAACAACTATTACTACTACAACTACAACAACTACAACAACTACTACTACTACTACAGCTACAACAACTACTACTACTACTACTACTACTACTACCACCACTACTACTACTACAATGGGACCCACATTGCCACTGATACCTATTGGCTTGGGTTCCTGAATTGCAGCACTACCCTGCTCCCTAGGCCCAAACATCCAGAGCACCCCTTCTTCTCCAGAGTTGGTCCAGTGCTGCTCCCTGGCCACTAGGGATAGAATCACAGCTACAACCCAAATCCCTGTAACCAAGCTGCTAGGGGGTACCTCAGAGTCACAGATCCTGGCTCTTTGGGCAACCTGCATTCAACCTCACCACAGAGAATAAACAGGCACCCCAAGACCCAAGTGCCACACATAGTTCATGAAACCTTGAGCCTAGGACCCTAGCACCATAGCCATTTGGAGCACCTAAACCTGGAACCCAGCACTGCTATAGCTACTTATAGGCCATGTCAGACCTGAATCCAGAAAGGATACTCTTGTCTAAATCTCCCCAGTGTGTGGAAAATGAGAATGAAGAAAACCCCCAAAGCCTTTGATATGGAGGTTATTAACAACTTATGCCATCATCACTACCACAAACTTGTATGGCCTAGGCAACTGAGGTACTCACAGCTACTGCTGATATTGAATGCAGCCAAAGAAGCTGAATGAGGCCATACCACTTCAACTATCTTGAAAAAGAGTCACTGCACCCTTCTCAACTGGCACACTAAAACTCAGATGCACGTGAAAGTCTTTCTCTACAAAAGCAAGAGAAAAGCATCAAGTCACATATAAGGGCATCTCCATTAGACTAGTAGTGGATTTCTCTGCAGAAGTCTTACAGGCCAGGAGAAAATGAGATGATATAATTCAACGTGCTAAAAAAAAAAAAAAAAAAAAAGAAAATTCAGTCAAGAATGCTATTCCCAGCAAAGCAATCCTTCATAAATGAGGGAGAAATAAAGTCTGCCTAAAGCAAGCAAAAACTGAGGGAGTCCATCAGTGCTAGACTGGCCTTACAAGAAATGGTTAAGGAAGTCCTACATCTGGAAGTAAAAAGATGATGATCACTATTACAGAGACATATACAAGTATAAAGATCACTGGTAGAGCAGATATACAACAAAAGGAATAATAATCAAATCGTATCACTATAGAAATGACCAAACTGCAACGATAAACAATAAGGCAGAAATAAATGAACAAAGGATATACAAAACAACAAGAAAATAATTAACAAAATGACAGGAGTAAGTCCTCACCTATCAGTAATACCTTGAATGTAAACAGATTAAATTCCTCACATAAAAGACTTAGGCTAGCAGAATGGATTGAAAAAAAAAAAAAAAAATTACCCAACTGGATGCTGCCTACAAGTAACTGACTTCACCTGTAAAGACACTTGTGTGATTACATAGACTGAAAGTGAAGGAACAGAAAAAGATATTCCATGTGAACCAAAACCAAAAGTGAATTAGAGTAGCTATACATATCAAATGAAACAGACTTCAAGTCAAAAACTGTAAAAAGAGACCAAAAAGGTCATTATGTAATGATAAAGGGTCCAATTGAGCCAGAGGATATAACAATTGTGAATATATATTCACCCAACATCAGAGCACCCAGATATATAAAAACCAAATATTATTAAATCTAAAGGGTGAGATAGACTTCAATATAGTAATAGTTGGGGACTTCCAACACTCACTCTCTGCATTAGACAGATATCTATATATATACATATATATATATATATATATACAGAAACCAACAAAGAAACATTTAACAGGAAATGAATCTGAGACCAGACAGACCTAACAGACATTTCTAGAACATTTCATCCAATAGCTGCAGAATACACATGCTTTTCATCAGTAAATTCTGCACATGGACTGTTCTTGGGGACAGACCACATGTTCATCCACACAATTAAGTTTCAACAAATTTAAATGAACTGAAATCATGGTAAGTATCTTCTCTTAATCACAATGGAATAAAACTAGAAATCGATAACAAGAGTAACTTTTGAAATTACACAAATACATGGAAATTAAACAACATGCTCCTGAATGAGAAGTCAAATGAAAAAATTAAAACGATAATTTAAAAATTTCTGGAAACAAATGAAAACAGCAACATTTGAAAACCTATGCGATACAACAAAGCCATTTTAAGAGGAAAACTTACAGCAATAAATACCTGTATCCGAAAAGTGGAAATAAAATTAAAAACCTAACGATGCATATCAAGGAACTAGAAAAGTAAGCGCAAACCATGACCAAAATTAGTAGAAGAAAAACATAATGAAGATCAGAGCAGAAATAAAATGGGGACTATAAAAATACAGAAGATCAACAAAAGAAAAAGTTGGTTTTGTGAAAAGGTAAACAAAATTTGCAAACGGTTAGCTACACAAACCAAGAATAAAAGAGAAAAAGACTCAAATAAATAAAATCAGAAATGAAATAGGAGACTACCAGAGAAATATAAAGGATCATTACAGACTATTCTGAACAACTATACACCAAAAAATCAGAGAACCTAGCAGAAAGAAATAGACAAATTCCTGGACACATAAAACCTACCAAGATTGAACCAGTAAGAAATAGAAAACACGGGCCGGGCACGGTGGCTCACAGCTGTAATCCCAGCACTTTGAGAGGCAGAGGCGGGCGGATAATGAGGTCAGGAGATGGAGACCATCCTGGCTAACACGGTGAAACCCCATCTCTACTAAAAATACAAAAAAGTTAGCTGGGCATCATGACAGGTGCCCGTAGTCCCAGCTACTCAGGAGTCTGAGGCAGGAGACTGGCATGAACCCGGAAGGAGGAGTTTGCAGTGAGCCGAGATTGCACCACTGCACTCCAGCCTGGGTGACAGAGAGAGACTCCCTCTCAAAAAAAAAAAAAAAAAAAAAAAAAAAAAAAAGAAATAGAAAACCTGAACAGACCAATTATGAGTAAGAAGATTGAATCTGTAATAAACAGCCTCCCATCAAATAACTGAGGAACTGAGGGCTTCAATGCTGAATTACACCACAAATTTAAATAAATAATAGCAATTCTTCTCAAACCCTTCCAGAAAGTTGAAGAGAATTCTTCAAAGTTCATTATTTGAGGTCAGCATTACTCTGATACCAAATCCAGACAAGGACACAACAAAAAAAGAAAACTATAGACCAGTATCTCTGATTAACAGAAACGCAAAAAACCTCAACCAAATACTAAGAAACTGAAACCAACAGCACATTAAAAAGATCATTCCCCATGACCAAGTGGGATTTATCCCAGGGATGCAAGGGATTCATCCCAGTAGAGCAGATATACAAGGGAGAAAGGAAAAACAATCAAACTTTATCACTACAGGAAAATACTAAACTGCAATGATAAACAATAAGAAAGAAATCAACAAAGGTTATAGAAACCAACCAGAAAATAATTAACAAAATGACAGGATGTTTCCACATATGCAAACCAACTTAAATATGATACATCGCATTGACAGAGTGAAGAACAAAAACCATGTGATCATCTCAATAGATGCAGAAAAAACATTTGATAAAATTCAACAGGGCTTCATGATAAAAACTCTCCACAAGTCAGACGTAAAAGGAATATATCTGAACACAATAAAGGCCATATATAATAAACCCACAACCAACATCATACTGAACAGGGAAAAATTCAAAGGATTTCCTCTAACATACGGAAGAGACAAAAATATCCACTTCACAACTTTTATTCAGCATAGTACCAGAAGTTCTAGCCACAGCAATTAGGCAAGGGAAAAAAAAGAGCATCCAGATTGGAAAGGAAGAAGTCAAATTGTCCCTGTTTGCAGATATAAAACCTTTAAAACTCCACCAAAAAACTTTCAGTAGTCATAAATGAATTCAGTAAATTTGTTTGCAGACACAAAACCCTTAAAACTCCACCAAAAAAACTTTCAGAAGTGATAAGTGAATTCAGTAAATTTGCAGTACACAAAATTAATATACAAAAACCACTAGACTTTCTGTGTACCAACAAGCAGCCAGCAGGAAAAAATAATCAAGAAAGCAATCCCGTTTATAATAGGTATAAAAAATAAAATAAAGTATCTAGGAATAAGTTTAACCAATGAGATAAAAACCTCTACAAGGAAAACTATTAAAAAACTTACAAAATAAATTAAAGATTACACAAAAAAGTAGAAAGACACCCCAACCCCATGTTCACAGGTTGGAAGAATTAATATTGTTAAAATAACCAATTCTGCCAAAAGTGATCTACAGATTTCATGCAATCCCCGTGAAAATGCCAAATACTTCTTCATAGAAATTAGAAAAAAAAATCATAAAATTCTATGGAACCACAAAAGACTCCAAGTAGCGAAAGCAATACTGAGTCAAAAGAATAAAGCTGAAGGCATCACGCTAGCGAATTTCAAAATGTACTGCAAAACTGTAGTAGTAACAAAAACAGCATGGCATGTTGAAGAGATCTCTGCACTCTCACGTTTATTGCAGTACTGTTCACAATATCCAAGATTTGGAACCAGCCTAAGTATCCGTCAACAGATGAATGCATAAAGAAAATGTGGTACATCTACACAATGGAGTACTATTGAGCCGTTAAAAAGGATGAGGTCCGGTCATTTGCAGCAACACGGATGGAACCAAGGACATTATTTTAAGTGAAATAAACCAGGCACAGAAAGACAAATGTCTTTATTCTCACTCATATGTGGGAGCCAAAATAATTGATCTCATGGAGGTAAAGTGTAGAACAGTAGTTAACAGAGGCTATAGAGAGTGAGTGTTGGGGTTGGGGGACGGGAATTAAGGGAGGTTGTTTACTGGATACAAAAATACAGTTAGAAGGAATAAGTTCTAGTGTTTGACAGCACAGGAGGGTGACTATAGTTAACAATAATTTATTGTGTAGTTCCAAATAGGTAGAAAATGCTCCCCACACAAAGAAATGATAAATGTTTGAGGTGATGGATATCCCAGTTACCCTGTTTTGATCACCACACATTGCATGGAAGCATGAAATTGTCACAGATATCCCATAAATGTGTATAATTATTATGTATTAGTAAAAATATTTCTGTATTTTGATTTGGAGAGTCTGCTATCTATGAGATAGTATAAAAAGCAATGGCCCAGATGTCAAGTCTCAGTTTCTTATTTATCTGAATCCCAGGGTGTGTAAATTTAAGAAAATCACACCTAAAACCTAGACATGTCTAGCACTTCAAAGGAGTTGACGAAGACCAAACGAAATCATATATACGAAGTAGCTCTGAAAACCCTAAAATCCTATACAAATTTCAGGGAGTATGCATGTGATGAGAAGAATGGGATATGAAATCCTGCCTGCCACCTCCAGCATTTCATGAAGGAAAAACAGAAATTGTGCTTAGGGAATGCTGGCCTATGTACCATTATTTCACTCATTTGTTAGTGTTCTACTCATTCAAGGCCCTCTCAGAAAAAAGGGAACTATTCTAGAAAATATCCTGAAGAGCCTAGCATAATGAGCTGTTTCCTACTACCAAAGAAGATACGCAAAAGACTACATTTCAGGACACAGTCATTCACCAAACCATGGCTGCTCTATACACAGACCACGTGGGAAGTTCTAGTTACTGAAATGTAAAGGCTGCAGAAAACTTAGGTGGGTTTGAGTGGGATGCAGGTGGGTAGATCTGTGGATGGGAAGCTAACCACATTGATGTGTTGCCCCAAATAATCTCATAGTAACACTATAAAGTAGATACTAGTATTGTTGTTTTACAGAGGAGGAAACCAAGACTCAGTGAGAAGCTCGTCCAAGCTTACTCAGGAAGTATTTGGGGCTGGGATTTAAAGTTCACTCTTTTTTATGACATTCTAGTACCTAAGTGATCAGAGGCATTTAACAATGTTCGTAGGAGCATAGTTTGTAACAGCAATCAACGAATCAACACAATTTACATTTAAAATTTTAAAACAAAAAATAAAAGTCAATTGTCCCCCAGCAAGGGAAATAACAAACCGTAAAATATTCAACTGATACAACTAAAAAGCAGTGAAAATAAATAGAATCTCCCAGTCAACACGGATGAGTCTAACAATGTGCCAAAAAAAAAAAAAAAAAAAAAATAGTTTCAGTATATGTTCTCTTAAAGTTCAAAATATTGTGAAAAGAAACATTTTATTCAGCAGATGATTAAACCAAAATTCAATTTAGGTGGTTTCTTCTTCTTGGGGAGGAAGAGGGTGTGATCAGGGAGGGCATATTTTTTAATTAATGAAATGTTCTATTTCTCAAGCCAACTTGGGTATTTATTATTCTTTAAATAAATATTTTTATACTTTTGAGTGAACTAAATGTGAAATTTTAAAACACAGACATATACAAAAAGAATATGGATATCAAATGCCTAAGGCTGTCTCTGGAACTTGATCTCAACATATTTTTTTGATATTGATCTGTTATTATCATTCTTGCTTAAAGGTGTTAAGAGGTATTAGTTAATTCCACAGCAGGAAAAGGAGCAATGACAGGCCATACTTTTCTAAAAACCATGGGTAATACTATTTGTAAAGTGTGTCAAGTGAGTCAAAGGCATAGTTCTTCACTCCAGGAGGCAAACACAGTGTCTCTGTCCCCAGGATATCCACTCTGCCCTTTCCCACTCGAGCCTAGTCCCTCACCCTTGGCTTGCCTGCTCTTGGCCTTGGAATCCAGCTTTGCCTCTGTAGTCACTCCCTCCTGTCACTGATTTCTGGCCACAAGTCTTGGTTTTCAAACTTTCTATTCAATCTATTTCAGCCCATTCATGAGTCACTCTTGCCTGTGGACAGCTGGCATTCCCAGGCACGGGCTTGGCAGGGAAAGATGAATTCGGTGAATTAAGCCAACGGAATCCTTTATGAAAGTCATAGTTGACCTGACAGGGCTGTTTCTATCCTAAATCCAGGGGTAGCTTGAGATGATCTAATGAGAGCTCCCCAGCTGAGGCCATATTTCTCAAAGTATGTTACGGTGGTCAGAATCACCTGGGGCACATGTTAAAAATGCAGATTACTGGGCCCATCCAGAGCATTAGAATAAGAGCATCTGAGAATGGGGCCCAGGATTTGGCTTCTGAAAAACACCCCTTATGATAGCTCTGATGCTCTTTGACTTCCCTGTAAAATTGGTATCTTGAGGAAACGTGCCCTATCGAATACTGCGCTGATCTAAACATGGACACAACTTTGGATGGTGAGCATATCGGTTTGTCAAAGACCCATCACCAACCAAAATGATGAGCAACAACCAAGTCATGTTCAGGAAAAAAAAAAAAAAAAAAAGTGCAGGTCACGCTTTCCTCAATATAGTGGGTTTACTGCTTAAACACTGTTCAGATTTTACTCACAGTGAAGCTGCTCCAACACCAGGTAGGGGATCAGCATAGGTAAAAACAAGGAGAAAAATGTCCTCTGCCTTTTAAATTACCTCTCTCCATTCTTATGGGCCTAGTCAGATTTATGGAGGGTGTGAAGGAGGCGGGAAGAGTCCTATCAAAATTTTTAAACAAATGTACAAGGGCAGAGGGGACACGTCCACTTAAACAGCTGGCCTGGCTGTATCATTATCAACTGCCTTTCTTCTGGAGTTTCATCTAAGATTGAGCCAGAATGGAGTGTGTCTCTATCCATGTTATTTTGGGCAAAGACAATAGATGTGATTAGAACCTTAGTGTATTTTTGTTATTCTATAAAAAGATCTGATTGAGGGTTATGAAACCTCCAATTTTCCAAAGTGCTTAAAATGTTACTATTGCTTCAAATTTATAAGGAGTGTTCATGACCTGAATATCCCAGTCATGCAAGTATTTGTTCTATTGTTAAAGACCTAGTGAACCGGTATCTTGAAGTTTCATGTGGAAAAGACCTAGTGAACCGGCATCTTGAAGTTTCATGTGGAATTCCTGGCATGCAGCATTAATGAAGGTGCACGTAAGATACAAAGCCTTGTCTTGGGAAAACGAACTACAGACTTAACTAGAGAACTGTTTCAGACCAGTTAAAAACGTAAAATACAGCGACCATAGAGTTTAATTGTACAGTGGTAGAGTGGTAGTTTCAACTTCTGTACCAAGAGACAATTTTTTTTTTTTTTTTTTTTTTGCGTTTACTTAGGATTGGCCCACAGCTACATCCATACTGGACAGATGTTTTTAACTCTAAATGCAATGTTGAATTGTCTATTATTTCTTTGCTATGCAGATTATCTTGCATGAGCATTCAAAAACATGTTTATAGTTTGAACTTCTTATGTCTATTGTTTTCTACTACAAAATGTACTGTCTACAGATGGAAAGTTCTGTCTTTGGTGAGTGGCAAGGAATTGCTCACAACAATCAGTTACATACAGAGACATACTACACATGTTGGGAAGGGATAGATTACACTTATCAAAATATGTACAGGAGCAATCCTTATCTAGGGATTCCAAATGATCATACTCAATAGCTGGCCCATTCACAAGACTTGGTCAATGTAAAATACTGCTACTTTTTTCTCCCTTATGTTTCCCCACTTTCTCTATTGGCATCTTTGTGAAAGCAAGGTGGCACGCTGCCTTATCGTTGCTGCTCCTCATTACCCTCAACTGACAGCAAGGAAAGCAGGCAAGGCGATTAAGCAATGTGGCAGCCCATTTTTATCAGTTTACCTTTAAAAAAAAGCCAAGAAAAATTTAGTGAAGAGGGGGCTAGAGGTGCTTTATAACGAGAGGGAAATGCTGTGGAGTATTTATTTTTAAGAGTCAATGACTTCCTTGCCAGACAGGTACTACCAATTCTGAAGTTATTTTGAATTAAAGGTAATCTGATTTTAGAAAAAGAAAAAAACCAACATGCAGAATACACTTAAGGAGGTGACCAACCTTTTTAGAGCTGCTTGATTTCACCATAACTTGAACTTTTTACAAAAAAGTGCTTAACTGTTATTTTTCAATTCCAAAGATTTTTGTGGTAATAATTTAATAGGAAACTAGAAACAAGCTGGTGTAAAGCAACTATCTTAAACCATATGTAGTCTAGTTTTGGGGTCTGAAAATACTGAAAACCTACTAGCTTGATCAGCTAGAACCAAATATTCTGGATAATCGTTAGTATGTACATAACCATAAATATATGCATATATAGACACATATGTACACATATATACACATAGGCACATAAAAGAATTACTAATTTTTTGCCTATTATTGGACACTAAACATCACAATTTAATCTTTGGTGATGCAGAAAGCACTGTTTGCTATCCTGCGTATCCTTGGAGTCAACTTTCTGGTTATGAATCAGCAAGCTTACTAACTAATGAAATACAGGAGTGTCTGAGGAGTTTCCTCTCCACTGGACTCAGCTTATAGAACTGAGTACTAACACTAAAGCTAGAAGAAGCGGTACTGATTTTTTTTTTTTATGGTATCCACAGGAAGTACCTGCAATATAAAAAAATTAAGCTCCCTTAGGCAACTGCAATACCCCGAAATAAATGATCTAGAGACTAGGCCCAAAGTGTACAGTAGACAAAATGCTTCATAGGGTCCAAAATGTGAGGGACCTTAGCCGTGAGATAGCAGAGTCGGATGTGTTCATCAGCATTCCTAGTCTGCACTGCTGTTGATGCACCTCTTAAACTTATCTTTGTACCTACATTTGCTTTTATGGGCTAACTCAGACAGATTAGTATACTGAACTTTATACTTCTGCATTTTAAGAATCTAAAGCTTGTTATACGAATTTAAACCTTGTTACACAGTTCCCACGCAACTCCCCACCATTTTACATTATTACATCGGAAAGCCAAAAACACATTTGAAGAAAAAAAGTTTATTTTTATTCATTTATGCAAAGACAGTATCAGCAATAGGTAGTAGGAACATTTTTCTCAGTTTAGAATTAATTTTCCATTTTGAAAGGGACTTAATATCTTCTTTACCTTACTCTATTAAATACTTCAACAAAGACAAAAATTTATTCCTTTACTTTTCCTTAAGGTCATATCGGAATAATTAGAATTAACTCTTTAGAATGTAGGTATCATTTACAGAAATCTGGAGATTTAATCACAGAATGATGTATGTCGGAATGTTAAAAGCACTAAAAAAACTATGGATAATTTTTTAATGGACAAAGTCATGGTGCTTTCAATTTCTGAGGTGTAATAAAGCCTTCTTGGGAATTCTAAAGTTTAAAGACTGTATCCTTCGGATTCCGAATGAAAATTTTGAGAAATCATAGACCCCAGTGGGCATTAGTAATATGGCCCATAGTAACGACATTAACTTAGAGTCTCCACGTTTTAGGGAAGAAGCCATTGAAAGAAGGGCCAGAAAGCCACTTTAAACACATGTCCATGGCAGATCAAATGATACTGATACAAATGTTTCCCTTAGAAAGGTATTATATCCCATTGCTACCATTCCACGGCTTGGCCTTTGAACTGCTCATACAGCTACTTCCATTCTTTACATCACCAGTTCTAAGAGCAAACCTCCTGAAAGACTAGTAAAAGAGGCTGGGAAAACAAGACTGTGAGTATAGCAAAAGGGCTCTGGTGCTCTAGCTGTGTGGTCACAATATAAAATGAGGACACTACCTAATCTAGAAACAACATGCCTCTTCTGGACATATTTTATTTTACAGAAGGAAATATAACAGGCTAAAAAACAAAAATAAAAATCTATTTATAGCAAGTAACTAATACTTCAATGTTTTTATAAAAACAATTCCTTTCAGATACTCCGATTAACCTTTGAGTGACATAAAAAAGCTGCAGCGTTCTTTAATACCAGTATTTTGCAAATTTCACATACAGCCATTAAGTTTAGCATTTCAAGGAACAATTTTTTTTATAAAAAAGAATGGTAACTCATTGAGAAGGTTATATACCCAGTAAAGTTTAGTTTGTCTTGGATTCTTTAAAAAATTAGGCCCAGAATTTTAGTTATCCTAACTACTATCCCAATCAAATTGGACATACATATGTGGATTCTAGATAAAAGATAAAATACTTTGAATAAACATTATGACTCACTGATTGGACTGTTTGCTTAGAATCTGTTTTACTGGGTTTGGATAAGACTTCAATAAAGCTAACTATACATTGAGTTCCACTGATTAAAAATGCAGTTTTAAAAATTCTGCTTTTGAGGTAAATTTCTAGATAAATCATAAATGCAAAGCTCAATACTGAAATATTGTACTGTTCACAGGTACTTCTTGGAGAAGTGAAATGCTTGTGTTCAGACTATCAAAATTGTTAGCTTTCAAATCAGGTTTTAAAAACTTTTTTGAAAGTCAGTATTTGCTTTTAAACACTTAAAATGCAAGTTTCAATTTTTTAAAAATCCTTGCAGATAAATCTTAACATTCTTTCAGTCTCGATTATTTGTTACTTTAAACTATATATTAAACACAGAACCAGGTTCTAAATAAACATCTAATGAAGAACAGTTTCAGTGTTAAGATAAAACTAGAGAGTCTAATAATACAAGTTATACAGAAAGTTTCAGTGTGATTTACCAAAATTCAGAATTTCTGTAATAGTGGAAAACTTTTAGCTTAATATTCAAAACCAGCAACTTCCCATGAAACTAGATAGCTGAGAGGATCCAACAGATTTAAATACTGCCAAACTTCTTCTAAAGCGATGCACTCTTTTACCCTGGAAAAGACAGAAATAGTCCTTTTATTTTACTGAAAATTTCTGATGACTACTATGGATCTGAAAGTTGTCAAAACTTAAACCATTTGTTTTGGGTTTAAACATTATAAATAATGAGAAAAAAAGATGATTCTTTTCAGGAAGCATATTTGAACACTGGGATAACAAATGTACCAAGATGGCTAGTTTTATTAAACAGTTAAAAAAAGAAATCAATAATTAAATAAAACAAATTCCAGTAAACTGAGAAATAAAAGGACTTAAACTCAGTATCATTTTATGTACTTCTTAGTTAATAATTTTGCAGTAATGTCCCAAAGACAGCTGGTAGAAAATGTAATTGTAAAGAATACTTTTTTCACTAATTGAACTGCATTTAATACCAACTACAGCTTGCGAACTGCTCTCCAATCTGAAATTTCGTGTTTTTAGATTAAAATATGTAAGTTTTGGCATTTGAAGAACATATCATTAACCTGTGAAGACATATCATTCTTTAGAAAGGAAGATAAAACTTTAAAATACATGCAAAACTTTCTTTTCACTCTATGTTGCCTGCAGACGTGCAGAGAGAAGTGAGAGGTCTTACAAGGAGGAATGGGAATGAGTGAACGAGTAATAACATTTCCTTTTCTACAAAGCTGTGCCCTTTTTTTAAGACTTCAGTTTCATTTTCATATAAATAAAAGTGGCTTCTGGAAGTTACCTCATCTGTCAAAAGAGTGATAATCAATTTAGGTTAAAATCTAGAAAACTGGTCACCAACATGTATATTCAGAGGTCATGTAGGAAACAAGATTGTGAAAGGGCTAGATAACTAAGACAATGAAGAGAAATCGGCTATGGAAATTGTAAATACATTCAAAAATATCTCAGGCATTCTAATTCAATATAACAACGTGCAGTCAATTAAAATAGGTCTAAATGTCAGACAACTGCAGGATGCCAACTTCTGATTCCTCTCCCAAATAAGCAGAAAACTCTGGAAGTTTCAAAGCGAGTCTTTTGTCTACCACCAGGTGAGAACTCAAGTTTAAAAAAATATTTTCTGGGCTGGACATGGTGGCATACGCCTGTAATCCCAGCACTTTGGGAGGCTGAGGCAGGAGGATCACTTGAGCCCAGGAGTTCAAGACGAGCCAGGGCAATATAGTAAGATTCTCTCTTAAAAAAAAATCTTTTGGCTGGGCACGGTGGCTCACACCTGTAATCCCAGCAATTTGGGAGGCCGAGGCGGGCAGATCACAAGGTCAGGAGATCGAGACCATCCTGGCTAACACGATGAAACCCCATCTCTACTAAAAACACAAAAAATTAGCTGGGCGTGGTGGCAGGCACCTGTAGTCCCAGCCACTCGGGAGGCTGAGGCAGGAGAATGGCATGAACCTGGGAGGCAGAACTTGCAGTGAGCCAAGATCGCACCACTGCACTCCAACCTGGGTGACACAGTGGGACTCTGTCTCAAAAAAAAAAAAAAAAAATTTCTTTTTAACTAGCTAAGTGTGGTGGTGCACGTCTGTCGTCCTATTTGGGACGCTGAGGCAGAAGGATCCCTTGAGTGCAGGAGTTTGAGGTTGTAGTAAGCTGTGATTGCGACACTGCACTCCAGCCTGGATGACCAAATGAGGTCACCTCAAAAAAAAAAAAAAGAAAGAAAGAAAGAAACACAAAAAACTATCTTCTGCTTTGAAAATCACTTAAGTACTACTGTAGACACCAATGTAATCAGAATTTTCGGCAAGATAAGCTGATGTACAATTCCAGTTCTTTCTTTTCTAAATTGTACTATCTATATAGAACGAAGCAACAAGAGAACAAATGTCAAATTTAAATATATTTACTCCATGTTGCAAAGATGTTAAGAACTTAATTCTGCTATCTGGCTCTACTCTTCTACATTATACAGAAGATTCATAATATAACCCTTTAAAAAGGCTTAGGCTTCATCCCATATCCATTCACAGACAAAAATAAGCTAGTTCTGTTGTAAGACACAAAGTGATGGTTAAACATTTTCTTTTGAATGTAAAGTGTGTAGCCAGTTTTGACAAATCTGGCAGTTCCACTAAAGGTTAAATATGACTTAGCAATTCCATTCCCAAGTATATACGCAAGAGAGGTAAGCACGTATGTCCCCACAGTAACTTGTACATGAATGTTCACAGCATTAGTTATAACAGCTAAAAAGTGGAAATAATCCAAATGTCTTTAACAGATGAATGCATAAACAGAATAAGGTAATATCTACAAATAAAAAGAAATGATTAAGTTCTGATACGTGCTAGAATATTGATGAACCTTACAAACATTATGCTGAGTGAAAAAATCCAGTCACAAAATGCCACATCATTATGTATGATTCCATATACAAGAAATCTCCAGGACAGGAAAATCCTTAGAGGAAAAAAGTAAATTAGTGTTTGCCTAGGGATACACACAAGTTCCAGGAAAATAGCAGGTGACTGCTAAGGTACGGGGGTGATTTTTGAGGTGATTTAAATATTCTAAAATTGATTGTGGACATGGTTGCACAACTTTGAATATATGAAAAAACAGTGAAGTGCACATTTTAAATACATAAATTGTATTACTGGTATTATTTTAATAAAATTGTTATTTAAAAAACACCTTCCCTTTATTAACCATAATATTTTTCTCCCACCGGACTGACCAAGTTAGTTCTTTTTCGTATTTATAGACTTAGAACCACAGGGACCCAGAAACCTTTAGTCCTGTACCTTCTCATTTTAGACTTGTAAGAATTAGAGCCTTAATAAAAGATTTATCTATCCAACATGGATAGAAAGTGGGATCAGAAGTCAGATCTTTCTGGAATTCAACTAGCCACATTCTCTTCCGCTTCACCAACTCTGAATCAACCTCTCTTTCTACTCAACTTTTTACTGCTTCATTTTACCCCTTTTCTCCCTTCACACTGTTCAGGTGTATCATCTGAGTAAATCATTTCTTTTCTTCTCTTTAGTCCAATATGCATGTATTAAGTTCTACTTTTTTTTTTTTTTTTTTTTTTTTTTGAGACAAGGTCTCTCACTCTGTTGCCCAGGCTGGACTACAACGGCACAATCATGGCTCAGTGCAGCCTCAACTTCCCAGGCTCAAGCGATCCTCCTGCCTCAGACTCCTCTGGAGTAGTTGGCACTACAGGCATGTACCATCACAACTGGCTGATTTTTGTATTTTTTTGTAGAGATGGTGTTTTGCCTTGTTACCCAGGGTGGCCTCGAACTCCTGAGCTCAAGCAATCCACCCACCTCAGCCCCCCAAAGTGTTGGGATTACAGGCGTGAGCCTCTGCACCCAGCCAAGATCTCCTTTCTGTATCTAAAATTTTATTTTACTATTTGGTCAAGGTAGTCAACTAACTCTCTTCTCTAGTAAACCCTTTCAATTACAAATTTCTGCTGCAGGATTCTTCCCTAAATTTGACTACATTATATCAAGGCTCGGCAGCAGAAAATATACTGCCAGGTAAAACCCACACTGGTTTACTGGGTTACAGTCAAATGCCAACAGTTCAATTAAATGTTCTAGGCCGGGCACGGTGGCTCATGCCTGTAATCCCAGCACTTTGGGAGGCTGAGGCAGGTGGATCACGAGGTCAGGAGATCGAGACCATCCTGGCTAACACGGTGAAACCCCGTCTCTACTAAAAATACAAAAAATTAGCTGGGCGTGGTGGTGGGCGCCTGTAGTCCCAGCTACTCGGAAGGCTGAGGCAGGAGAATGGCGTTAAGTAAACCTGGGAGGTGGAGCTTGCAGTGAGCCTAGATGGGGCCACTCACTGCACTCCAGCCTGGGCGACAGAGGAGACTCCGTCTCAAAACAAAAAAAAAAGAAAAAAAATTCCTCTAAGAAAGCCCAAAATACATGTGCCACAAGGAAAACAGCTAACTTGAGAGGGAACAAGTGTGCTTTTTAATTATGCATGCCATTCCTTTCATACCTTGAAGCAGTCATCTTGAGTAACAACGGAATTTATCAGTCTCTTCTCTGGATTAAACAGACAAGATACCACCATTTGTATGCTTCGGTCCACAGATTTCTGAAACACAGAAGTTTTCAGTAATGTAAAGACAACTCTTTCTTTCACTCACTCTTAATAAGGGTGTGTTTTGGTTTTTCTTTTGATGGTTTAATGAACATATCAGTTTATTTCCAAAGAAATGCAAAAATGCTAAAAGAGGCTGGGAGCAGTGGCTCACACCTCTAATCCCAGCACTTTGGGAGGCCGAGGAGGACGCATCACCTGATATCAGGAGTTCAAGACTATCCTGGCCAACATGGCGAAACCCCTTCTCCACTAAAAAATACAAAAATTAGCTGGGTGACGGGTGCCTGTAATTCCACCTATTGGGGAGGCTGAGGCAGGGAGAATTACTGGAACCTAGGAGACAGAAGTTGCAGTGAGCCGAGATCACACCACTGCACTTCCAGCCTGGGCGACACCGCAAGACCCTGTCTCAAAAAAAAAAAGAAATTCATAAAAATGTGATTCATAATTCCTGCCACATATCCTCAGTATGTACGTTTTCTGACAAATCGAAGAATTATTTTAGAACCTTAGCGATAGAATACTGGTTTAAAAAGCTGAATTTGTTAAATCCCTAAGTGAATTCCAATGTTTCAAGAAAACATACTCAGAACAAAACCAGACAATTATACTGTAAGAGTTATGTTTTCATATTTATTCACATTTTAAAATCCAATATCAAATCAAGGAATTTACACTGCAATGGGACTTCTTGGGTATTATACATATTACCAGCACATCAACTACTTCCACACGCCCACCTATCTAACAGAACATATGTGACGCCAGGAGTGACAGTACTGTTATTACAGAAATTTGCACTAATGATAAAAAAAAGAAACAACCCTGTCTATTTCAGTGTTTGAATAATTACTACTGACTTCACCACTGTTGGAAACTTCTGCCACATATAATGTTATGGAGAGAATGCTTATTTAAATGGTATTTTTCACTGCTTAAGATCAAAACTGTTGTAAAAGAAAAGGGACATACAATTCGTACTAATTCTTCTTTTGAGTAGAATTCTAGAGGAAACCCTCCCATAGCATTCTGCCAAATCATATTAATACAGTATTTATTAAAGAATGGCTTTTTAAAATTAGTGAAACTGAAATACAGGAAAGGACTTGCTGAATCAGAAACTTTAGGTATATACTGAAAATTTGGGGTATCTGAAATTTCAACAACCTTTACATTAACTGCTGACTATCAGTCCATTATTTAAGCTCCATGATTTATGGCTAACATTTTTAAATTTGGGCAAAAATGTTTGCTTCTCAAAAAAAGTCATTCAAATTAGAAAAAAAATATGAAATATATATTGTAAAAAAAATTCAAAATTAGATGTTTGCCTTTTGTGGGCCATTTCCAGAGGGTGGGGTAGCTTCATGAATTGAGCATTCATTTAGCACAACATCACCTCCTGTATCAACTTCACTACAGTGACAGTTAAGAGCTGAATAAGCCTATATTTAAAATAATGAAAGTGTAATTAAACAGATAATACAGATACGTTTAAAAGCTACTTATTTATTCCTCAAAAAGGTGAGCTGGTATCAAAAGTTTCAATGTAGGTTGTGTTGAAATTCAATTGTGTTACTTCAGAAACCTTGTTTTAAACGAAAAGTTGAAATGCATTAAGGCAGCCTTTTGTTTTAAAACGTCTTCCAGGTATCAACATAATCAGAGGTAGAAGGATTCTAAGAAACAAATGTAGTTAAGGGAGTGTTTGAGAATTTTAACACTTACTATATCCTTCAAATATCCAATCGTGATGTAAGACAGCAACTCTGTTGTATTAGAGGTAATACTCTTGTTTTATTCCTATTCCTCTTTAAGAGTAATTAATAGCAAAACATTTCGGTTTCTCCTCAACAAATGTTTTATGGCTAGTAAAGCCAGAGGCATATTCTAGGCAGATACATGCTAATTCTAAAGCCAGTTAATACCGCCATTCCTGGATTATATAATCTATCAACAAGTAACTGAACACTTATCATTATGTGGACCAGCCACTGTTTCAGCACACAAAAATGTGAGAGACAAAAAGGCACTGTTGCTCCCATGGGAGTTTATAATTGGGTTAAAAATAAAGTAACAAAACATAAAACATTAATATAAAGAACCATTTAAAAATATCTACAGGCATATATGGCATAGAAAAAAGTCAAGAAAGATGAGGAAGTATACGTTTCACTAATTCACTTTACTCCATAACCCCTTTTGCTCCCCAACAGGCCACTGCGGTAGCACCTTAAAAAAATAAAAAGAAGGAAACCAAAACTATTAAAATATTCCTACACATTTTCAAAAACTCATGAGATACACAATATTGAAGCACTTATCATGCTGGCTCATTTGTTATTAAAGTGAAAGAAACAGAGTAAAAAAAAAAAAAGAAGTACTTTATGTTTCTAATCCCTGATGTTCTTGTTACTTTTATACATAAAACCTCGCCATTTTCCCAATTTTCTGGAGTTGGCATTGTGGAAATCTCAAGGATACTAGTTTTTTCAATTTATTACTTATCACCATAGATATGATTATGGGTCACAGATGTAGTCATATCTATGAAAAGAGGCCCAGAGAACTACTATCATGAAGCAGCAAGCTTAAAATAAAAATATAATTGGAATTCTGTGCTCTAAGAATGGGATGATAAAAAGATGAAAAAGATGAAAAAATACACGCTGAAATATAGAAGGGGACAACGAATCTCAGAAAACTGTTTTACAGAAAAGTTATTGCTAAGTATATCCCTGTCAAAATGTTAATTCATTACTTCTAAATAATACAGAGGGCTTCATTCTAGACCATTGCAAGTGTTTTCCTAAATTTTAGGTACATTTCACTAGTTTAAAATGACACACTATTTGGGAAATTCATATAAACAAGTTAAAGGCTTCAATAATATCTGAAAACAAATCATTTTACTCCCTCTTCAATTACCTGATAATTACATACAGGCAACTGACACCCAGTGGTGACCTGACCTGGTGAATTTGGATAAGTAGGATATGTCTGAAAGTAAGTTTACAGAAAGAATGAATATGGTAAAACATCTTTTTAAATTAGAAAAAAATATTATTCCCAAAATAAAAAAAATGAAAAACTTTAAAATATTTATTAATTTTCTATATAAAACAATGCAGAATTCTAAATGAATGAATGACTTCAGGAAGAAATAAATATTCTCTGTCAAGTGCTAAGCCCCTTTGGGTGGGGCGGGGGAACACACAAATGACAAAGTAGTGACTATTTCACCAGGCAAAGTTCACCTTACTGACACTGTGTACTTATGCCCACCCAGAAGTTGTTTCTTACACTGCTGGTAAGGCTCCATTAAGACAGATCTCAATGTAAGTTAAGTTAATACATTTGCTATTTCTTTGTCAATATACTTCCAGATAGTTTTGTGTTTGACAATATTACAGGGTAATATGTAGTTCTCCTACAGATGTTATGTTTTTTTTCTGTACTTCATTTCGAAAAACTAAGGGCAGTGTACAATCCAAAACTGGAGAAGGACAGTACGATGTCTTATATGTTTCGATAAATACTTATTGTTTGAAAACATATAGGAAGCAGCATACATGAATACACCCAAATTCAGTAATGGCTCACCGTAAATGTTAGAAACAAGTAGGGCTTTGTCTCTAGCCATTGTTCAGAGAAGAAAAAAGAAGAAGAGGTATATCCTACACATTTCAAGTACACAGAAAATGTCAATAAATGAGAGACACTGAAGAACTATTTCACTACTATTTTGTTACTTTATTTTCCATCAAAGAAAATGTCTTTTAAACTAACACATAAATAAAATGGACTAAGAAGAAAACAGACGTTATTTATCACCAATAAGTGATAGAGTATGTCAAATCCTACTTTAAATATCAAAGTAATCAGGATCAGAGAAATTACATGCCAGAAATTCACAGGATTTATAGGTACAGTAAAATAGGTCAGAAATCTATACATTCCAGACCGAGAATATATCCCGAAGTCAGCAGTTTATATGAGGAGTCAACTGGAAATCATTGCAAGTAAAGAAGAGCTAGATTAATCGCTATCCTTAAAGAATAAACTAGGCAGAAACATTAGAACAGCTGCTTTCAAATGTTTTCAGAACTAGGTATAATGGGGGAAAGAAGTTCAGGTATTTTAGAGGTAATACTCTTTTTTTATTCCTATTCTTATTTAAGAGTAATTAACAGCAAAACATTTCTGTTTCTCTTCAACAAATTTTTTGTGGCTGGTAAAACCAGAGGCAGACCCTACGCAGATACATGCTAATTCTAAAGTGACATTAATACTATCTTTCTTAGATTACACAGTCTATCAACAAGTAACTGAACACTTATTATGTGGACCAGCCACTCCTTAAGCACACAAAAACCTGAGAGAGAAAAAGGCACTGTTGCACCCATGGGAGATTGTAACTGGGTTAAAAAGAAAGTAACAAAATGTAACACATTAATATAAAGAATCATTTAAAATATTTATAAGGCATAAATGATATGGAAAATAATCCAGAAAGAACAGAAGTACATGGTAGGCTAATTCACTTTACCAGAGGTACAACCTACCTCCTTTGCTCCCCAACAGGGCACTGCGGTGGCATCTTAAAAAAAAAATAGGAAAACAAAATTATTCAAATATTCATAAACATTTTCAAAAACAAATGATATATAAAATATTGAAGTACCTATGCTGGCTCCTTTGTTATTATAATAAAAGAAAGACAATGGAAAAAAGAAGTACTTTATGGTTCTAATTCCTGACATTCTTGTTGTTACTTCCACATACAAATACGAAACCACACCTTTTCCCCAATTTTTGGATTTGGCATTGTGGAAATCTCAAAGATGTTACTACTTTGAACTTATTATGCTACATATGATTATTGGTCATAGATAGAGTCCTCTCTACTATGAAAAGAGAACCAGACAACAATTGTCGGGAAACAGCCTACTAAATGAAACTATAATTTGAATTATGTGCTCTAAGAATTGGGTAATAATTTTATTTACTCTATATCCCTAAAAAATTCATGAAAGTCATCCTGGAGGTTTCATTCAGCTATTTGACAGCAAAGATGAAAACTATATCCTGAAATATAGAAGGGTCAAATCTCAGAAAACTGTTCTACAGAAAAGTTATTGCCAAGTACATTCCTGTCAAAATATTACCTCATTACTTCTAAATCAGACAGAGGTCTTCATTCTACACTAATTCTAAGTGTTTCCTTAAATATTAGGTACACTTCACTAGTTTAAAATGACCAACTATTCAGGAAATTTGTATAAACAAGTTAAAGGCCTCAATAATACCTGAAAGCAAATCATTTCATTCCTTCTTACATTACCTGGTAATTGTATACATGGAACTGATATCCAGTGGTGACCTGAACTGCTGAATTTGGATAAGCAGGAAATGCCTGAAAAGAAAGGTGGCAGAAAAAAAAGAATATGGTAAACCATTTTTTAAAATTAGAAAGAAATATCATTCCCAATGTAACAAAAATATTAAAAACGTTAAAATATCATTTTTCTACATACAACAATGCAGAATTCTAAATGAATGACTGACTTTATGAAGAAAGAAATAGTCTATGTCATGTGCCACACTTTGGGTGTGAAGGGGGAACAAATGACAAAAGAATTGACTATTTCACCAAAGTTTACCTTATACTGTGTACTTATTCACACCCAGAAATTCTTTCTTACACCGGTGATAAGGCTCCATTAAGACAGATTGCAATGTAAGTTAAATTTATACATTTGCTATTTCAATGTCAGAATATTTCTAGACTGTTTTGTATCAGACAATATTAAAGGGTAATATGTAGTTCTATAGATATTAGTGCTATGTTTGTACTTCATTCCAAAAAACTAAGTGCAGTCTATAATCCAATACTGGAGAAGAGAAAGTATAATGTCTTATATGTTTCAATGAATTCTTATTGTTTGAAAACATACAGGTAGCAGCACACATGAATATGCCCTGATTCAGTAATGCCGCACAGTAAATGACAGAAACAAGTAGGGCTTTTTTTCCAGCCATTGTTCAGAGAAGGAAAAAGAAGAGGTATACCACACATGTTTCAAGTACATGGAAAACATCAACAAATTAGAGACACTGCAGAACTATTGGACTATTATTTTGTTACTTCATTTTCCGTCAAAGAAAATGTCTTTAAAGCTAACACATAAATAAAACGAACTAAGAAGAATATAAACGTCCTTTATCAACATTAAGTGATGGAGTATGTCAAAACCTACTTTAAATATCAGTGTAAGCAGGATCAGAGAAATTAGATGCAAGAAGCTCACGGGATTTATATACCTACTAAACCACATCAGAAATCTACCCATTCCCGAACCAGAATATATCCAGAAGTCAGCAATTTATATGAGGAGGCATCTGGAAATCATTTCAAATAAAGGGTAGCTAGATGAACTGTTAAACTTACCGAAGAATGAAGTAGGCAGACACATAAGGAGAGCTGCTTTCATTCACTTTAGGAACTGGTTATAAGGAGGAAAGCAGCTCTGGTGCTTTGGAGGTAATACTCTCGTTTACTCCTATTCTTATTTAGGCGCAATTAACAGCAAAGCATTTCTGTCTCTGTTCTACAAATTTTCTGTTGCTGGTAAAGCCAGAGGCAGAATCTACGCAGATGCATGCTAATTCAAAAGCCACATGAATACTACCTTTCTTTGATGATATGGTCTATCATTAAGTGGACCTGCCATTGCTTAAGCAAATAAAAACCTCAGGGCAAAAAAGGCACTGTTGCTCCCATGGGAGTTTATAATCGGGTTAACAAGAAAGTAAAAAAATAAACTAAAACATTGATATAAAAATCACTTAAAAATAGTAATAGGCATATACGACGTGGAAAAAAACCAAGAATGAACAGGAAGTCTATGTTTGGCTAATTCACTTAACATCAAGGAAAACATAATCCCTTTGCTCCCCAACAGGCCCCTATGGTGGCATCTTAAAAAAAAAAAAAAAAAGGAAACCAAAACTATTAAAATATTCCTACACATTTTCAAAAACACATGAGAAACACAATATTGAAGCACTTATCCTGCTGTCTCCTTTTTTATTATAATACAAGTAACAGAAAGGAAAACTTGAGTACTTTATGTTTCTAGTCCATGACATTCTTGTTACTTTTATATTAGAAACTTCACCCTTCTCCACATTTTCGGGAGTTGGCAATGTGGAAACCTCAAAGATACTAGCTCTTTCAGTTTATTACCATAGATATAATTATTGGGCATAGATGTACTTGTATCTGTGAAAAGAGACCCAGAGAATTGCTATCGTGAAACAGCCAGCTAAAATGAAAATATAGTTGGAATTCTGTGCTCTGCAAAGTGGGTCATAATTTTATTTCACTCTATCTCCCTAAGAAAATTCATGAAAGTCAGTTTGGATGTTTCATTCAGTTATTTGACAGTAAAGATGAAAACTACATCCAGAAATGAAGAATGGGACACCAAATCTCAGAAATCTGTTCTACAGGAAAGTTATTCCCAAGTATATTCCTGTCAAAATTCGACTTCATTACTTCTCAATAAGACAGAGGTCTTCATTCTACACTAATTCTAAGTGTTTCCTTAAATTTTAGGTACACTTCACTAGTTTAAAATGACCAACTATTCCGGAAATTTGTATAAACAAGTTAAAGGCCTCAATAATACCTGAAAGCAAATAATTTTACTCCTTCTTACATTACCTGATAATTATATACAGGCAACTGATATCCAGTGGTGACCTGAAATGGTGAACTTGGATAAGCAGGAAATGCCTGAAAAGAAAGGTTGGCAGAAAAAAATGAATATGGTAAACCACTTTTTAAAATTACAAAGAAATATAATTCCCAATATAACAACAATATTACAGAAGGGAAAATATCGTTTTTCTACATACAACAATGCAGAATTCCAAATGAATGACTGATTTATGAAGAAAGAAAGATTCCATGTCAAGTGCTACACTTTGGCTGTGAAGGGGGAAGAAATGACAAAAGAATTGACGACTTCACCAAAGTTTACCTTATACTGTGTACGTATTCACACCCAGACGTTATTTCTTACACTGGTGATAAGGCTCCATTAAGAGAGATTGCAAGGTAAGTTAAATTAATACATTTGCTATTTCCCTGTCAGAATATTTCTACACTGTTTTTTATCAGACAATATTATAGGACAATGTGTAGTTGTACACGCGTTATGGCTTTGTCTGTACTTCATTCCGGAAAACTAAGTGCAGTCTATAATCCAATACTGGAGAAGAGAAAGTATAATGTCTTATATGTTTCAATGAATTCTTATTGTTTGAAAACATACAGGTAGCAGCATACATGAATACACCCAGATTCAGTAATGCCTCACAGTAAATGACAGAAAGAAGTAGGGTTTTTTTTCTAGCCATTGTTCAGAGAAGGAAAAAGAAGAGGTGTACCATACATGTTTCAAGTACATGGAAAATATCAACAAATTAGAGACACGGCAGAACTATTCGACTATTATTTTGTTACTTCACTTTCCGTCACAGAAAATGTCTTTAAAGCTAACACATAAATAAAACGAACTAAGAAGAATATAAACGTCCTTTATCAACATTAAGTGATGGAGTATGTCAAAACCTACTTTAAATATCAGTGTAAGCAGGATCAGAGAAATTAGATGCAAGAAGCTCACGGGATTTATATACCTACTAAACCACATCAGAAATCTACCCATTCCCGAACCAGAATATATCCAGAAGTCAGCAATTTATATGAGGAGGCATCTGGAAATCATTTCAAATAAAGGGTAGCTAGATGAACTGTTAAACTTACCGAAGAATGAAGTAGGCAGACACATAAGGAGAGCTGCTTTCATTCACTTTAGGAACTGGTTATAAGGAGGAAAGCAGCTCTGGTGCTTTGGAGGTAATACTCTCGTTTACTCCTATTCTTATTTAAGCGCAATTAACAGCAAAGCATTTCTGTCTCTGTTCTACAAATTTTCTGTTGCTGGTAAAGCCAGAGGCAGAATCTACGCAGATGCATGCTAATTCAAAAGCCACATGAATACTACCTTTCTTTGATGATATGGTCTATCATTAAGTGGACCTGCCATTGCTTAAGCAAATAAAAACCTCAGGGCAAAAAAGGCACTGTTGCTCCCATGGGAGTTTATAATCGGGTTAACAAGAAAGTAAAAAAATAAACTAAAACATTGATATAAAAATCACTTAAAAATAGTAATAGGCATATACGACGTGGAAAAAAACCAAGAATGAACAGGAAGTCTATGTTTGGCTAATTCACTTAACATCAAGGAAAACATAATCCCTTTGCTCCCCAACAGGCCCCTATGGTGGCATCTTAAAAAAAAAAAAAAAAGGAAACCAAAACTATTAAAATATTCCTACACATTTTCAAAAACACATGAGAAACACAATATTGAAGCACTTATCCTGCTGTCTCCTTTTTTATTATAATACAAGTAACAGAAAGGAAAACTTGAGTACTTTATGTTTCTACTCCATGACATTCTTGTTACTTTTATATTAGAAACTTCACCCTTCTCCACATTTTCGGGAGTTGGCAATGTGGAAACCTCAAAGATACTAGCTCTTTCAGTTTATTACCATAGATATAATTATTGGGCATAGATGTACTTGTATCTGTGAAAAGAGACCCAGAGAATTGCTATCGTGAAACAGCCAGCTAAAATGAAAATATAGTTGGAATTCTGTGCTCTGCAAAGTGGGTCATAATTTTATTTCACTCTATCTCCCTAAGAAAATTCATGAAAGTCAGTTTGGATGTTTCATTCAGTTATTTGACAGTAAAGATGAAAACTACATCCAGAAATGAAGAATGGGACACCAAATCTCAGAAATCTGTTCTACAGGAAAGTTATTCCCAAGTATATTCCTGTCAAAATTCGACTTCATTACTTCTCAATAAGACAGAGGTCTTCCTTCTACACTAATTCTAAGTGTTTCCTTAAATTTTAGGTACACTTCACTAGTTTAAAATGACCAACTATTCCGGAAATTTGTATAAACAAGTTAAAGGCCTCAATAATACCTGAAAGCAAATAATTTTACTCCTTCTTACATTACCTGATAATTATATACAGGCAACTGATATCCAGTGGTGACCTGAAATGGTGAACTTGGATAAGCAGGAAATGCCTGAAAAGAAAGGTTGGCAGAAAAAAATGAATATGGTAAACCACTTTTTAAAATTACAAAGAAATATAATTCCCAATATAACAACAATATTACAGAAGGGAAAATATCGTTTTTCTACATACAACAATGCAGAATTCCAAATGAATGACTGATTTATGAAGAAAGAAAGATTCCATGTCAAGTGCTACACTTTGGGTGTGAAGGGGGAAGAAATGACAAAAGAATTGACGACTTCACCAAAGTTTACCTTATACTGTGTACGTATTCACACCCAGACGTTATTTCTTACACTGGTGATAAGGCTCCATTAAGAGAGATTGCAAGGTAAGTTAAATTAATACATTTGCTATTTCCCTGTCAGAATATTTCTACACTGTTTTTTATCAGACAATATTATAGGACAATGTGTAGTTGTACACGCGTTATGGCTTTGTCTGTACTTCATTCCGGAAAACTAAGTGCAGTCTATAATCCAATACTGGAGAAGAGAAAGTATAATGTCTTATATGTTTCAATGAATTCTTATTGTTTGAAAACATACAGGTAGCAGCATACATGAATACACCCAGATTCAGTAATGCCTCACAGTAAATGACAGAAAGAAGTAGGGTTTTTTTTCTAGCCATTGTTCAGAGAAGGAAAAAGAAGAGGTGTACCATACATGTTTCAAGTACATGGAAAATATCAACAAATTAGAGACACGGCAGAACTATTCGACTATTATTTTGTTACTTCACTTTCCGTCAAAGAAAATGTCTTTAAAGCTAACACATAAATAAAACGAACTAAGAAGAATATAAACGTCCTTTATCAACATTAAGTGATGGAGTATGTCAAAACCTACTTTAAATATCAGTGTAAGCAGGATCAGAGAAATTAGATGCAAGAAGCTCACGGGATTTATATACCTACTAAACCACATCAGAAATCTACCCATTCCCGAACCAGAATATATCCAGAAGTCAGCAATTTATATGAGGAGGCATCTGGAAATCATTTCAAATAAAGGGTAGCTAGATGAACTGTTAAACTTACCGAAGAATGAAGTAGGCAGACACATAAGGAGAGCTGCTTTCATTCACTTTAGGAACTGGTTATAAGGAGGAAAGCAGCTCTGGTGCTTTGGAGGTAATACTCTCGTTTACTCCTATTCTTATTTAAGCGCAATTAACAGCAAAGCATTTCTGTCTCTGTTCTACAAATTTTCTGTTGCTGGTAAAGCCAGAGGCAGAATCTACGCAGATGCATGCTAATTCAAAAGCCACATGAATACTACCTTTCTTTGATGATATGGTCTATCATTAAGTGGACCTGCCATTGCTTAAGCAAATAAAAACCTCAGGGCAAAAAAGGCACTGTTGCTCCCATGGGAGTTTATAATCGGGTTAACAAGAAAGTAAAAAAATAAACTAAAACATTGATATAAAAATCACTTAAAAATAGTAATAGGCATATACGACGTGGAAAAAAACCAAGAATGAACAGGAAGTCTATGTTTGGCTAATTCACTTAACATCAAGGAAAACATAATCCCTTTGCTCCCCAACAGGCCCCTATGGTGGCATCTTAAAAAAAAAAAAAAAAGGAAACCAAAACTATTAAAATATTCCTACACATTTTCAAAAACACATGAGAAACACAATATTGAAGCACTTATCCTGCTGTCTCCTTTTTTATTATAATACAAGTAACAGAAAGGAAAACTTGAGTACTTTATGTTTCTAGTCCATGACATTCTTGTTACTTTTATATTAGAAACTTCACCCTTCTCCACATTTTCGGGAGTTGGCAATGTGGAAACCTCAAAGATACTAGCTCTTTCAGTTTATTACCATAGATATAATTATTGGGCATAGATGTACTTGTATCTGTGAAAAGAGACCCAGAGAATTGCTATCGTGAAACAGCCAGCTAAAATGAAAATATAGTTGGAATTCTGTGCTCTGAAAAGTGGGTCATAATTTTATTTCACTCTATCTCCCTAAGAAAATTCATGAAAGTCAGTTTGGATGTTTCATTCAGTTATTTGACAGTAAAGATGAAAACTACATCCAGAAATGAAGAATGGGACACCAAATCTCAGAAATCTGTTCTACAGGAAAGTTATTCCCAAGTATATTCCTGTCAAAATTCGACTTCATTACTTCTCAATAAGACAGAGGTCTTCATTCTACACTAATTCTAAGTGTTTCCTTAAATTTTAGGTACACTTCACTAGTTTAAAATGACCAACTATTCCGGAAATTTGTATAAACAAGTTAAAGGCCTCAATAATACCTGAAAGCAAATAATTTTACTCCTTCTTACATTACCTGATAATTATATACAGGCAACTGATATCCAGTGGTGACCTGAAATGGTGAACTTGGATAAGCAGGAAATGCCTGAAAAGAAAGGTTGGCAGAAAAAAATGAATATGGTAAACCACTTTTTAAAATTACAAAGAAATATAATTCCCAATATAACAACAATATTACAGAAGGGAAAATATCGTTTTTCTACATACAACAATGCAGAATTCCAAATGAATGACTGATTTATGAAGAAAGAAAGATTCCATGTCAAGTGCTACACTTTGGCTGTGAAGGGGGAAGAAATGACAAAAGAATTGACGACTTCACCAAAGTTTACCTTATACTGTGTACGTATTCACACCCAGACGTTATTTCTTACACTGGTGATAAGGCTCCATTAAGAGAGATTGCAAGGTAAGTTAAATTAATACATTTGCTATTTCCCTGTCAGAATATTTCTACACTGTTTTTTATCAGACAATATTATAGGACAATGTGTAGTTGTACACGCGTTATGGCTTTGTCTGTACTTCATTCCGGAAAACTAAGTGCAGTCTATAATCCAATACTGGAGAAGAGAAAGTATAATGTCTTATATGTTTCAATAAATTCTTATTGTTTGAAAACATACAGGTAGCAGCATACATGAATACACCCAGATTCAGTAATGCCTCACAGTAAATGACAGAAAGAAGTAGGGTTTTTTTTCTAGCCATTGTTCAGAGAAGGAAAAAGAAGAGGTGTACCATACATGTTTCAAGTACATGGAAAATATCAACAAATTAGAGACACGGCAGAACTATTCGACTATTATTTTGTTACTTCACTTTCCGTCACAGAAAATGTCTTTAAAGCTAACACATAAATAAAACGAACTAAGAAGAATATAAACGTCCTTTATCAACATTAAGTGATGGAGTATGTCAAAACCTACTTTAAATATCAGTGTAAGCAGGATCAGAGAAATTAGATGCAAGAAGCTCACGGGATTTATATACCTACTAAACCACATCAGAAATCTACCCATTCCCGAACCAGAATATATCCAGAAGTCAGCAATTTATATGAGGAGGCATCTGGAAATCATTTCAAATAAAGGGTAGCTAGATGAACTGTTAAACTTACCGAAGAATGAAGTAGGCAGACACATAAGGAGAGCTGCTTTCATTCACTTTAGGAACTGGTTATAAGGAGGAAAGCAGCTCTGGTGCTTTGGAGGTAATACTCTCGTTTACTCCTATTCTTATTTAAGCGCAATTAACAGCAAAGCATTTCTGTCTCTGTTCTACAAATTTTCTGTTGCTGGTAAAGCCAGAGGCAGAATCTACGCAGATGCATGCTAATTCAAAAGCCACATGAATACTACCTTTCTTTGATGATATGGTCTATCATTAAGTGGACCTGCCATTGCTTAAGCAAATAAAAACCTCAGGGCAAAAAAGGCACTGTTGCTCCCATGGGAGTTTATAATCGGGTTAACAAGAAAGTAAAAAAATAAACTAAAACATTGATATAAAAATCACTTAAAAATAGTAATAGGCATATACGACGTGGAAAAAAACCAAGAATGAACAGGAAGTCTATGTTTGGCTAATTCACTTAACATCAAGGAAAACATAATCCCTTTGCTCCCCAACAGGCCCCTATGGTGGCATCTTAAAAAAAAAAAAAAAAGGAAACCAAAACTATTAAAATATTCCTACACATTTTCAAAAACACATGAGAAACACAATATTGAAGCACTTATCCTGCTGTCTCCTTTTTTATTATAATACAAGTAACAGAAAGGAAAACTTGAGTACTTTATGTTTCTAGTCCATGACATTCTTGTTACTTTTATATTAGAAACTTCACCCTTCTCCACATTTTCGGGAGTTGGCAATGTGGAAACCTCAAAGATACTAGCTCTTTCAGTTTATTACCATAGATATAATTATTGGGCATAGATGTACTTGTATCTGTGAAAAGAGACCCAGAGAATTGCTATCGTGAAACAGCCAGCTAAAATGAAAATATAGTTGGAATTCTGTGCTCTGAAAAGTGGGTCATAATTTTATTTCACTCTATCTCCCTAAGAAAATTCATGAAAGTCAGTTTGGATGTTTCATTCAGTTATTTGACAGTAAAGATGAAAACTACATCCAGAAATGAAGAATGGGACACCAAATCTCAGAAATCTGTTCTACAGGAAAGTTATTCCCAAGTATATTCCTGTCAAAATTCGACTTCATTACTTCTCAATAAGACAGAGGTCTTCATTCTACACTAATTCTAAGTGTTTCCTTAAATTTTAGGTACACTTCACTAGTTTAAAATGACCAACTATTCCGGAAATTTGTATAAACAAGTTAAAGGCCTCAATAATACCTGAAAGCAAATAATTTTACTCCTTCTTACATTACCTGATAATTATATACAGGCAACTGATATCCAGTGGTGACCTGAAATGGTGAACTTGGATAAGCAGGAAATGCCTGAAAAGAAAGGTTGGCAGAAAAAAATGAATATGGTAAACCACTTTTTAAAATTACAAAGAAATATAATTCCCAATATAACAACAATATTACAGAAGGGAAAATATCGTTTTTCTACATACAACAATGCAGAATTCCAAATGAATGACTGATTTATGAAGAAAGAAAGATTCCATGTCAAGTGCTACACTTTGGCTGTGAAGGGGGAAGAAATGACAAAAGAATTGACGACTTCACCAAAGTTTACCTTATACTGTGTACGTATTCACACCCAGACGTTATTTCTTACACTGGTGATAAGGCTCCATTAAGAGAGATTGCAAGGTAAGTTAAATTAATACATTTGCTATTTCCCTGTCAGAATATTTCTACACTGTTTTTTATCAGACAATATTATAGGACAATGTGTAGTTGTACACGCGTTATGGCTTTGTCTGTACTTCATTCCGGAAAACTAAGTGCAGTCTATAATCCAATACTGGAGAAGAGAAAGTATAATGTCTTATATGTTTCAATAAATTCTTATTGTTTGAAAACATACAGGTAGCAGCATACATGAATACACCCAGATTCAGTAATGCCTCACAGTAAATGACAGAAAGAAGTAGGGTTTTTTTTCTAGCCATTGTTCAGAGAAGGAAAAAGAAGAGGTGTACCATACATGTTTCAAGTACATGGAAAATATCAACAAATTAGAGACACGGCAGAACTATTCGACTATTATTTTGTTACTTCACTTTCCGTCACAGAAAATGTCTTTAAAGCTAACACATAAATAAAACGAACTAAGAAGAATATAAACGTCCTTTATCAACATTAAGTGATGGAGTATGTCAAAACCTACTTTAAATATCAGTGTAAGCAGGATCAGAGAAATTAGATGCAAGAAGCTCACGGGATTTATATACCTACTAAACCACATCAGAAATCTACCCATTCCCGAACCAGAATATATCCAGAAGTCAGCAATTTATATGAGGAGGCATCTGGAAATCATTTCAAATAAAGGGTAGCTAGATGAACTGTTAAACTTACCGAAGAATGAAGTAGGCAGACACATAAGGAGAGCTGCTTTCATTCACTTTAGGAACTGGTTATAAGGAGGAAAGCAGCTCTGGTGCTTTGGAGGTAATACTCTCGTTTACTCCTATTCTTATTTAAGCGCAATTAACAGCAAAGCATTTCTGTCTCTGTTCTACAAATTTTCTGTTGCTGGTAAAGCCAGAGGCAGAATCTACGCAGATGCATGCTAATTCAAAAGCCACATGAATACTACCTTTCTTTGATGATATGGTCTATCATTAAGTGGACCTGCCATTGCTTAAGCAAATAAAAACCTCAGGGCAAAAAAGGCACTGTTGCTCCCATGGGAGTTTATAATCGGGTTAACAAGAAAGTAAAAAAATAAACTAAAACATTGATATAAAAACCACTTAAAAATAGTAATAGGCATATACGACGTGGAAAAAAACCAAGAATGAACAGGAAGTCTATGTTTGGCTAATTCACTTAACATCAAGGAAAACATAATCCCTTTGCTCCCCAACAGGCCCCTATGGTGGCATCTTAAAAAAAAAAAAAAAAAGGAAACCAAAACTATTAAAATATTCCTACACATTTTCAAAAACACATGAGAAACACAATATTGAAGCACTTATCCTGCTGTCTCCTTTTTTATTATAATACAAGTAACAGAAAGGAAAACTTGAGTACTTTATGTTTCTACTCCATGACATTCTTGTTACTTTTATATTAGAAACTTCACCCTTCTCCACATTTTCGGGAGTTGGCAATGTGGAAACCTCAAAGATACTAGCTCTTTCAGTTTATTACCATAGATATAATTATTGGGCATAGATGTACTTGTATCTGTGAAAAGAGACCCAGAGAATTGCTATCGTGAAACAGCCAGCTAAAATGAAAATATAGTTGGAATTCTGTGCTCTGCAAAGTGGGTCATAATTTTATTTCACTCTATCTCCCTAAGAAAATTCATGAAAGTCAGTTTGGATGTTTCATTCAGTTATTTGACAGTAAAGATGAAAACTACATCCAGAAATGAAGAATGGGACACCAAATCTCAGAAATCTGTTCTACAGGAAAGTTATTCCCAAGTATATTCCTGTCAAAATTCGACTTCATTACTTCTCAATAAGACAGAGGTCTTCATTCTACACTAATTCTAAGTGTTTCCTTAAATTTTAGGTACACTTCACTAGTTTAAAATGACCAACTATTCCGGAAATTTGTATAAACAAGTTAAAGGCCTCAATAATACCTGAAAGCAAATAATTTTACTCCTTCTTACATTACCTGATAATTATATACAGGCAACTGATATCCAGTGGTGACCTGAAATGGTGAACTTGGATAAGCAGGAAATGCCTGAAAAGAAAGGTTGGCAGAAAAAAATGAATATGGTAAACCACTTTTTAAAATTACAAAGAAATATAATTCCCAATATAACAACAATATTACAGAAGGGAAAATATCGTTTTTCTACATACAACAATGCAGAATTCCAAATGAATGACTGATTTATGAAGAAAGAAAGATTCCATGTCAAGTGCTACACTTTGGCTGTGAAGGGGGAAGAAATGACAAAAGAATTGACGACTTCACCAAAGTTTACCTTATACTGTGTACGTATTCACACCCAGACGTTATTTCTTACACTGGTGATAAGGCTCCATTAAGAGAGATTGCAAGGTAAGTTAAATTAATACATTTGCTATTTCCCTGTCAGAATATTTCTACACTGTTTTTTATCAGACAATATTATAGGACAATGTGTAGTTGTACACGCGTTATGGCTTTGTCTGTACTTCATTCCGGAAAACTAAGTGCAGTCTATAATCCAATACTGGAGAAGAGAAAGTATAATGTCTTATATGTTTCAATGAATTCTTATTGTTTGAAAACATACAGGTAGCAGCATACATGAATACACCCAGATTCAGTAATGCCTCACAGTAAATGACAGAAAGAAGTAGGGTTTTTTTTCTAGCCATTGTTCAGAGAAGGAAAAAGAAGAGGTGTACCATACATGTTTCAAGTACATGGAAAATATCAACAAATTAGAGACACGGCAGAACTATTCGACTATTATTTTGTTACTTCACTTTCCGTCAAAGAAAATGTCTTTAAAGCTAACACATAAATAAAACGAACTAAGAAGAATATAAACGTCCTTTATCAACATTAAGTGATGGAGTATGTCAAAACCTACTTTAAATATCAGTGTAAGCAGGATCAGAGAAATTAGATGCAAGAAGCTCACGGGATTTATATACCTACTAAACCACATCAGAAATCTACCCATTCCCGAACCAGAATATATCCAGAAGTCAGCAATTTATATGAGGAGGCATCTGGAAATCATTTCAAATAAAGGGTAGCTAGATGAACTGTTAAACTTACCGAAGAATGAAGTAGGCAGACACATAAGGAGAGCTGCTTTCATTCACTTTAGGAACTGGTTATAAGGAGGAAAGCAGCTCTGGTGCTTTGGAGGTAATACTCTCGTTTACTCCTATTCTTATTTAAGCGCAATTAACAGCAAAGCATTTCTGTCTCTGTTCTACAAATTTTCTGTTGCTGGTAAAGCCAGAGGCAGAATCTACGCAGATGCATGCTAATTCAAAAGCCACATGAATACTACCTTTCTTTGATGATATGGTCTATCATTAAGTGGACCTGCCATTGCTTAAGCAAATAAAAACCTCAGGGCAAAAAAGGCACTGTTGCTCCCATGGGAGTTTATAATCGGGTTAACAAGAAAGTAAAAAAATAAACTAAAACATTGATATAAAAACCACTTAAAAATAGTAATAGGCATATACGACGTGGAAAAAAACCAAGAATGAACAGGAAGTCTATGTTTGGCTAATTCACTTAACATCAAGGAAAACATAATCCCTTTGCTCCCCAACAGGCCCCTATGGTGGCATCTTAAAAAAAAAAAAAAAAGGAAACCAAAACTATTAAAATATTCCTACACATTTTCAAAAACACATGAGAAACACAATATTGAAGCACTTATCCTGCTGTCTCCTTTTTTATTATAATACAAGTAACAGAAAGGAAAACTTGAGTACTTTATGTTTCTAGTCCATGACATTCTTGTTACTTTTATATTAGAAACTTCACCCTTCTCCACATTTTCGGGAGTTGGCAATGTGGAAACCTCAAAGATACTAGCTCTTTCAGTTTATTACCATAGATATAATTATTGGGCATAGATGTACTTGTATCTGTGAAAAGAGACCCAGAGAATTGCTATCGTGAAACAGCCAGCTAAAATGAAAATATAGTTGGAATTCTGTGCTCTGCAAAGTGGGTCATAATTTTATTTCACTCTATCTCCCTAAGAAAATTCATGAAAGTCAGTTTGGATGTTTCATTCAGTTATTTGACAGTAAAGATGAAAACTACATCCAGAAATGAAGAATGGGACACCAAATCTCAGAAATCTGTTCTACAGGAAAGTTATTCCCAAGTATATTCCTGTCAAAATTCGACTTCATTACTTCTCAATAAGACAGAGGTCTTCATTCTACACTAATTCTAAGTGTTTCCTTAAATTTTAGGTACACTTCACTAGTTTAAAATGACCAACTATTCCGGAAATTTGTATAAACAAGTTAAAGGCCTCAATAATACCTGAAAGCAAATAATTTTACTCCTTCTTACATTACCTGATAATTATATACAGGCAACTGATATCCAGTGGTGACCTGAAATGGTGAACTTGGATAAGCAGGAAATGCCTGAAAAGAAAGGTTGGCAGAAAAAAATGAATATGGTAAACCACTTTTTAAAATTACAAAGAAATATAATTCCCAATATAACAACAATATTACAGAAGGGAAAATATCGTTTTTCTACATACAACAATGCAGAATTCCAAATGAATGACTGATTTATGAAGAAAGAAAGATTCCATGTCAAGTGCTACACTTTGGCTGTGAAGGGGGAAGAAATGACAAAAGAATTGACGACTTCACCAAAGTTTACCTTATACTGTGTACGTATTCACACCCAGACGTTATTTCTTACACTGGTGATAAGGCTCCATTAAGAGAGATTGCAAGGTAAGTTAAATTAATACATTTGCTATTTCCCTGTCAGAATATTTCTACACTGTTTTTTATCAGACAATATTATAGGACAATGTGTAGTTGTACACGCGTTATGGCTTTGTCTGTACTTCATTCCGGAAAACTAAGTGCAGTCTATAATCCAATACTGGAGAAGAGAAAGTATAATGTCTTATATGTTTCAATAAATTCTTATTGTTTGAAAACATACAGGTAGCAGCATACATGAATACACCCAGATTCAGTAATGCCTCACAGTAAATGACAGAAAGAAGTAGGGTTTTTTTTCTAGCCATTGTTCAGAGAAGGAAAAAGAAGAGGTGTACCATACATGTTTCAAGTACATGGAAAATATCAACAAATTAGAGACACGGCAGAACTATTCGACTATTATTTTGTTACTTCACTTTCCGTCACAGAAAATGTCTTTAAAGCTAACACATAAATAAAACGAACTAAGAAGAATATAAACGTCCTTTATCAACATTAAGTGATGGAGTATGTCAAAACCTACTTTAAATATCAGTGTAAGCAGGATCAGAGAAATTAGATGCAAGAAGCTCACGGGATTTATATACCTACTAAACCACATCAGAAATCTACCCATTCCCGAACCAGAATATATCCAGAAGTCAGCAATTTATATGAGGAGGCATCTGGAAATCATTTCAAATAAAGGGTAGCTAGATGAACTGTTAAACTTACCGAAGAATGAAGTAGGCAGACACATAAGGAGAGCTGCTTTCATTCACTTTAGGAACTGGTTATAAGGAGGAAAGCAGCTCTGGTGCTTTGGAGGTAATACTCTCGTTTACTCCTATTCTTATTTAAGCGCAATTAACAGCAAAGCATTTCTGTCTCTGTTCTACAAATTTTCTGTTGCTGGTAAAGCCAGAGGCAGAATCTACGCAGATGCATGCTAATTCAAAAGCCACATGAATACTACCTTTCTTTGATGATATGGTCTATCATTAAGTGGACCTGCCATTGCTTAAGCAAATAAAAACCTCAGGGCAAAAAAGGCACTGTTGCTCCCATGGGAGTTTATAATCGGGTTAACAAGAAAGTAAAAAAATAAACTAAAACATTGATATAAAAATCACTTAAAAATAGTAATAGGCATATACGACGTGGAAAAAAACCAAGAATGAACAGGAAGTCTATGTTTGGCTAATTCACTTAACATCAAGGAAAACATAATCCCTTTGCTCCCCAACAGGCCCCTATGGTGGCATCTTGAAAAAAAAAGGGGGGTGGGGGAGGAGCCAAGATGGCCGAATAGGAACAGCTCCAGTCTACAGCTCCCAGCGTGAGCGACGCCGAAGACGGGTGATTTCTGCATTTCCATCTGAGGTACCGGGTTCATCTCACTAGGGAGTGCCAGACAGTGGGCGCAGGTCAGTGGGTGGGCTCACCGCGTGCGAGCGGAAGCAGGGCGAGGCATTGCCTCACTTGGGACGCGCAAGCGGTCAGGGAGTTCCCTTCTGAGTCAAAGAAAGGGGTGACGGATGCCACCTGGAGAATCGGGTCACTCCCACCCGAATACTGCGCTTTTCCGACGGGCTTAAAAAACGGCACACCACTAGATTATATCCCGCACCTGGCTCGGAGGGTCCTACGCCCACGCAGTCTCACTGATTGCTAGCACAGCAGTCTGAGATCAAACTGCAAGGCGGCAACGAGGCTGGGGGAGGGGCGCCCGCCATTGCCCAGGCTTGATTAGGTAAACAAAGCCGCAGGGAAGCTCCAACTGGGTGGAGCCCACCACAGCTCAAGGAGGCCTGCCTGCCTCTGTAGGCTCCACCTCTAGGGGCAGGGCACAGACAAACAAAAAGACAGCAGTAACCTCTGCAGACTTAAATGACCCTGTCTGACAGCTTTGAAGAGAGCAGTGGTTCTCCCAGCACGCAGCTGGAGATCTGAGAACGGGCAGACTGCCTCCTCAAGTGGGTCCCTGACCCCTGACCCCCCGAGCAGCCTAACTGGGAGGCACCCCCCAGCAGGGGCACACTGACACCTCACACGGCAGGGTATTCCAACAGACCTGCAGCTGAGGGTCCTCTCAGTTAGAAGGAAAACTAACAAACAGAAAGGACATCCACACCAAAAACCCATCTGTACATCACCATCATCAAAGACCAAAAGTAGATAAAACCACAAAGAGGGGGAAAAAACAGAACAGAAAAACTGGAAACTCTAAAAAGCAGAGCACCTCTCCTCCTCCAAAGGAACGCAGTTCCTCACCAGCAACGGAACAAAGCTGGATGGAGAATGACTTTGACGAGCTGAGAGAAGAAGGCTTCAGACGATCAAATTACTCTGAGCTACGGGAGGACATTCAAACCAAAGGCAAAGAAGTTGAAAACTTTGGAAAAAAAAAATGTAGAAGAATGTATAACTAGAATAACCAATACAGAGAAGTGCTTAAAGGAGCTGATGGAGCTGAAAACCAAGGCTCAAGAACTACGTGAAGAATGCAGAAGCCTCAGGAGCTGATGCGATCAACTGGAAGAAAGGGTATCAGCAATGGAAGATGAAATGAATGAAATGAAGTGAGAAGGGAAGTTTGGAGAAAAAAGAATAAAACGAAATGAGCAAAGCCTCCAAGAAATATGGGACTATGTGAAAAGACCAAATCTACGTCTGCTTGGTGTACCTGAAAGTGATCGGGAGAATGGAACCAAGCTGGAAAACACTCTGCAGGATATTATCCAGGAGAACTTCCCCAATCTAGCAAGGCAGGCCAACGTTCAGATTCAGGAAATACAGAGAACACCACAAAGATACTCCTCGAGAAGAGCAACTCCAAGACACATAATTGTCAGATTCACCAAAGTTGAAATGAAGGAAAAAATGTTAAGGGCAGCCAGAGAGAAAGGTCGGGTTACCCTCAAAGGGAAGCCCATCAGACTAACAGTGGATCTCTCGGCAGAAACCCTACAAGCCAGAAGAGAGTGGGGGCCAATATTCAACATTCTTAAAGAAAATAATTTTCAACCCAGAATTTCATATCCAGCCAAACTAAGCTTCATAAGCGAAGGAGAAATAAAATACTTTACAGACAAGCAAATGCTGAGAGATTTTGTCACCACCAAGCCTGCCTTATAAGAGCTCCTGAAGGAAGCACTAAACATGGAAAGGAACAACCGGTACCAGCCGCTGCAAAATCATGCCAAAATGTAAAGACCATCGAGACTAGGAAGAAACTGCATCAACTAACAAGCAAAATAACCAGCTAACATCATAATGACAGGATCAAATTCATACATAACAATATTAACTTTAAATGTCAATGGACTAAATGCTCCAATTAAAAGACACAGACTGGCAAACTGGATAAAGAGTCAAGACCCATCAGTGTGCTGTATTCAGGAAACCCATCTCACGTGCAGAGACACACATAGGCTCAAAATAAAAGGATGCAGGAAGATCTACCAAGCAAATGGAAAACAAAAAAAGGCAGGGGTTGCAATCCTAGTCTCTGATAAAACAGACTTTAAACCAACAAAGATCGAAAGAGACAAAGAAGGCCATTACATAATGGTAAAGGGATCAATTCAACAAGAAGAGCTAACTATCCTAAATATATATGCACCCAATACAGGAGCACCAAGATTCATAAAGCAAGTCCTGAGTGACCTACAAAGAGACTTAGACTCCCACACATTAATAATGGGAGACTTTAACACCCCACTGTCAACATTAGACAGATCAACGAGACAGAAAGTCAACAAGGATACCCAGGAATTGAACTCAGCTCTGCACCAAGTGGACCTAATAGACATCTACAGAACTCTCCACCCCAAATCAACAGAATATACATTTTTTTTCAGCACCACACCACACCTATTCCAAAACTGACCACATACTGGGAAGTAAAGCTCTCCTCAGCGGATGTAAAAGAACAGAAATTATAACAAACTATCTCTCAGACCACAGTGCAATCAAACTAGAACTCAGGATTAAGAATCTCACTCAAAACCACTCAACTACATGGAAACTGAACAACCTGCTCCTGAATGACTACTGGGTACATAACAAAATGAAGGCAGAAATAAAGATGTTCTTTGAAACCAACGAGAACAAAGACACAACATACCGGAATCTCTGGGATGCATTCAAAGCAGTGTGTAGAGGGAAATTTATAGCACTAAATGCCCACAAGAGAAAGCAGGAAAGATCCAAAATTGACACCGTAACATCACAATTAAAAGAACTAGAAAAGCAAGAGCAAACACAGTCAAAAGCTAGCAGAAGGCAAGAAATAACTAAGATCAGAGCAGAACTGAAGGAAATAGAGACACAAAAAACCCTTCAAAAAATTAATGAATCCAGGAGCTGGTTTTTTGAAAGGATCAACAAAAGTGACAGACCGCTAGCAAGACTAATAAAGAAAAAAAGAGAGAAGAATCCAATAGACGCAATAAAAAATGATAAAGGGGATATCGCCACTGATCACACAGAAATACAAACTACCATCAGAGAATACTACAAACACCTCTACGCAAATAAACTAGAAAATCTAGAAGAAATGGATAAACTCCTCGACACATACACTCTCCCAAGACTAAACCAGGAAGAAGTTGAATCTCTGAATAGACCAATAACAGGAGCTGAAATTGTGGCAATAATCAATAGCTCACCAACCAAAAAGAGTCCAGGACCAGATGGATTCACAGCCGAATTCTACCAGAGGTACAAGGAGGAACTGGTACCATTCCTTCTGAAACTATTCCAATCAACAGAAAAAGACAGAATCCTCCCTAACTCATTTTATGAGGCCAGCATCATTCTGATACCAAAGCCAGGCAGAGACACAACCAAAAAAGAGAATTTTAGACCAATATCCTTGATGAACATTGATGCAAAAATCCTCAATAAAATACTGGCAAAACGAATCCAGCGGCACATCAAAAAGCTTATCCACCATGATCAAGTGGGCTTCATCGCTGGGATGCAAGGCTGGTTCAATATACGCAAATCAATAAATGTAATCCAGCATATAAACAGAACCAAAGACAAAAAACACATGATTATCTCAATAGATGCAGAAAAAGCCCTTGACAAAATTCAACAACCCTTCATGCTAAAAACTCTCAATAAATTAGGTATTGATGGGACGTATTTCAAAATAGTAAGAGCTATCTATGACAAACCCACAGCCAATATCATACTGAATGGGCAAAAACTGGAAGCATTCCCTTTGAAAACTGGCACAAGAGAGGGATGCCCTCTCTCACCACTCCTATTCAACATAGTGTTGGAAGTTCTGGCCAGGGCAATTAGGCAGGAGAAGGAAATAAAGGGTATTCAATTAGGAAAGGAGGAAGTCAAATTGTCCCTGTTTGCAGACAACATGATTATATATCTAGAAAACCCCATTGTCTCAGCCCAAAATCTCCTTAAGCTGATAAGCAACTTCAGCAAAGTCTCAGGATACAAAATCAATGTACAAAAATCACAAGCATTCTTATACACCAACAACAGACAAACAGAGAGCCCAATCATGAGTGAACTCCCATTCACAATTGCTTCAAAGGGAATAAAATGCCTAGGAAATCAACTTACAAGGGATGTGAAGGACCTCTTCAAGGAGAACTACAAACCACTGCTCAAGGAAATAAAAGAGGATACAAACAAATGGAAGAACATTCCATGCTCATGAGTAGGAAGAATCAATATCGTGAAAATGGCCATACTGCCCAAGGTAATTTACAGATTCAATGCCATCCCCATCAAGCTACCAATGCCTTTCTTCACAGAATTGGAAAAAACTACTTTAAAGTTCACATGGAACCAAAAAAGAGCCCGCATTGCCAAGTCAATCCTAAGCCAAAAGAACAAAGCTGGAGGCATCACACTACCTGACTTCAAACTATACTACAAGGCTACAGTAACCAAAACAGCATGGTACTGGTACCAAAACAGAGATATAGATCAATGGAACAGAACAGAGCCCTCAGAAATAACGCCGCATATCTACAACTATCTGATCTTTGACAAACCTGAGAAAAACAAGCAATGGGGAAAGGATTCCCTATTTAATAAATGGTGCTGGGAAAACTGGCTAGCCATATGTAGAAAGCTGAAACTGGATCCCTTCCTTACACCTTATACAAAAATCAATTCAAGATGGATTAAAGACTTAAACGTTAGACGTAAAACCATAAAAACCCTAGAAGAAAACCTAGGCATTACCATTCAGGACATAGGCATAGGCGAGGACTTCACGTCTAAAACACCAAAAGCAATGGCAATAAAAGACAAAATTGACAAATGGGATCTAATTAAACTAAAGAGCTTCTGCACAGAAAAAGAAACTACCATCAGAGTGAACAGGCAACCTACAAAATGGGAGAAAATTTTCACAACCTACTCATCTGACAAAGGGCTAATATCCAGAATCTACAATGAGCTAAAACAAATTTACAAGAAAAAACAAACAACCTCATCAAAAAGTGGGTGAAGGACATGAACAGACACTTCTCAAAAGAAGACATTTATGCAGCCAAAAAACACATGAAAAAATGCTCATCATCACTGGCCATCAGAGAAATGCAAATCAAAACCACAGTGAGATACCATCTCACACCAGTTAGAATGGCAATCATTTAAAAGTCAGGAGACAACAGGTGCTGGAGAAGATGTGGAGAAACAGGAACACTTTTACACTGTTGGCGGGACTGTAAACTAGTTCAACCATTGTGGAAGTCAGTGTGGCGATTCCTCAGGGATCTAGAACTGGAAATAGCATTTGACCCAGCCATCCCATTACTGGGTGTATACACAAAGGACTATAAATCATGCTGCTATAAAGACACATGCACACGTATGTTTATTGCGGCATTATTCACAATAGCAAAGACTTGGAACCAACCCAAATGTCCAACAATGATAGACTGGATTAAGAAAATGTGGCACATATACACCATGGAATACTATGCCGCCATAAAAAATGATGACTTCATGTCCTTTGTAGGGACATGGATGAAATTGGAAATCATCATTCTCAGTAAACTATCGCAAGAACAAAAAACCAAACACCGCATATTCTCACTCATAGGTGGGAATTGAACAATGAGATCACATGGACACAGGAAGGGATATATCACACTCTGGGGACTGTTGTGGGGTGGGGGGAGGGGGGAGGGATAGCACTGGGAGATATACCTAATGCTAGATGAGGAGTTAGAGGGTGCAGAGCACCAGCATGGCACATGTATACATATGGAACTAACCTGCACAATGTGCACATGGACCCTAAAACTTAAAGCATAATTTAAAAAAAAAAAAGAATTGACTACTTCACCAAAGTTTACCTTATACTGTGTACTTATTCACACCCAGAAGTTATTTCTTACACTGGTGATAAGGCTCCATTAAGACAGATTGCAATGTAAGTTAAATTAATACATTTGCAATTTTGCTGTAAGAATATTTCTAGACTGTTTTGTATCAGACAATATTATAGGGTAATATGTAGTTCTATAGATGTTATGGCTTTGTCTGTACTTCATTCCAAAAAACTAAGTGCAGTCTATAATCCAATACTGGAGAAGAGGAAGTATAATGTCTTATATGTTTCAATAAATGCTTATTGTTTGAAAACATACAGGCAGTAGCATACATGAATACACCCAGATTCAGTAACGGCTCACAGTAAATGACAGTAACAAGTAGAGCTTTTCTTCTACCCATTGTTCAGAGAAGGAAAAATAAGAGGTATACCATACATGTTTCAAGTACATGGAAAATATCAACAAATTAGAAACACTGCAGAACTATTTCACTATTATTTTGTTACTACATTTTCCATCAAAGAAAATGTCTTTTAAGCTAACACATCAATGAAATGAACTAAGAAGAATATAAACGTTATTTATCAACAGTAAGTGATAGAGTATGTCAAACCCTACTTTAAATATCAATGTCACCAGGATCAGAGAAATTAGATGCCAGAAACTCAAGCGGTTTATATATATATACTAAATCACATCAGAAATCTACCCATTCCAGAACCAGAATATATCCAGAAGTCAGCAATTTATATGAGGAGGCATCTGGAAATCATTTCAAATAAAGGATAGCTAGATGAATTGCTAAACTTACGGAAGAATAAAGTAGGCAGACACATAAGGAGAGCTGCTTTCATTCACTTTAGGAACTGCTTATACGGGGGAAAGCTGCTCTGGTGATTTGCAGGTAATACTCTCCTTTACTTCTATTCTTATTTAAGCATAATTAACAGCAAAGCATTTCTGTTTCTCTTCTATAAATTTACTACTGCTGGTAAAGCCAGAGGCAGATTCTATGCAGCTACATGCTAATTCTAAAGTCACGTGAATATTACCTTTCTTTGATTATATAGTCTATCATTATGTGGAGCTGCCATTGCTTAAGCACATAAAACCCTGAGGGCAAAAAAGGCACTGTTGCTGCCATGGGAGTTTATACTCGGGTTAACAAGAAAGTAACAACAACAACAACAAACATTAATATAAAGAGTCACTTAAAAATATTTATAGGCATATATGACATGGAAAAAAAATCAAGAATGAACAGGAAGTCTATGTTTGGCTAATTCCCTTAACGTCAAGGACAACATAATCCCTTTGCTCCCCAACAGGCCCCTAAGGTGGCATCTTTAAAAAAAAAAAAAAAAAAAAGGAAACCAAAACTATTAAACTATTCCTACATATTTTCAAACACACATGAGAAACACAGTATTGAAGTACTTATTCCGCTGTCTCCTTTTTTATTATAATAAAAGTAACAGAAAGGAAAACTTAAGTACTTTATGTTTCTTGTCCATGACATTCTTGTTACTTTAAATTTGAATCTTCACCTTTCTCCAAATTTTTGGGAGTTGGCAATGTGGAAACCTCAAAAATACTAGCTCTTTCAGTTTATTACCATAGATATAGTTATGGGTCATAGATATACTTGTATCTATGAGAAGAGATCCTGAGAATGACTACCGTCAAACAGCCAGCTAAAATGAAAATATAATTGGAATTCTGTGCTCTGAAAAGTGGATCATAATTTTATTTCACTCTATCTCCCTAAAAAAATTCATGAAAGTCAGTTTGGATGTTTCATTCAGCTATTTGACAGCAAAGATGAAAACTATATCCACAAATGAAGAAGGGGACACCAAATCTCAGAAATCTCTTCTACACAAATGTTATTGCCAAGGATATTCCTGTAAAAATATTACTTCATTACTTCTAAATAAGACAGAGGTCTTCATTCTACACTAAGTCTTTCCTTAAATTTTAGGGACACTTCACTAGTTAAAAATGACCAACTATTCAGGAAATTTCTATAAACAAGTTAAAGGCCTCAATAATACCTGAAAGCAAACCATTTTACTACCTCTTACATTACCTGATAATTGTATACAGGCAACTGATATCCAGTGGTGACCTGAACTGGTGAATTTGGATAAGCAGGAAATGCCTGAAAAGGTTGCAGAAAAAATGAATATGGTAAACCACATTTTAAAATTAGAAAGAAATATAATTCCCAATATAAGAAAAATATTACAAAACGGAAAATATCCTTTTTCTACATACAACAATGCAGAATTCCAAATGAATGACTTTATGAGGAAAGAAAGATTCTATGTCAAGTGCTACACTTTGGGTGTGAAGGGGGAACAAATGACAAAGAACTGACTACTTCACCAAAATTTACCTTATACTGTGTACTTATTCACACCCAGAAATTATGTCTTACACTGGTGATAAGGTTCCACTAAGACAGATTGCAATGTAAGGTAAATCAATACATTTGCAATTTCGCTGTAAGAATATTTCCAGACTGTTTTGTATCAGACAATATTGTAGGGTAATATGTAGTTCTATAGATGTTATGGCTTTGTCTGTATTTCATTCCAAAAAACTAATTGCAGTCTATATTCCAATACTGGAGAATAAAAAGTATAATGTCTGACATGTTTCAACAAATTCTTATTGTTTGAAAACATACAGTTAGCAGCATACATGAATACACCCAGAATCACTAATGCCTCACAGTAAACGAGAGAAACAAGTAGGGCTTTTTTTCTAGCCATGGTTCAGAGAAGGAAAAAGAAGAGGTATACCATACATGTTTCAAGTACATGGAAAATATCAACAAATTAGAGACACAGCAGAACGATTTCACTATTATTTCATTACTTCATTTTCTGTCAAAGAAAATGTCTTTTAAGCTAACACATCAATGAAATGAACTAAGAAGAAAATAAACGATATTTATCAACAGTAAGTGACACACTATGTCAAACCCTACTTTAAATATCAATGTAACCACGATCAGAGAAATTACATGCCAGAAACTCACCGGGTTTATATATATATACTAAACCACGTCAGAAATCTGCCCATTCCAGAACCAGAATATATCCAGAAGTCAGCCATTTATATGAGGAGGCATGTGGCAATCATTTCAAATAAAGGATAGCTAGATAAACTGCTAAACTTACCGAAGAATAAAGTAGGCAGACACATAAGGAGAGCTGCTTTCATTCACTTTAGGAACTGCTTATAAGGGGGAAAGCAGCTCCGGTGAGTTGGAGGTAATACTCTCCTTTACTCCTATTCTTATTTAGGCGTCATTAACAGCAAAGCATTTCTGTTTCTCTTCTATAAATTTTCTACTGCTGGTAAAGCCAGAGGCATATTCTGTGCAGACACATGCTAATTCTAAAGTCACGTGAATACTCCCTTTCTTTGATTATATAGTCTATCATTATGTAGACCTGCCATTGCTTAAGCACATAAAAACCTGAGGACAAAAAAGGCACTGTTGCTGCCATGGGAGTTTATAATCGGGTTAACAAGAAGGAAACAACAACAAAAAAAACATTAACATAAAAAGTCACTTAAAAATATTTGTAGGCATATATGACATGGAAAAAAATCAAGAATGAACAGGAAGTCTATGTTTGGCTAATTCCCTTAATGTCAAGGACAACATAATCCCTTTGCTACCCAACAGGCCCCTAAGGTGGAATCTTAAAAAATCAATTAATAAATAAAAGGAAACCAAAACTATTGAAGTATTACTACACATTTTCAAAAACACATGAGAAACACAATATTAAAGTACTTATCCTGCTGTCTCCTTTTTTATTGTAATAAAAGTAACAGAAAGGAAAACTCAAATACTTTATGTTTCTAGTCCATGACATTCTTGTTACTTTTACATTGGAAACTTCAGCTCTCTCCACATTTTCGGGATTTCGCAATGTGGAAACCTCAAAGATACTAGCTCTTTCAGTTTATTACCGTAGATATAATTATGGGTCACAGATACACTTGTATCTATGAAAAGAGATCCAGAGCATTACTATCGTCAAACAGCCAGCTAAAATGAAAATGTAATTGGGATTCTGTGCTCTGAAAAGTGCAGCATAATTTTATTTCAGTCTATCTCCCTAAGAAAATTCATGAAAGACACTTTGGACGTTTCATTTAGCTATTTGACAGTAAAGATGAAAACTACATCCAGAAATGAAGAAGAGAACACCAAATCTCAGAAATCTGTTCTACAGAAAAGTTATTGCCAAGTATATTCCTGTCAAAATACTACCTCATTATTCTAAATAACACAGAGGTCTTCATTCTACACTAAGTGTTTCCTTAAATTTTAGGTACAATTCACTAGTTTAAAATGAGCAACTATTCAGGAAATTTGTATGAACAAGTTAAAGGCCTCAATAATACCTAAAAGCAAATCATTTTACTCCCTCTGACATTACCTGATAATTGTATACAGGGAACTGATATCCAGTGGCGACTTGAAATGGTGAATTTGGATAAGCAGGAAATGCCTGAAAAGAAAGGTTCCAGAAAAAAATGAATACGGTAAACCATTTTTTTAAAATTAGAAAGAAATATAATTCTGAATATAACAAAAATAGGTAAAATATTGTTTTTCTACATACAATAATGCAGAATTCTAAATGAATGACTGACTTTATGAAGAAAGAAAGATTCTATGACAAGTGCTACACTTTGGGAGTGAAGGGGGAACTAATGACAAAAGAATTGACTATTTCACCAAAGTTTACCTTATACTGTGTACTTATTCACACCCAGAAGTTATTTCTTACACTGGTGGTAAGGCTCCATTAAGAGAGATTGCAAGGTAAGTTAAATTAATACATTTGCTATTTCCCTGTCAGAATATTTCTAGACTGTTTTGTATCAGACAATATTATAGGACAATATATAGTTTGACAGATGTTATGGCTTTGTCTGTACTTCATTACGAAAAACTAAGTGCAGTCTATAATCCAATACTGGACAAGAGAAAGTATAATGTCTTATATGTTTCAAAAAATTTTTATTATCTGAAAACATACAGGTAGCAGCATACATGAATACACCCAGATTCAGTAATCGCTCACAGTAAATGACAGAAACAAGTAAGGCTTTTTTTCTAGCCATTGTTCAGAGAAGGAAAAAGAAGAGGTATACCATACATGTTTCAAGTACATGGAAAATATCACGAAATTAGAGACAACCGCAGAACTATTTCACTATTATTTTGTTACTTCATTTTCCATCAAAGAAAATGTCTTTTAAGCTAACACATAAATAAAACGAACTAAGAAGAATATAAAGGTTAGTTATCAACATTAAGTGATGGAGTATGTCAAACCCTACTTTAAATATCAGTGTAACCAGAATCAGAGAAATTAGACGCCAGAAGCTCACGGGGTTTATATATATACTAAACCACATCAGAAATCTACCCATTCCAGAAGAAGAATATTTCCAGAAGTCAGCAATTTATATGAGGAGGCATCCGGAAATCATTTCAAATAAAGAATAGCTAGATGAACTGCTAAACTTACCAAAGAATAAAGTAGGCAGACACATAAGGGGAGCTGCTTTCATTCACTTTAGGAACTGGTTATAAGGGGGAAAGCAGCTCCGGTGATTTGGCGGTAATACTCTCGTTTACTCCTATTCTCATTTAAGCGTCATTAACAGCAAAGCATTTCTGTTTCTCTTCTATAAATATTCTATTGCTGGTAAAGCCAGAGGCAGATTCTATGCAGATACATGCTAATTGTAAAGTCACATGAACACTACCTTTCTTTGATTATATAGTCTGTCATTATATGGACCTGCCATTGCTTAACCACATAAAAACCTGAGGGCAAAAAAGGCACTCTTGCTCCCATGGGAGTTTATAATCGGGTTAACAAGAAAGTAACAACAACAAAAAAATTAATATAAAGAATCACTTAAAAATATTTATAGGCATATATGACATGGAAAAAAATCAAGAATGAACAGGAAATCTATGTTTGGCTAATTCACTTAACGTCAAGGACAACATAATCCTTTGCTCCCCAACAGGACCTTATGGTGGCATCTTAAAAAAAAAAAAGAAAGAAAAAGAAAGAAAAAAAAAGGACACCGAAACTATTATATGTATTCCTACACATTTTCAAAAACACATGAGAAATACAACATTGAAGTACTTATCCGGCTGTCTCCTTTTTCATTATAATAAAAGTAACAGAAAGGAAAACTTAAGTACTTTATGTTTCTAGTCCATGACATTCTTGTTACTTTTATATTGGAAACTTCACCTTTCTCCAAATTTTCGGGAGTTGGCAAGGTGGAAACCTCAAAGATACTACCTCTTTCAGTTTCTTACCATAGATGTAATTATGGGTCATAGATATACTTGTATCTATGAAAAGAGATCCAGAGCATTACTATCTTCAAACAGCCAGCTAAAATGAAAATGTAATTGGGATTCTGTGCTCTGAAAAGTGCAGCATAAATTTATTTCACTCTATCTCCCTAAGAAAATTCATGAAAGTCAGTTTGGATGTTTCATTCAGCTATTTCACAGTAAAGATGAAAACTGCATCCAGAAATAAAGAAGAGAACACCACATCTCAGAAATCTCTTCTACAGAAAAGTTATTGCCAAGTATATTCCTCTCAAAATACTACTTCATTACTTCTAAATAAGACAGAGGTCTTCATTCTACACTACTTCTACGTGTTTCCTTAAATTTTAGGTACACTTCACTAATTTAAAATGACCAACTATTCAGGAAATTTGTATAAACAAGTTGAATGCCTCAGTAATACCTGAAAGTAAATCATTTTACTCCTTCTTACATTACCTGATAATTATATACAGGCAACTGATATCCAGCAGTGACCTGAAATGGTGATCTTGGATAAGCAGGAAATGGCTGAAAAGAAAGGTTGCAGAAAAAAATGAATATGGTAAACCACTTTTTAAAATTACAAAGAAATATAATTCCCAATATAACAAAAATATTACAAAAGGTAAAATATCCTTTTTCTACGTACAACAATGCAGAATTCCAAATGAATGACTGACTTTATGAAGAAAGAAAGATTCTAGGTCAAGTGCTACACTATGGGTGTGAAGGGGGAACAAATGACAAAAGAATTGACTACTTCACCAAAGTTTACCTTATACTGTGTACTTATTCACACCCAGACGTTATTTCTTACACTGGTGGTAAGGCTCCATTAAGAGAGATTGCAAGGTAAGTTAAATTAATACATTTGCAATTTCTCTGTAAGAATATTTCTAGACTGTTTTGTATCAGACAATATTATAGGGTAATATGTAGTTCGACAGATGTTATGGCTTTGTCTGTACTTCATTACGAAAAACTAAGTGCAGTCTATGATCCAATACTGGAGAAGAGAAAGTATAATGTCTTACATGTTTCAATAAATTCTTATTGTTTGAAAACATACAGGTAGCAGCATACATGAATACACCCAGAATCAGTGATGCCTCACAGTAAATGACAGAAAAAAGTAGGACTTTTTTTCTAGCCATTGTTCAGAGAAGGAAAAAGAAGAGGTATACCATACAAGTTTCAAGTACATGGAAAATATCAACAAATTAGAGACACTGCATAACTATTTCACTATTATTTTGTTACTTCATTTTCCGTCAAAGAAAATGTCTTTAAAGCTAACACGTCAATAAAATGAACTAAGAAGAATATAAACGTTATTTATCAACAGTAGGTGACAGAGTATGTCAAACCCTACTTTAAATATCAATGTAACCAGGATCAGAGAAATTAGATGCCAGAAGCTCACGGGGTTTACATATATATACTAAACCACATCAGAAATCTACCCATTCCAGAACCAGGAAATATCCAGAAGTCAGCAATTTATATGAGGAGGCATCTGGAAATCATTTCAAATAAAGGATAGCTAGATGAACTGCTAAACTTACCGAAGAATAAAGTAGGCAGACACATAAGGAGAGCTGCTTTCATTCACTTTAGGAACTGCTTATAAGGGGGAAAGCAGCTCCGGTGATTTGGAGGTAATACTCTCGTTCACTCCTGTTCTTATTTAAGCGTCATTAACAGCAAAGCAATTCTGTTTCTCTTCTATAAATTTTCTATTGCTGGTAAAGCCAGAGGCAGATTATTGGCAGATACGTGATAATTCTAAAGTCAAGTGAATACTACTTTTCTGTGATTATATAGTCTATCATTATGTGGACCTGCCATTGCTTAGGCACATAAAAACCTGAGGGCAAAAAAGGCACTCTTGCTCCCATGGGAGTTCATAATCGGGTTAACAAGAAAGTAACAACGACAAAAAAATTAATATAAAGAATCACTTAAAAATATTTATAGGCATATAGGACATGGAAAAAAATCAAGAATGAACAGGAAGTCTATGTTTGGCTAATTCCCTTAACGTCAAGGACAACATAATCCCTTTGCTCCCCAACAGGCCCCTAAGGTGGCATCTTTAAAAAAAAAAAAAAAAAAAAGGAAACCAAAACTATTAAACTATTCCTACATATTTTCAAACACACATGAGAAACACAGTATTGAAGTACTTATTCCGCTGTCTCCTTTTTTATTATAATAAAAGTAACAGAAAGGAAAACTTAAGTACTTTATGTTTCTTGTCCATGACATTCTTGTTACTTTAAATTTGAATCTTCACCTTTCTCCAAATTTTTGGGAGTTGGCAATGTGGAAACCTCAAAAATACTAGCTCTTTCAGTTTATTACCATAGATATAGTTATGGGTCATAGATATACTTGTATCTATGAGAAGAGATCCTGAGAATGACTACCGTCAAACAGCCAGCTAAAATGAAAATATAATTGGAATTCTGTGCTCTGAAAAGTGGATCATAATTTTATTTCACTCTATCTCCCTAAAAAAATTCATGAAAGTCAGTTTGGATGTTTCATTCAGCTATTTGACAGCAAAGATGAAAACTATATCCACAAATGAAGAAGGGGACACCAAATCTCAGAAATCTCTTCTACACAAATGTTATTGCCAAGGATATTCCTGTAAAAATATTACTTCATTACTTCTAAATAAGACAGAGGTCTTCATTCTACACTAAGTCTTTCCTTAAATTTTAGGGACACTTCACTAGTTAAAAATGACCAACTATTCAGGAAATTTCTATAAACAAGTTAAAGGCCTCAATAATACCTGAAAGCAAACCATTTTACTACCTCTTACATTACCTGATAATTGTATACAGGCAACTGATATCCAGTGGTGACCTGAACTGGTGAATTTGGATAAGCAGGAAATGCCTGAAAAGGTTGCAGAAAAAATGAATATGGTAAACCACATTTTAAAATTAGAAAGAAATATAATTCCCAATATAAGAAAAATATTACAAAACGGAAAATATCCTTTTTCTACATACAACAATGCAGAATTCCAAATGAATGACTTTATGAGGAAAGAAAGATTCTATGTCAAGTGCTACACTTTGGGTGTGAAGGGGGAACAAATGACAAAGAACTGACTACTTCACCAAAATTTACCTTATACTGTGTACTTATTCACACCCAGAAATTATGTCTTACACTGGTGATAAGGTTCCACTAAGACAGATTGCAATGTAAGGTAAATCAATACATTTGCAATTTCGCTGTAAGAATATTTCCAGACTGTTTTGTATCAGACAATATTGTAGGGTAATATGTAGTTCTATAGATGTTATGGCTTTGTCTGTATTTCATTCCAAAAAACTAATTGCAGTCTATATTCCAATACTGGAGAATAAAAAGTATAATGTCTGACATGTTTCAACAAATTCTTATTGTTTGAAAACATACAGTTAGCAGCATACATGAATACACCCAGAATCACTAATGCCTCACAGTAAACGAGAGAAACAAGTAGGGCTTTTTTTCTAGCCATGGTTCAGAGAAGGAAAAAGAAGAGGTATACCATACATGTTTCAAGTACATGGAAAATATCAACAAATTAGAGACACAGCAGAACGATTTCACTATTATTTCATTACTTCATTTTCTGTCAAAGAAAATGTCTTTTAAGCTAACACATCAATGAAATGAACTAAGAAGAAAATAAACGATATTTATCAACAGTAAGTGACACACTATGTCAAACCCTACTTTAAATATCAATGTAACCACGATCAGAGAAATTACATGCCAGAAACTCACCGGGTTTATATATATATACTAAACCACGTCAGAAATCTGCCCATTCCAGAACCAGAATATATCCAGAAGTCAGCCATTTATATGAGGAGGCATGTGGCAATCATTTCAAATAAAGGATAGCTAGATAAACTGCTAAACTTACCGAAGAATAAAGTAGGCAGACACATAAGGAGAGCTGCTTTCATTCACTTTAGGAACTGCTTATAAGGGGGAAAGCAGCTCCGGTGAGTTGGAGGTAATACTCTCCTTTACTCCTATTCTTATTTAGGCGTCATTAACAGCAAAGCATTTCTGTTTCTCTTCTATAAATTTTCTACTGCTGGTAAAGCCAGAGGCATATTCTGTGCAGACACATGCTAATTCTAAAGTCACGTGAATACTCCCTTTCTTTGATTATATAGTCTATCATTATGTAGACCTGCCATTGCTTAAGCACATAAAAACCTGAGGACAAAAAAGGCACTGTTGCTGCCATGGGAGTTTATAATCGGGTTAACAAGAAGGAAACAACAACAAAAAAAACATTAACATAAAAAGTCACTTAAAAATATTTGTAGGCATATATGACATGGAAAAAAATCAAGAATGAACAGGAAGTCTATGTTTGGCTAATTCCCTTAATGTCAAGGACAACATAATCCCTTTGCTACCCAACAGGCCCCTAAGGTGGAATCTTAAAAAATCAATTAATAAATAAAAGGAAACCAAAACTATTGAAGTATTACTACACATTTTCAAAAACACATGAGAAACACAATATTAAAGTACTTATCCTGCTGTCTCCTTTTTTATTGTAATAAAAGTAACAGAAAGGAAAACTCAAATACTTTATGTTTCTAGTCCATGACATTCTTGTTACTTTTACATTGGAAACTTCAGCTCTCTCCACATTTTCGGGATTTCGCAATGTGGAAACCTCAAAGATACTAGCTCTTTCAGTTTATTACCGTAGATATAATTATGGGTCACAGATACACTTGTATCTATGAAAAGAGATCCAGAGCATTACTATCGTCAAACAGCCAGCTAAAATGAAAATGTAATTGGGATTCTGTGCTCTGAAAAGTGCAGCATAATTTTATTTCAGTCTATCTCCCTAAGAAAATTCATGAAAGACACTTTGGACGTTTCATTTAGCTATTTGACAGTAAAGATGAAAACTACATCCAGAAATGAAGAAGAGAACACCAAATCTCAGAAATCTGTTCTACAGAAAAGTTATTGCCAAGTATATTCCTGTCAAAATACTACCTCATTATTCTAAATAACACAGAGGTCTTCATTCTACACTAAGTGTTTCCTTAAATTTTAGGTACAATTCACTAGTTTAAAATGAGCAACTATTCAGGAAATTTGTATGAACAAGTTAAAGGCCTCAATAATACCTAAAAGCAAATCATTTTACTCCCTCTGACATTACCTGATAATTGTATACAGGGAACTGATATCCAGTGGCGACTTGAAATGGTGAATTTGGATAAGCAGGAAATGCCTGAAAAGAAAGGTTCCAGAAAAAAATGAATACGGTAAACCATTTTTTTAAAATTAGAAAGAAATATAATTCTGAATATAACAAAAATAGGTAAAATATTGTTTTTCTACATACAATAATGCAGAATTCTAAATGAATGACTGACTTTATGAAGAAAGAAAGATTCTATGACAAGTGCTACACTTTGGGAGTGAAGGGGGAACTAATGACAAAAGAATTGACTATTTCACCAAAGTTTACCTTATACTGTGTACTTATTCACACCCAGAAGTTATTTCTTACACTGGTGGTAAGGCTCCATTAAGAGAGATTGCAAGGTAAGTTAAATTAATACATTTGCTATTTCCCTGTCAGAATATTTCTAGACTGTTTTGTATCAGACAATATTATAGGACAATATATAGTTTGACAGATGTTATGGCTTTGTCTGTACTTCATTACGAAAAACTAAGTGCAGTCTATAATCCAATACTGGACAAGAGAAAGTATAATGTCTTATATGTTTCAAAAAATTTTTATTATCTGAAAACATACAGGTAGCAGCATACATGAATACACCCAGATTCAGTAATCGCTCACAGTAAATGACAGAAACAAGTAAGGCTTTTTTTCTAGCCATTGTTCAGAGAAGGAAAAAGAAGAGGTATACCATACATGTTTCAAGTACATGGAAAATATCACGAAATTAGAGACAACCGCAGAACTATTTCACTATTATTTTGTTACTTCATTTTCCATCAAAGAAAATGTCTTTTAAGCTAACACATAAATAAAACGAACTAAGAAGAATATAAAGGTTAGTTATCAACATTAAGTGATGGAGTATGTCAAACCCTACTTTAAATATCAGTGTAACCAGAATCAGAGAAATTAGACGCCAGAAGCTCACGGGGTTTATATATATACTAAACCACATCAGAAATCTACCCATTCCAGAAGAAGAATATTTCCAGAAGTCAGCAATTTATATGAGGAGGCATCCGGAAATCATTTCAAATAAAGAATAGCTAGATGAACTGCTAAACTTACCAAAGAATAAAGTAGGCAGACACATAAGGGGAGCTGCTTTCATTCACTTTAGGAACTGGTTATAAGGGGGAAAGCAGCTCCGGTGATTTGGCGGTAATACTCTCGTTTACTCCTATTCTCATTTAAGCGTCATTAACAGCAAAGCATTTCTGTTTCTCTTCTATAAATATTCTATTGCTGGTAAAGCCAGAGGCAGATTCTATGCAGATACATGCTAATTGTAAAGTCACATGAACACTACCTTTCTTTGATTATATAGTCTGTCATTATATGGACCTGCCATTGCTTAACCACATAAAAACCTGAGGGCAAAAAAGGCACTCTTGCTCCCATGGGAGTTTATAATCGGGTTAACAAGAAAGTAACAACAACAAAAAAATTAATATAAAGAATCACTTAAAAATATTTATAGGCATATATGACATGGAAAAAAATCAAGAATGAACAGGAAATCTATGTTTGGCTAATTCACTTAACGTCAAGGACAACATAATCCTTTGCTCCCCAACAGGACCTTATGGTGGCATCTTAAAAAAAAAAAAGAAAGAAAAAGAAAGAAAAAAAAAGGACACCGAAACTATTATATGTATTCCTACACATTTTCAAAAACACATGAGAAATACAACATTGAAGTACTTATCCGGCTGTCTCCTTTTTCATTATAATAAAAGTAACAGAAAGGAAAACTTAAGTACTTTATGTTTCTAGTCCATGACATTCTTGTTACTTTTATATTGGAAACTTCACCTTTCTCCAAATTTTCGGGAGTTGGCAAGGTGGAAACCTCAAAGATACTACCTCTTTCAGTTTCTTACCATAGATGTAATTATGGGTCATAGATATACTTGTATCTATGAAAAGAGATCCAGAGCATTACTATCTTCAAACAGCCAGCTAAAATGAAAATGTAATTGGGATTCTGTGCTCTGAAAAGTGCAGCATAAATTTATTTCACTCTATCTCCCTAAGAAAATTCATGAAAGTCAGTTTGGATGTTTCATTCAGCTATTTCACAGTAAAGATGAAAACTGCATCCAGAAATAAAGAAGAGAACACCACATCTCAGAAATCTCTTCTACAGAAAAGTTATTGCCAAGTATATTCCTCTCAAAATACTACTTCATTACTTCTAAATAAGACAGAGGTCTTCATTCTACACTACTTCTACGTGTTTCCTTAAATTTTAGGTACACTTCACTAATTTAAAATGACCAGCTATTCAGGAAATTTGTATAAACAAGTTGAATGCCTCAATAATACCTGAAAGTAAATCATTTTACTCCTTCTTACATTACCTGATAATTATATACAGGCAACTGATATCCAGCAGTGACCTGAAATGGTGAACTTGGATAAGCAGGAAATGGCTGAAAAGAAAGGTTGCAGAAAAAAATGAATATGGTAAACCACTTTTTAAAATTACAAAGAAATATAATTCCCAATATAACAAAAATATTACAAAAGGTAAAATATCCTTTTTCTACGTACAACAATGCAGAATTCCAAATGAATGACTGACTTTATGAAGAAAGAAAGATTCTAGGTCAAGTGCTACACTATGGGTGTGAAGGGGGAACAAATGACAAAATTGACTACTTCACCAAAGTTTACCTTATACTGTGTACTTATTCACACCCAGACGTTATTTCTTACACTGGTGGTAAGGCTCCATTAAGAGAGATTGCAAGGTAAGTTAAATTAATACATTTGCAATTTCTCTGTAAGAATATTTCTAGACTGTTTTGTATCAGACAATATTATAGGGTAATATGTAGTTCGACAGATGTTATGGCTTTGTCTGTACTTCATTACGAAAAACTAAGTGCAGTCTATGATCCAATACTGGAGAAGAGAAAGTATAATGTCTTACATGTTTCAATAAATTCTTATTGTTTGAAAACATACAGGTAGCAGCATACATGAATACACCCAGAATCAGTGATGCCTCACAGTAAATGACAGAAAAAAGTAGGACTTTTTTTCTAGCCATTGTTCAGAGAAGGAAAAAGAAGAGGTATACCATACAAGTTTCAAGTACATGGAAAATATCAACAAATTAGAGACACTGCATAACTATTTCACTATTATTTTGTTACTTCATTTTCCGTCAAAGAAAATGTCTTTAAAGCTAACACGTCAATAAAATGAACTAAGAAGAATATAAACGTTATTTATCAACAGTAGGTGACAGAGTATGTCAAACCCTACTTTAAATATCAATGTAACCAGGATCAGAGAAATTAGATGCCAGAAGCTCACGGGGTTTACATATATATACTAAACCACATCAGAAATCTACCCATTCCAGAACCAGGAAATATCCAGAAGTCAGCAATTTATATGAGGAGGCATCTGGAAATCATTTCAAATAAAGGATAGCTAGATGAACTGCTAAACTTACCGAAGAATAAAGTAGGCAGACACATAAGGAGAGCTGCTTTCATTCACTTTAGGAACTGCTTATAAGGGGGAAAGCAGCTCCGGTGATTTGGAGGTAATACTCTCCTTTACTCCTCTTCTTATTTAGGCGTCATTAACAGCAAAGCATTTCTGTTTCTCTTCTATAAATTTTCTACTGCTGGTAAAGCCAGAGGCATATTCTATGCAGACACATGCTAATTCTAAAGTCACGTGAATACTCCCTTTCTTTGATTATATAGTCTATCATTATGTAGACCTGCCATTGCTTAAGCACATAAAAACCTGAGGACAAAAAAGGCACTGTTGCTGCCATGGGAGTTTATAATCGGGTTAACAAGAAGGAAACAACAACAAAAAAAACATTAACATAAAAAGTCACTTAAAAATATTTGTAGGCATATATGACATGGAAAAAAATCAAGAATGAACAGGAAGTCTATGTTTGGCTAATTCCCTTAATGTCAAGGACAACATAATCCCTTTGCTACCCAACAGGCCCCTAAGGTGGAATCTTAAAAAATCAATTAATAAATAAAAGGAAACCAAAACTATTGAAGTATTACTACACATTTTCAAAAACACATGAGAAACACAATATTAAAGTACTTATCCTGCTGTCTCCTTTTTTATTGTAATAAAAGTAACAGAAAGGAAAACTCAAATACTTTATGTTTCTAGTCCATGACATTCTTGTTACTTTTACATTGGAAACTTCAGCTCTCTCCACATTTTCGGGATTTCGCAATGTGGAAACCTCAAAGATACTAGCTCTTTCAGTTTATTACCGTAGATATAATTATGGGTCACAGATACACTTGTATCTATGAAAAGAGATCCAGAGCATTACTATCGTCAAACAGCCAGCTAAAATGAAAATGTAATTGGGATTCTGTGCTCTGAAAAGTGCAGCATAATTTTATTTCAGTCTATCTCCCTAAGAAAATTCATGAAAGACACTTTGGACGTTTCATTTAGCTATTTGACAGTAAAGATGAAAACTACATCCAGAAATGAAGAAGAGAACACCAAATCTCAGAAATCTGTTCTACAGAAAAGTTATTGCCAAGTATATTCCTGTCAAAATACTACCTCATTATTCTAAATAACACAGAGGTCTTCATTCTACACTAAGTGTTTCCTTAAATTTTAGGTACAATTCACTAGTTTAAAATGAGCAACTATTCAGGAAATTTGTATGAACAAGTTAAAGGCCTCAATAATACCTAAAAGCAAATCATTTTACTCCCTCTGACATTACCTGATAATTGTATACAGGGAACTGATATCCAGTGGCGACTTGAAATGGTGAATTTGGATAAGCAGGAAATGCCTGAAAAGAAAGGTTCCAGAAAAAAATGAATACGGTAAACCATTTTTTTAAAATTAGAAAGAAATATAATTCTGAATATAACAAAAATAGGTAAAATATTGTTTTTCTACATACAATAATGCAGAATTCTAAATGAATGACTGACTTTATGAAGAAAGAAAGATTCTATGACAAGTGCTACACTTTGGGAGTGAAGGGGGAACTAATGACAAAAGAATTGACTATTTCACCAAAGTTTACCTTATACTGTGTACTTATTCACACCCAGAAGTTATTTCTTACACTGGTGGTAAGGCTCCATTAAGAGAGATTGCAAGGTAAGTTAAATTAATACATTTGCTATTTCCCTGTCAGAATATTTCTAGACTGTTTTGTATCAGACAATATTATAGGACAATATATAGTTTGACAGATGTTATGGCTTTGTCTGTACTTCATTACGAAAAACTAAGTGCAGTCTATAATCCAATACTGGACAAGAGAAAGTATAATGTCTTATATGTTTCAAAAAATTTTTATTATCTGAAAACATACAGGTAGCAGCATACATGAATACACCCAGATTCAGTAATCGCTCACAGTAAATGACAGAAACAAGTAAGGCTTTTTTTCTAGCCATTGTTCAGAGAAGGAAAAAGAAGAGGTATACCATACATGTTTCAAGTACATGGAAAATATCACGAAATTAGAGACAACCGCAGAACTATTTCACTATTATTTTGTTACTTCATTTTCCATCAAAGAAAATGTCTTTTAAGCTAACACATAAATAAAACGAACTAAGAAGAATATAAAGGTTAGTTATCAACATTAAGTGATGGAGTATGTCAAACCCTACTTTAAATATCAGTGTAACCAGAATCAGAGAAATTAGACGCCAGAAGCTCACGGGGTTTATATATATACTAAACCACATCAGAAATCTACCCATTCCAGAAGAAGAATATTTCCAGAAGTCAGCAATTTATATGAGGAGGCATCCGGAAATCATTTCAAATAAAGAATAGCTAGATGAACTGCTAAACTTACCAAAGAATAAAGTAGGCAGACACATAAGGGGAGCTGCTTTCATTCACTTTAGGAACTGGTTATAAGGGGGAAAGCAGCTCCGGTGATTTGGCGGTAATACTCTCGTTTACTCCTATTCTCATTTAAGCGTCATTAACAGCAAAGCATTTCTGTTTCTCTTCTATAAATATTCTATTGCTGGTAAAGCCAGAGGCAGATTCTATGCAGATACATGCTAATTGTAAAGTCACATGAACACTACCTTTCTTTGATTATATAGTCTGTCATTATATGGACCTGCCATTGCTTAACCACATAAAAACCTGAGGGCAAAAAAGGCACTCTTGCTCCCATGGGAGTTTATAATCGGGTTAACAAGAAAGTAACAACAACAAAAAAATTAATATAAAGAATCACTTAAAAATATTTATAGGCATATATGACATGGAAAAAAATCAAGAATGAACAGGAAATCTATGTTTGGCTAATTCACTTAACGTCAAGGACAACATAATCCTTTGCTCCCCAACAGGACCTTATGGTGGCATCTTAAAAAAAAAAAAGAAAGAAAAAGAAAGAAAAAAAAAGGACACCGAAACTATTATATGTATTCCTACACATTTTCAAAAACACATGAGAAATACAACATTGAAGTACTTATCCGGCTGTCTCCTTTTTCATTATAATAAAAGTAACAGAAAGGAAAACTTAAGTACTTTATGTTTCTAGTCCATGACATTCTTGTTACTTTTATATTGGAAACTTCACCTTTCTCCAAATTTTCGGGAGTTGGCAAGGTGGAAACCTCAAAGATACTACCTCTTTCAGTTTCTTACCATAGATGTAATTATGGGTCATAGATATACTTGTATCTATGAAAAGAGATCCAGAGCATTACTATCTTCAAACAGCCAGCTAAAATGAAAATGTAATTGGGATTCTGTGCTCTGAAAAGTGCAGCATAAATTTATTTCACTCTATCTCCCTAAGAAAATTCATGAAAGTCAGTTTGGATGTTTCATTCAGCTATTTCACAGTAAAGATGAAAACTGCATCCAGAAATAAAGAAGAGAACACCACATCTCAGAAATCTCTTCTACAGAAAAGTTATTGCCAAGTATATTCCTCTCAAAATACTACTTCATTACTTCTAAATAAGACAGAGGTCTTCATTCTACACTACTTCTACGTGTTTCCTTAAATTTTAGGTACACTTCACTAATTTAAAATGACCAGCTATTCAGGAAATTTGTATAAACAAGTTGAATGCCTCAATAATACCTGAAAGTAAATCATTTTACTCCTTCTTACATTACCTGATAATTATATACAGGCAACTGATATCCAGCAGTGACCTGAAATGGTGAACTTGGATAAGCAGGAAATGGCTGAAAAGAAAGGTTGCAGAAAAAAATGAATATGGTAAACCACTTTTTAAAATTACAAAGAAATATAATTCCCAATATAACAAAAATATTACAAAAGGTAAAATATCCTTTTTCTACGTACAACAATGCAGAATTCCAAATGAATGACTGACTTTATGAAGAAAGAAAGATTCTAGGTCAAGTGCTACACTATGGGTGTGAAGGGGGAACAAATGACAAAATTGACTACTTCACCAAAGTTTACCTTATACTGTGTACTTATTCACACCCAGACGTTATTTCTTACACTGGTGGTAAGGCTCCATTAAGAGAGATTGCAAGGTAAGTTAAATTAATACATTTGCAATTTCTCTGTAAGAATATTTCTAGACTGTTTTGTATCAGACAATATTATAGGGTAATATGTAGTTCGACAGATGTTATGGCTTTGTCTGTACTTCATTACGAAAAACTAAGTGCAGTCTATGATCCAATACTGGAGAAGAGAAAGTATAATGTCTTACATGTTTCAATAAATTCTTATTGTTTGAAAACATACAGGTAGCAGCATACATGAATACACCCAGAATCAGTGATGCCTCACAGTAAATGACAGAAAAAAGTAGGACTTTTTTTCTAGCCATTGTTCAGAGAAGGAAAAAGAAGAGGTATACCATACAAGTTTCAAGTACATGGAAAATATCAACAAATTAGAGACACTGCATAACTATTTCACTATTATTTTGTTACTTCATTTTCCGTCAAAGAAAATGTCTTTAAAGCTAACACGTCAATAAAATGAACTAAGAAGAATATAAACGTTATTTATCAACAGTAGGTGACAGAGTATGTCAAACCCTACTTTAAATATCAATGTAACCAGGATCAGAGAAATTAGATGCCAGAAGCTCACGGGGTTTACATATATATACTAAACCACATCAGAAATCTACCCATTCCAGAACCAGGAAATATCCAGAAGTCAGCAATTTATATGAGGAGGCATCTGGAAATCATTTCAAATAAAGGATAGCTAGATGAACTGCTAAACTTACCGAAGAATAAAGTAGGCAGACACATAAGGAGAGCTGCTTTCATTCACTTTAGGAACTGCTTATAAGGGGGAAAGCAGCTCCGGTGATTTGGAGGTAATACTCTCCTTTACTCCTCTTCTTATTTAGGCGTCATTAACAGCAAAGCATTTCTGTTTCTCTTCTATAAATTTTCTACTGCTGGTAAAGCCAGAGGCATATTCTATGCAGACACATGCTAATTCTAAAGTCACGTGAATACTCCCTTTCTTTGATTATATAGTCTATCATTATGTAGACCTGCCATTGCTTAAGCACATAAAAACCTGAGGACAAAAAAGGCACTGTTGCTGCCATGGGAGTTTATAATCGGGTTAACAAGAAGGAAACAACAACAAAAAAAAATTAACATAAAAATCACTTAAAAATATTTGTAGGCATATATGACATGGAAAAAAATCAAGAATGAACAGGAAGTCTATGTTTGGCTAATTCCCTTAACGTCAAGGACAACATAATCCCTTTGCTACCCAACAGGCCCCTAAGGTGGAATCTTAAAAAATCAATCAATAAATAAAAGGAAACCAAAACTATTGAAGTATTGCTACACATTTTCAAAAACACATGAGAAACACAATATTAAAGTACTTATCCTGCTGTCTCCTTTTTTATTGTAATAAAAGTAACAGAAAGGAAAACTCAAATACTTTATGTTTCTAGTCCATGACATTCTTGTTACTTTTACATTGGAAACTTCAGCTCTCTCCACATTTTCGGGATTTCGCAATGTGGAAACCTCAAAGATACTAGCTCTTTCAGTTTATTACCATAGATATAATTATGGGTCACAGATACACTTGTATCTATGAAAAGAGATCCAGAGCATTACTATCTTCAAACAGCCAGCTAAAATGAAAATGTAATTGGGATTCTGTGCTCTGAAAAGTGCAGCATAATTTTATTTCAGTCTATCTCCCTAAGAAAATTCATGAAAGACACTTTGGACGTTTCATTTAGCTATTTGACAGTAAAGATGAAAACTACATCCAGAAATGAAGAAGAGAACACCAAATCTCAGAAATCTGTTCTACAGAAAAGTTATTGCCAAGTATATTCCTGTCAAAATACTACCTCATTATTCTAAATAACACAGAGGTCTTCATTCTACACTAAGTGTTTCCTTAAATTTTAGGTACAATTCACTAGTTTAAAATGAGCAACTATTCAGGAAATTTGTATGAACAAGTTAAAGGCCTCAATAATACCTAAAAGCAAATCATTTTACTCCCTCTGACATTACCTGATAATTGTATACAGGGAACTGATATCCAGTGGCGACTTGAAATGGTGAATTTGGATAAGCAGGAAATGCCTGAAAAGAAAGGTTCCAGAAAAAAATGAATACGGTAAACCATTTTTTTAAAATTAGAAAGAAATATAATTCTGAATATAACAAAAATAGGTAAAATATTGTTTTTCTACATACAATAATGCAGAATTCTAAATGAATGACTGACTTTATGAAGAAAGAAAGATTCTATGACAAGTGCTACACTTTGGGAGTGAAGGGGGAACTAATGACAAAAGAATTGACTATTTCACCAAAGTTTACCTTATACTGTGTACTTATTCACACCCAGAAGTTATTTCTTACACTGGTGGTAAGGCTCCATTAAGAGAGATTGCAAGGTAAGTTAAATTAATACATTTGCTATTTCCCTGTCAGAATATTTCTAGACTGTTTTGTATCAGACAATATTATAGGACAATATATAGTTTGACAGATGTTATGGCTTTGTCTGTACTTCATTACGAAAAACTAAGTGCAGTCTATAATCCAATACTGGACAAGAGAAAGTATAATGTCTTATATGTTTCAAAAAATTTTTATTATCTGAAAACATACAGGTAGCAGCATACATGAATACACCCAGATTCAGTAATCGCTCACAGTAAATGACAGAAACAAGTAAGGCTTTTTTTCTAGCCATTGTTCAGAGAAGGAAAAAGAAGAGGTATACCATACATGTTTCAAGTACATGGAAAATATCACGAAATTAGAGACAACCGCAGAACTATTTCACTATTATTTTGTTACTTCATTTTCCATCAAAGAAAATGTCTTTTAAGCTAACACATAAATAAAACGAACTAAGAAGAATATAAAGGTTAGTTATCAACATTAAGTGATGGAGTATGTCAAACCCTACTTTAAATATCAGTGTAACCAGAATCAGAGAAATTAGACGCCAGAAGCTCACGGGGTTTATATATATACTAAACCACATCAGAAATCTACCCATTCCAGAAGAAGAATATTTCCAGAAGTCAGCAATTTATATGAGGAGGCATCCGGAAATCATTTCAAATAAAGAATAGCTAGATGAACTGCTAAACTTACCAAAGAATAAAGTAGGCAGACACATAAGGGGAGCTGCTTTCATTCACTTTAGGAACTGGTTATAAGGGGGAAAGCAGCTCCGGTGATTTGGCGGTAATACTCTCGTTTACTCCTATTCTCATTTAAGCGTCATTAACAGCAAAGCATTTCTGTTTCTCTTCTATAAATATTCTATTGCTGGTAAAGCCAGAGGCAGATTCTATGCAGATACATGCTAATTGTAAAGTCACATGAACACTACCTTTCTTTGATTATATAGTCTGTCATTATATGGACCTGCCATTGCTTAACCACATAAAAACCTGAGGGCAAAAAAGGCACTCTTGCTCCCATGGGAGTTTATAATCGGGTTAACAAGAAAGTAACAACAACAAAAAAATTAATATAAAGAATCACTTAAAAATATTTATAGGCATATATGACATGGAAAAAAATCAAGAATGAACAGAAAATCTATGTTTGGCTAATTCACTTAACGTCAAGGACAACATAATCCTTTGCTCCCCAACAGGACCTTATGGTGGCATCTTAAAAAAAAAAAAGAAAGAAAAAGAAAGAAAAAAAAAGGACACCGAAACTATTATATGTATTCCTACACATTTTCAAAAACACATGAGAAATACAACATTGAAGTACTTATCCGGCTGTCTCCTTTTTCATTATAATAAAAGTAACAGAAAGGAAAACTTAAGTACTTTATGTTTCTAGTCCATGACATTCTTGTTACTTTTATATTGGAAACTTCACCTTTCTCCAAATTTTCGGGAGTTGGCAAGGTGGAAACCTCAAAGATACTACCTCTTTCAGTTTCTTACCATAGATGTAATTATGGGTCATAGATATACTTGTATCTATGAAAAGAGATCCAGAGCATTACTATCTTCAAACAGCCAGCTAAAATGAAAATGTAATTGGGATTCTGTGCTCTGAAAAGTGCAGCATAAATTTATTTCACTCTATCTCCCTAAGAAAATTCATGAAAGTCAGTTTGGATGTTTCATTCAGCTATTTCACAGTAAAGATGAAAACTGCATCCAGAAATAAAGAAGAGAACACCACATCTCAGAAATCTCTTCTACAGAAAAGTTATTGCCAAGTATATTCCTCTCAAAATACTACTTCATTACTTCTAAATAAGACAGAGGTCTTCATTCTACACTACTTCTACGTGTTTCCTTAAATTTTAGGTACACTTCACTAATTTAAAATGACCAACTATTCAGGAAATTTGTATAAACAAGTTGAATGCCTCAGTAATACCTGAAAGTAAATCATTTTACTCCTTCTTACATTACCTGATAATTATATACAGGCAACTGATATCCAGCAGTGACCTGAAATGGTGATCTTGGATAAGCAGGAAATGGCTGAAAAGAAAGGTTGCAGAAAAAAATGAATATGGTAAACCACTTTTTAAAATTACAAAGAAATATAATTCCCAATATAACAAAAATATTACAAAAGGTAAAATATCCTTTTTCTACGTACAACAATGCAGAATTCCAAATGAATGACTGACTTTATGAAGAAAGAAAGATTCTAGGTCAAGTGCTACACTATGGGTGTGAAGGGGGAACAAATGACAAAAGAATTGACTACTTCACCAAAGTTTACCTTATACTGTGTACTTATTCACACCCAGACGTTATTTCTTACACTGGTGGTAAGGCTCCATTAAGAGAGATTGCAAGGTAAGTTAAATTAATACATTTGCAATTTCTCTGTAAGAATATTTCTAGACTGTTTTGTATCAGACAATATTATAGGGTAATATGTAGTTCGACAGATGTTATGGCTTTGTCTGTACTTCATTACGAAAAACTAAGTGCAGTCTATGATCCAATACTGGAGAAGAGAAAGTATAATGTCTTACATGTTTCAATAAATTCTTATTGTTTGAAAACATACAGGTAGCAGCATACATGAATACACCCAGAATCAGTGATGCCTCACAGTAAATGACAGAAAAAAGTAGGACTTTTTTTCTAGCCATTGTTCAGAGAAGGAAAAAGAAGAGGTATACCATACAAGTTTCAAGTACATGGAAAATATCAACAAATTAGAGACACTGCATAACTATTTCACTATTATTTTGTTACTTCATTTTCCGTCAAAGAAAATGTCTTTAAAGCTAACACGTCAATAAAATGAACTAAGAAGAATATAAACGTTATTTATCAACAGTAGGTGACAGAGTATGTCAAACCCTACTTTAAATATCAATGTAACCAGGATCAGAGAAATTAGATGCCAGAAGCTCACGGGGTTTACATATATATACTAAACCACATCAGAAATCTACCCATTCCAGAACCAGGAAATATCCAGAAGTCAGCAATTTATATGAGGAGGCATCTGGAAATCATTTCAAATAAAGGATAGCTAGATGAACTGCTAAACTTACCGAAGAATAAAGTAGGCAGACACATAAGGAGAGCTGCTTTCATTCACTTTAGGAACTGCTTATAAGGGGGAAAGCAGCTCCGGTGATTTGGAGGTAATACTCTCGTTCACTCCTGTTCTTATTTAAGCGTCATTAACAGCAAAGCAATTCTGTTTCTCTTCTATAAATTTTCTATTGCTGGTAAAGCCAGAGGCAGATTATTGGCAGATACGTGATAATTCTAAAGTCAAGTGAATACTACTTTTCTGTGATTATATAGTCTATCATTATGTGGACCTGCCATTGCTTAGGCACATAAAAACCTGAGGGCAAAAAAGGCACTCTTGCTCCCATGGGAGTTCATAATCGGGTTAACAAGAAAGTAACAACGACAAAAAAATTAATATAAAGAATCACTTAAAAATATTTATAGGCATATAGGACATGGAAAAAAATCAAGAATGAACAGGAAGTCTATGTTTGGCTAATTCACTTAACGTCAAGAACGGAATCCCTTTGCTCCCCAACAGGCCCCTATGGTGGCATCTTAAAAAAAAAAAAAAAAAAAAAAAAAAGGACACCAAAACTATTAAAGTATTCCTACACATTTTCAAAAACTCATGAGAAACACAATATTGAAGTCCTTATCCTGCTGTCTCCTTTTTTATTATAATAAAAGTAACAGAAAGGAAAACTTAAGTACATCATGTTTCTAGTCCATGACATTCTTCTTACTTTTATATTTGAAACTTCATCTTTCTCCAAATTTTCAGGAGTTGGCAATGTGGAAACCTCCAAGATACTACCTCTTTCAGTTTATTACCATAGATATAATTATGGGTCATAGATATACTTGTATCTATGAAAAGAGATCCAGAGAATTACTATCTTCAAACAGCCAGCTAAAATGAAAATGTAATTGGGATTCTGTGCTCTGAAAAGTGCAGCAGAAATTTATTTCACTCTATCTCCCTAAGAAAATTCATGAAAGTCAGTTTGGATGTTTCATTCAGCTATTTCACAGTAAAGATGAAAACTACATCCAGAAGTAAAGGAGAGAACACCACATCTCAGAAATCTCTTCTACAGAAATGTTATTGCCAGGTATATTCCTCTCAAAATACTACTTCATTACTTCTAAATAAGACAGATGTCTTCATTCTACACTAATTCTAAGTGTTTCCTTAAATTTTAGGTACACTTCACTAGTTTAAAATGACCAACTGTTCAGGAAATTTGTCTAAAAAAGTTAAAGGCCCCAATAATACCTGAAAGCAAATCATTTTACTCCCTCTTACATTACCTGATAATTATATACAGGCAACTGATATCCAGTGGTGACCTGAAATGCTGAATCGGGATAAGTAGGATATTCCTGAAAATAAATTATACAGAAAGAATGAATTAATACGTTAAAACATTATTTTTAATTAGGAAGAATTAGTCCCAATATAACAAAACTATGAAAAATTTCGAAATACTAATTATTTTTCTATCTGCAACAATGTAGAATTGTAAGTGACTGACTGATTTATGAAGAACGTATTATTCTCGGTCAAGTGCTATGGTTGGGCGTGGAGGGGGAACAGACAAATGTCAAAAGAACTGGCTATGACACCAGGCAAAGTTAACCTTACTTATATTGTGTACTTATGCCCACCCAGAAGTTATTTCTTGCACTGGTGATAAGGCTGCATTAAGACAGAGTTCAATGTAAGTTAAATTAATACATTTGCTATTTCCCTGTAAAAATGCTTCCAGACTGATGTGTATTTGACAATATTATAAGGTAATACGTAGTTCTGCAGAATTTACGGCGTTTTCTGTACTTCATGTTGAAAAACTAAGTGCAGTATAGAATCCAATACTGGAAAAGAGACAGTATAATGTCTCATATGTTTCAATAAATACTTATTGTTTCAACACATATAGGTAAGCAGCATGCATCAATACACCCAGATTCAGTAATGGCTCACAGTAAATGATAGAAGTAGGGCTTTTATTCCAGCCATTGTTCACAGAAGGAAAAAGAAGATGAGGTATACCGTACATGTTTCAAGTACAGGGAAAATGTCAACAAATGAGAAACACTGAATATAACTACTTCACTACTATTCTGTTACTTTATTTTCCATCAAAGAAAATGTCTTTTAAACTAAGATATAAATAAAATGAACTAAGAAGAAAATAAACGTTATTTACCACCAGTAAGTGACAGAATATGTCAAATCTACTTTAAATAGCAAACTAACAAGGATCAGAGACACTACATGCCAGAAACTTGCGGGATTTACAGATACCTAAAACATATCAGAAATCTACCCATTCCAGAACCAGAATATATCTGGAAGTCAGCAATTTAATATGCAGAGGCATCTGGAAATCATTTCAAATAAAGAATACCTGGATTAACTGCTAAACTTAGAGAAGAATAAAGCAGGCAGACACATGAGGAGAACTGCTTTTAAATATTTTAGTTATATGGGGGAAAGCAGCTCAGGTGTTATAGAGGTAATACTCTTTTTAATCCTATTCTTATTTAAGAGTAATTAACAGCAAAACATTTCTGTTTCTTTTATGAAATTTTTTATGGTTGGTACATCCAGATGCAGATTCTCATCAGATACATGCTATTCTAAAGCCAAATTAATACTACCTTTCTTAGATAAAGCCACATTAGGACTACCTTTCTTAGATTAAATAATCTATCAACAAGTAACTGAACACTTGTCATAATTTGGAGAAGCCATTGCTTAAGCATACAAAAACCTGAGAGAGAAAAAGGCACTGTTTCTCCCATGGGAGATTATAATTGGGTTAAAAAGAAAGTAACAAAACGTTAACACATCAATATAAAGAATCATTAAAAATATTTATAGGCATATGTGCCACACAAAAAATCAAGAAAGAAGAGCAGGTATATGTTTCACTCATTCGCTTTACCGGAGGAACAACATAACTCCTTTGCGCCCCAACAGGCCAGTGCAGTGGAATCTTAAATTAAAAAAAAAAAAAAAAAAAAAAAAGTAACCACAATTATTTAAATACTCCTACACGTTTTCAAAAACACATGAGTTACATAATATTGGAGTATTTATCATGATGGCTCCTTTGTTATAATAAAAGAAACAGAATAGAAAAAAGAAGTACTTTAGGTTTCTAATCCCCAAAGTTCTTGTTGTTACTTCTACACAGAAAACCTCACCTTTTTCCCAATTTTATGGAAACAGAATTGTGGAACCCTCAAAGATATTAATTCTTTGAATTTGTTACCACAGATACAATTATGGGTCACAGATAATAGTTGTACCATTGAAAAGAGACCCAGAGAACTGCTATCATGAAGCAGCAAGCTAAAATAAAAATACAACTGAAATTCTGTGCTCTAAGAATTCGGTAAAGCTTTTATTTCACTCTGTATCTCTACAAGATTCAGGAAAGTCAGTCTGGATGTTTCAGCTCTTTGACAGCAAAGATAACAAAATACATGCTGAAACAAAGAAGGGAACACCAAATCTCAGAAATTGTTCTACGGAAAAGTTATTGCTAAGTACCCTCCTGTCAAAATCTTATTTCATCACTTCTAAATAAAACAGAGGTCCTCATTACACTAATTCTAAGTGATTTCTTAAATTTTAGGTACAGTTCACTAGTTTAAAAGGACAACCTATTCAAGCAATTTGTATAAGCAAGTTGAGGCCTCAATAGTAGCTGAAAGTAAATCATCTTACTCCCTCTTCAATTACCTGATAATTATATACAAGCAACTGACATCCAGTGATGACCTGACCTGGTGAATGTGGATAAGCAGAATAAGCCTGAAAATAAAGTTTACAGAAAGAATGGATTAATACGGTAAAACATTTTCTTTAACTAGAAAGAAATATCATTCCCAAAATAACAAAAATACGAAAAACCTTGAAATGGTAATTATTTTTCTACATACAGAAATACAGATTTCTAAATGAATGACTGACATGAAGAAACAAATATTCTCTGTCAAGTGCTACCCTTTGGGCGGGGAGGGGGAAGAGACAAATGACAAAACAAGTGACTGTTGCACCGGCCAAAGTCTACCATATTTATACTGTGTACTTATGCCCACCCAGAAGTTATTTCTTACGCTGCTGATAAGGCTCTATTAAGATAGATTTCAACGTAAGTTAAAATAATACATTTGCTCTTTCTTTGGCAAAATACTTCTAGACTGTTTGCTATCTGATGATATTATAGGGTAATACTGTAGTTCTTCGGCAGATGTTACGGCTTTCTCTGTACTTCTTTTCCACAAATTAAGGGCAGTAAATAAGCCACAGCTGGAAAAGAGACAGTATAATGTCTTCTACTTTTCAATAAATACTTACTGATTAAAAACATACAGGTAGCATCATTCATCAATACACCCACATTCAGTAATGGCTCACAGTAAATGCTACAAACAAGTAGGGCTTTTCTTCTAGCCATTGCTCAGAGAAGGAAAAAGAAGAAGAGGTGTACCCCACACGTTTCAAGTACATGGAAAATGTCAACAAATGAGAGACACTGAAGAACTAATTCACTACTATTTGGTTACTTTATTTTCCATCGAAGAAAACCTCTTTTTAAAAACTAACACATAAATAAAATGAACGAAGAACAAACTAAACGTTATTTATCACCAGTAAGTGACAAGAGTATGTCAAATCCTACTTTAAATATCAAAGCAACCAGCATCAGAGAAATTACGTGCCAGAAACTCACGGGATTTCTAGATAGAGCAAAAGAGATCAGAAATCTACCCATCCCAGAACCAGAATATACCCAGAAGTCAAGCAATTTATATGAGGAGGCATCTGGAAATCACTGCAAGTAAAGAATAGCTAGGTTAACTGCTAACCTTAGAGAACAATAAACTAGGCAGACACATAAGGAGGGCTGCTTCCAAATACTTTAGGAACTAGTTATATGAGGTGAAAGAGGCAGAGATAGGAAGAGATTTGTTCATGTGTCTACAGAGGTCATTTCTAAGAGAAAGCTTCGCCAAGTATACAGAAGATTCTTAGCTCAAATGACGAACACGAAGAATAAGAAATTTCTAACAAAAGTAACAGATTTCCCGTTACTCACACTGTTCAAACAGGGATTCTATTGCCACTTACTATGGAAAGTGTAGATACAATTCCACAGAGGGAAGGATGACTAGAATAAACAAGAGAACAGGAACATAAGCAGTTCTTACCTGAACGTGCTGAGTTACAGGATTCGGCGTGATTTGGGGCTGCAGGTAGGTTTCAGTGTTTGGATTCCGCCAGACGTTCTGAAACTGTGGTGGAGGAGGAGGATTAACTACCAAAGGACGTGGCTGCACATGACGAGCACCTTTTTAAAAAGCAAGAAGAAAAAAGCCTATTTTTAGTTATTTGAAAAGCTACACGGGTCAGAAAAGAACCATTTCTTTTCCTACTCACATAACTTTTGTTTCCTGATTGCAGGGCCCAGCTTCAGCTTTTTACCATGGAAATGTATCTGTGACTGAAAATAGAACCGTTAACAAAACTAGAATCAATTTTCAAGTGTTAGCTTCCAAGACTTGGGTAAACACCTGAAGTCTTCTAAAGTACCTATCATCATAGAAGATCGGGGACAACTACGCACCAAATTAAAATTTGTCATCACGAAGCTACCTTACTTACCCTTACTACTCTAATCAGTGTCAAGAGGCATCAAGTGAAAGTTGATCAAAAACTTTCCATCACCCTGTCTCCAACCCTTCCTGTCTGTAGTTCATGAAACTAGGTGTCCAGTCAAAAATAAACAGGATCAAACAAGCTACGTGAGGTTACTCTGAGTTTGGATTTTGAACAGGAAGTGTGTCTTTCCCCAAATTTTACACAAGTCCGAGTGTATCACTGACACTAAACGTTGTAGCAATAAGATAAATAAGAGATTTTTCTATTAGATTACTTACTCCTACTATCTTCTGGACATCCACGTCATTAACAAACGAAACAAATCCATAGCTATAAAGGCAGACAAATGAAGCATAAAATCACCATCATACAGTACGTGGTTCAGAAGGTCTACTATTCTATATACAGAAGTGATCATGACAAAAGACGAATAATATACCATGATAAGTATTTGCTAAGATGTACATGACAGATCCTCTACAAATACCACTTTTTCTTAAGCAGAACTATGTCAAAATGTGCTAGGATTAGGGCAGTGTGACAACTTTATTGATTAGCAAAGAATTCATATCTGTGAACCTGAGTTTAACTTACTGTCTAAGACAAGGTGGTTAAAATTTAAGATGCTCTGCAGTGTATGAAGAAAACAATTATTTGAGAAAACTGATTAACTCATCTGTATGAAATAGAAACTGGAGACATTTAAATACAAACATTAGAAAAATGGTCAAATAGAAGAACTGGTAATAGCCTTTTATCCCCTACGTGAAAGAAATTAACACTGCAGAATATTGCATTTATACAAGGGTCAGAATATCAGTTTTGAAGTCTTGTCTGATACTTATAGAATAGGTGACTGGAGTTCACATATTTTTGATAAAATTACTCACCCTTTGGACACACCAGTTCGATTCGTGATTATCTTCACTTCTTTCACTGAACCGTATCTACCAAAGCAGCTTCCAATCTCAGTTTCATCCATCTATGGAAAAGAACTGAACGTCAGAGTAAAAATTCAGCATTCAAAAATTTCAACTTTACTACAATTTTACTACCATGAGGTGGAAATTTCTCCCCCATTTATCCCCGAATGACCAGCAGCCCTTTGTCAAAGATATTTTTAGTACCTATGGGTCAAACCTAAAAGCAATTCTAAACCTCCAGGAAGTACAAAAAAAAATTTAAGTTTGTAACAGGGCCCACATCCCATTGTTCATGATGTATGTTAAGGTAAAAATGAGGTACGAATACAATACCCTAGCATCAATTCCACCAACAAAAACAGTGTTTGGCACGATTTTGCCTTCTGGTAACACCCAGCCTTGGCTAGCTGCAGCTGATGAAGACTGGGTGCTGGCCTCTCTGGAGATGGTTGAGTTTGGAGTCTCAGGATTTGCAGCAGACTGTAATTTGGAAAGTAGACATCATAATTACGTATGCAGGCAAAACCCATACATAATGTGAAATACCATTTTTGTATTTTAAGTATATTTTATATAAATTACTTTCATTGTAATTCAGTCACCAGTGCAGCTCAGTTCAGGCTCAGGATTTAAACTTATCAGAGTACATCAGCATGGAATTTTAACCGAAGGATACAGTACTTTCTTAAACCTAGTGCCGCTCATCACCGAGTCTTGTATAATGCTGTGGAAGAATACCCATTTAGTATTTGTGAAAGTACTACGTGAAGTAGTTAAAAAAGACACCCAAAACTAGAGAGTTTAGATTTGTAAAAATTAAAGTTATTAAAATCATCCTGTTCTATATTCATAAACAACTTTTCACTTTACTGAGTAGACTAAAGATAAATCTTAAAAAAAAAAAAAAAAAAAAAAAGCCCCACCAAAAAGAAAATAAGCCTCAACGTTTTAAACCAATTTGTTACAATCCTCTTCCCTAACGCTAGGGTGTTCAAAGCATCTTTTGAAATAACATTTTTCTTCCTGAGTAACACGGAATCAGTCTGACTGATAATTCTGATTTTCACAGTGGGCTGATAGATATAAATGATACCATCTTTATTTTCAGATAAAAAAACACATACATATAACTCACTAATTTTCTAGATTCTGATCAGAACTGTCTTTATTCTTTCCACAGCAGACTCTAAGGTTAATGTAAAATTTTCTGAAGTAGTATTCATAAGTAATATATACGTTGGAGAAACAATATAGCATAGTGAAACAAAAATTAATTCAGTCAGGAGATCTAGGTTTATGTCCCTTACAGGTAAGTGGTTATAAGCCACCTACTTGCCAGCTATGTATCTGTGGGCAAAGTGCTTTGAGAATGACATGAGATCACATCTGTGAATTCATTTTGTACGTATAAAGTGGTACAAGTGGTGTGCCAATGTAAGTTAGTGTCCTGTTATTTGAATTTATTTTCAGCCGATTTGTTTTCAAGTTTCTTTTTTGGCTTCACTATTTAGCTGACTTATTTTGAAAAAAATTTTAATTAAGAACTAATTGACACATCAGGAAACTATGACACATCATTAATTTAAAAATCATTGGTGAAGTGCTGTTGACTTCACAAATGTCAGTACAAAATGCTGCAAAAGAGAAAGCTATTACACATATACCTGTCTGAAAGAAAACAAAAGACAAAAGAAACTGCGTTATCTTTTAGAACACAGTAATGTTACAGAAGTTAATAAGAAAGGAGGGTTCCTGCTTTGTTAATTAGAGCCTAGAAGTTACTGATTCTACACAGCTTTACTAGAGATCAAATCTAAATTGTCAAATCAACTAAAGCCGAGGTTACTGCATTTCTCTATTCTTTCGTGCTTGTACTTGCTATTTTGGGTTTGTAACTAATTCCTAATTCTTTCCTTTAACAGCGTTATTTCATGACAATGATGTGAAAGAAAAATTTAAAACACTATTTTTAAAGTTCTTCCTTTCAAAAATGTCTCACATTATTGTTTTTTCCAAATGACATTAAGCTGCACTACCTTGAACTACTGGGAACCTGATTAGATCTCCCTTCCCTATAGACAATTTACCAATTCCTTCTCAGTTCATTCAGAAATCCCAAACAGAATAAAACAAAACAAAACAAATTCTGAAATTCTTGTAGTTTCTTTTTCTCCTTTCCAATTCCTCCTTGATTTGTGGATGAACTTTGGGTATGTGTTTCCTTGATAAACAAGCTATATTACAGTATCGTCTCTGCACCATAGTGTTTGGATGTATTTTAATTTAGAAATGTAACATCTGGCAGAAAACTGTGTCAGACTACGAGAGGTTACGGAAATGCACTGATTCTCAACTGGGCAAGATTTTTGAGCCCCAGGGGCATTTAGCGACGTTTAGAGATTGGCTGTCACAACTGAGATGTATTCCTGGAATCTGATGGGCCGAAGGCCAGGCACACTACTGCGCATCCTACAGTGTAAAGACAGCCTCCTACCATAAGGAAGTATTTGGTGCACAATTTGAAAAGGGTCTGGTTAAGAAACCTTGTCACCGTGCCACAAGAATTGAAGAGGAAAATTCTTCTTTGGGAAGAACCTGATTTCCATCGCTCACTAAAGTGAATCTTTTCATGACCTCGGTTTCAGTTTCCTTGCTTGAAAACGAATGGCCGGAAAAGACCTCGGGTGTCTCTTCTGATTCTCATACTCATTTGGATACTCGAAATAACCGTAGTTTGGTAAAGAAGAAAAAAGGCATTTGATATTATTAAGAAGTTTGACTTTAGCTTGGATCTTACAAACCGGCTGCCTGCTTAACTGGAATCGTACATATAAAATTCACTGAATCTCTCTAACAGCGTCATAATACTTTAAATGAAGGAAGTAATGATCATGTCCTAGTCCTCAGCCAGCAGGTGGCGCTCAAAGCTAACAAGGTAAGCAATGTACCTCGTTTTCTGCAACGTACTTCACTTTTACCATGGCTCGAGTAGCAGGGATTGTTCAATTCCGACTGTGTACTTATACATAATTATATAATGTATATATAAAAATCCACAATCAACAGACAAACTTTGGTTAGTTTTAAACTACGGCCAAAAATATAAATGAATGCTTCGGATAAGCAAAAGTTTAGTTTGAAAGAAAGTACCATCGTAACCGTCAATGGCATCCTGAAAACAAACTGCATTAAAGAAGTAATTTTCTTGGCCGGGCGCGGTGGCTCACGCCTGTAATCCCAGCAGTTTGGGAGGCCGAGGCGGGTGGATCATGAGGTCAGGAGATCGAGACCATCCTGGCTAACAAGGTGAAACCCCGTCTCTACTAAAAATACAAAAAATTAGCCGGGCGCGGTGGCGGGCGCCTGTAGTCCCAGCTACTCGGGAGGCTGAGGCAGGAGAATGGCGTGAACCCGGGAAGCGGAGCTTGCAGTGAGCCGAGATTGCGCCACTGCAGTCCGCAGTCCGGCCTGGGCGACAGAGCGAGACTCCGTCTCAAAAAAATAAAATAAAATAAAACAAACAAACAAACAAAAAAACACAAAACACAAGAAGTAATTTTCTTAACCGTATCTTCAAGTGAGTTGTTGAATTTTCAAATGAGAAATGTTGCAATAGTAAACAGGGGTGAGCTTCAAGACCGTCATAATCACAACTCTCATTGCTATTTCTAGCAAACATATTCCTTGTTATATGCGGACAATCAAGTGACAAAGACAGCTAAAAGCTGGAAAAAATTATCATTAAACTCCTGCCATGTCAGCTCCTCTGCCAGTACTATCTAATGCAATTACTATGTGAACATGTAAGCAAATTGTTATTTACATAAACTGGCCAGGAAAAAGCCTATCATTTGTAGTCATCAAAGTTACATTCACAGCAATAGGAAGAGGAGCAAATAAAGAGAATGCTAAAATTAAGAAAATATGACGTGAAAATCAGAAGTTAATCCAAGAACAGAGTCCCGGGGAGTGGTGGGTGGCAAGGATGAAATTCAAGCAATACACAATCCTTGCAAAACTAAGCAAGAAAAAGCAAAAATATATGAGACCTGAAAAATGGGTTGTGGCCCGTGGTTATAAAAGAATGTTATGCTCAAACTCTATAGGAATAAATTTTGAAATCAACGACATGGTCAACTTGTACAGAAATTTTAATTCTTCCCAAACAATCTTGAAAAAGAACACCCAATGGTATTTGGCTTAGTTTCCCTGGGAGTTTTTTCAACTTGTAAAGAAACAGGTAACTTGGGTGTATGTGGTGTGTCACAGAGAGGTGCACACAGACGCCAGAAACCTGAAGTAAAGATAGAAGAAGAGATTAAGAAATGTAAACTCTTTTCTTCAATTTTCAAAGAGGAAAAAAGTACTTCTCAATGCATTTTACAAAGGTTAACAACACATAAGCAACAAAGCCTCATCAAGATGGTCCAACCCTCTCCTCAACACAAATGCAAAATTCCAGTAGGAAAGAATATAGTTTATATTGGCAATGCAAGAATACTGCATTCGCAGGATACGTTACTTTAATTCGTCATTGAAAAAGTATTTAATAAAATACAGCATTCATTTTTAAATTTTTTTAAAACCTAAGTAAAATAGAAATAGAGGATTCTTGCTTTCTATCAATCTAATTCTACCCTATCATGAAGCTTACAGTGAAATACTAGAGCCATCTCCACTGAAAATAGGAATGAGGTAAGGGCACCATGGCACCTCATCATTACTACTATATATATTTTCCCACTATGTATGACAAATGCGAATATTAATACAGGGTTTTTATGAGTCAGTAAGAAAAATAAAATTAAAAAAGGAAATTTAAAAAGCTAATGATCAATGCTCAACTTCACTGATGATTCAAAAAAGTGCACATCAACATAGTGTAACATTATCCAGCTATTAGGCTGACGATGTACAAAATCCTAATACCGTTCATTAGAAAGGGTGTGCAACAGAGATCACTCTACACACCATCAGTGGGAAAATACTGATACATGCTTTACCAAGAGCACCTTGGAAAAGGTGTATCATAATTTGACAGGGGGATACTCACCACTATACTAATGAGGAGCATAATTTAAAATTGTTATGAAAGGGCAAAAGCACTTCCACCCAGCAATGCCACTTACAGCAATTAATCTCAAGGAATTAATAATTAAGTACAAGTGTGCCAAGATATTTACACAAGGACATTCATGGCATTTTTTAAATTTTGTTTTGAGACTGAGTCTCCCTTTGTTGCCTAGGCTGGACTGCAGTGGCACCATCTCAGCTCACTGCAACCTGCTTCCCAGGTTCAAATGATTCTCCTGCCTCAGCCTCCCGAGTAGCTGGGATTACAAGTGCACGCCACCACGCCTGGCTAATTTTTCGTATTTTTAGTAGAGATGGGGTTTCACCATGTTAATCGGGCTGCTCTCGAAATCCTGACCTCAAGTGATCCGCCCGCCTCAGTCTCCCAAAGTGTTGGGATTACAGGCGTGAGCCACCGCGCCCAGCCCATGATAGTTTTAATACTGAAAAAGTATTCATCATAAGGGAATTCAGTAAAACAACAGTACAATTTTTAACATGATATACTGAAAATTAAAGTTATCTTCAGAATAATACCCACATTAATTGAAAGCTGCCAGTTGTAAAATAGTATTAAGCAGCACTATGTAACTTTTGTAAAAGCTGGCCTATCTATATGCAATTGCAATACATGCATAAAAATAAGTTGGAAAGGCATTCATGTATCAAAACTTAACTGTGGTTTTATGTGTTGGTATTAACATGGACTGCTATTTTCTTAGTGTGATTGTTTTCAAATGAGTAAATATACTACACTACTTTTATAATCAGGAAAAAAACCTAATGAAACGATAAGCATTTCTTCCCTCTACCTCTAAAAATGAAAAGTATTATTGTAAATAATTATAACTTATAACTCAAGGTGATTTTTTCATTAGCATGGGTAACATGTTGCACACTTATTACACATTATAGTTGCTTATGTATTTTTAATGTTTATACATGGTAATATAAACCGTGTATAAAACTCCTCCTTTTATTTCCAAAAACGAAAAGACAAAATTATCAATGCAGATACGCACACAGCATGTAACACGCGTGTTTGTGACTCAGTGTTTGGTCAGCGTATTCAGAGCCACATCTGTGATGGCGCTCAATGAACGCTGGGCATTTACCAAACTCACAGAAATGCACACCCAACATTATCTACCAATTGGACATTTAGTCAAAGTTTCCTGGTTTATCTACGGGGGAAAGATTGTGCCTGGAGTTTAAAAATTCTAAAATTCTCAATGGTAACTGCCGAAGCCAACCTCTTGCCACAAAGATGGCGTCGAGTGAGCTTTTGTGCCTGTCGCCGCCGCAGTAGGGAGCCGCCATCAGCCAGCCGCCATCAGCCAAGCCCCCAGCAGCTGCTAGCCGCGAAAGGATCAGAGGCACTTCCCACCCAGCCCCCTCAGCTAGTGGGCCGCGCCTTCAGGCCGCCCCACCCGCCACACTCAGGCCCCCACAAACCCCACCAACCCACCCCACCCAGTAGTACAAGGACCAGGAGGGAACCACTTCCTGAAGAAGTTCCGGCCCTCCCAATCCAAGGAGGCAAGTCTCTCAGCAGGCCCGCCGCCATCTTGCGGAGCCACCAGGAGAGCGTCAGAAGTGAAGTTGGCGGGGTGGGGGCGCGTGGGAGTGGGGGAAGGGGGAAAGGGCGCCTAGGAGTGGGGGTGGGGACGCGTGGGGGTGGGGAACCCGCACCCCAAACCGCTGCCAGGAGAGAACCCGGGGCAGGAAATGGGTTCCGCAAGGAGGCCGTGGCCCTTGTAAGTGAACTGTGAGGCAGGGCGTCCTGGGGACCCACGCCATGCTTGCTGTCCCGCCACTTCTGTGCCTGCCTCTCTGTATAGGCCGCGCTGCTGCCAGGCCGCCTCACCCCACCCTGCGGGCCACGGCTCCTAATGCATTCAGCGGGGTGGCCCCGAAACAGGAAAACCGAGGATAAGGCGGAGCCTGGTTTCACCCACCGGTGAAGACCCCACAGGCCTTGCCCCTCAGGTCTTTCCTTCAACTCACCATGGTGGTGGCAGGCAGCAGCTCCCGACAGGCTCAAGGAGGAACAGAGGCAGTGTTTCACCCACCACTTCTGGGTCTGCTGGTGAAGTCCGCTGGAACACGCTGTGGGGCTTCGAGTGGTCAAAGGAGCCAAAGGCTAAGGTGTAAGGAAAACCAAGGGCGGGCGAACCCTCGGAGGTAGAACCGCCAGGCTGAGGAGCGCAGGCCGACTGAGGCATGGACTGCGGGGCTCTGGGAGGTGGCTCCTGTGCCGGGTATCGGGGCGCGTGGTATCGGCCTGAGCCAATGGGTGGCAGCACACCCGCCCCCTGGAGGGTGGAGGCCTGCGGGGGATGACGGCCGTCCCCCACGCTGTGGGTGCGTAGAGTACGCAGGGTATGCCGTGCGTGTGTGCTGGCCAGTGCCTGGGTTCCAGGCAGGCACCGCCTCCAAAACACCCTTGAAATAAGTATGCATACTGAAATATATGGTATAGTTTTAAAAAATGATAATGTGTCTGGGCTGTAGTTTCAAAATGGCTTCCGGAATGCACAGGTTTAGCACAATCACTGTTAGCGTCACACCCACCCCAAAATCTTTTAAAGTACCTGCAGAAATAAATAGTAGCAAGTCTGTGGAAAACGGAGGGAGACATCAACAGGCCAGAAACTTGGACTCCTTTCTGTCAAGTTTGAGATATAAGGGGTTGGATGGGAGGGAACGCCAGTTTTGACATTCAGGATGTTCCTTCTTTCAAGAGATAGTTACTGAGTGCCTGTGATTACCAGGTACTGCAGATGCAGGAGTGAACAGAATAAAATAATATCTCTTTGCTCAGGGATTTTACATTTTAATGGAAGACTTCACCTTCTAGGACTTACAGAAAGACGCTAGGCCTGCCTAGAGACTTACAGAACATTCTCAAGATCAGAGCAAGGGCCTAGAGCGGGAGCAAGCTGTGGGGCAGGTGGTGGAGCCAATCACATAACTTTGGGGACCACTCCAGCACCTGGTTATGCACACAGGGCTACGTGGCTATGACCTTTATCCTCAAACTTCACTTCTGTACTGACGGAAAGAATTAAAATGTGACTTTTTGAACTGGCAAAATGCTGGACTGCTATAACGTGAGACGTGTCTCACTACTGACATCTAGTAATGCGGGATAAAAAAAAATAACGTTTTGTTTCCAATAGGCAGATAAGCCCATAAAAAAAGAAGGGAAATTCCAAGAACCAAAAATCAACTGAAAACCAGAGCAATGAATTGTTCAAATGATTGTTCTCCTGCCCTGGATATGGGGGCTGGGTTGTAGGGCAGCCAGTCATACTCGTTTGCCCAGGACTTACTGGTTTTAGCACTGAGAAATTCCTGCATCCCTAAGGAAACCAGAAGGATTGGTCCTCCTAGGTGTGGGCAAAATGTTACTCTCTCTAACTTGAGGTCTGGATGTTTAGGGGCAGGAGGTAAGGGCTCAAGGTGGGAGCTGGAACTGAGTACTCTGCAAAAAGCCATTGTCCCTAAAATCCTTAGGAAAAGGATGGAGTGGGGAAAATATAAATCACCCATGAACGAGCAGATGAGGAAGCTTGCCCCATCTCTGGATGAAGAAAATACGTATTTAACTCTCATTATATTTTAAAACCCTAGACCTGCATTTCATCAAAGTTTGGGGTTTAAATCTGTGACATATTATTGGAATCTGCAAGCCAAGAAATGGGTCCTCCTACACCATCACCCTCTCTCCTGCCTAAAGAGATCCTAGACATGGGGCATCTAGAATGCCTGGCAGAAGCAAACATAAAGCCGACTTGGATGAATCCTTCTACAACCTAGGCTGAAAGAAAATGATCCTTTAAGGACACGCTCACAGTAAAAATTTATACAACACTACTTATCTTGAATAAGAATGGCATACAAACAAGAAAGTTAAAACTTACAGAAGAAGCTTCTCAGTAGCAATAGAAACTAGAAGATAACAGTAATATGCTCACGTGTGTATGTGTTTTGTTTTGTGTTTTTTCTTTTTGTCACGTTATTTTTTTCCTCAACTTATTTGGAGTAATGCAGTCTATATTTTTAAGTGACTGTTTTACTATTTGAAAATGTAAACTTAAAATATAAAGCTAATACATAGCTTTACTCTCCTCTTGAATAATACAAAGGCCTTTAGGATGTTTTAGCTTTGGACACCCTCCCCTCTCTCAGTTTATATGTTATTCACTATTTTAGCTCTATCCTGGTTTCACCATATAAATTAGACATCGTTTTTTTAGACCCATCCACATATGTAGTAACATTTTGCTTACCATTTCTTTGCATATCTCAGATCTGCCTTCTGAATCATTTTCCTTACGCCTGTAGCAAATTCTTTATAATTTCCTTGTGTGACAGTGTGATGTGGTAAACTCTTGGGTTTTTTTCTACCTAAAATATTTTGATTTTTCCCTGTTGTTTCATAATTATACTGAATATATAATTCTAGGTTTAAAAGTATTTTCCCTCTCAGAATATTGAGCATATTACTCTGTTATCTTCTAGTTTCTATTGCAACTGAGAAATCTGCTGTCAGTCTTTTTGCTGTGTAAGATCAGTTTTTCTTTGGTGTTCTGAACTTTCACAATGATGTAAGTAGGTGTGGAGTTTTTAAAAATTTTGCCTGCTTAGGAGTTTTAACACTTTCTGGATTTGTGTATTAGTTCTTAACAGTTCTGAACAGTTTCACCCATTTTCTTGTTAAAGGTTAGCTGGTCAAGGGATCAAACATTATTTGTATTTTATATTTCATAAGTGATTCTTAGAATTTTCTTTAGATCATGAATTTTTTAAAGGCTGGTGCTGTTTTCTTGAAATCTTATGAAATCTCTTAAAAAATTTTTAGGATCAAAACTGATTGTATCCATTTCAATGTGTTAAGTAAGATTAGTGGCATAATTCGTATCAGCTCAGAAATAGATCTCTATATTTCTTCCTATATGCTGGGGGAGAAGAAAAAATGCTGGTGTCTTTGAACACCTCTGCCAGTTCTTCTGTGCTCCTAAAGCCTACGGCTTTGGAAAGAAGGCTACGTTTGTATAGGCACACTTGAATTTCAATCACTTGCAAATCATTTTCAAGATTTTTGTTTTATCTGCCCTGAGCGTCTATTATTATTTACCTGTTTTTAAAATTAACTTATTGTCCTAAACAATAACATTTGCAAGATCAGATGTACTGTTTTAGCTACATTTTAAACGGTGACATTAAAATAAATACAGAAAGATTCAAATTTAAAACACTGTTTGTTTATGCGTCACTTCATACCACATTCTGCCAGGTCAACAGGTAACATGGTTTTGGGAAACACTGGACTAGCAGAACTCCATAGAGCTTTAGATATGCAAAGTTAGGCCCAAGGGACTAAAGAGTAGAGTTTCAAATTGTTCTGCCTAATAAATGAGAATAATCAAATTACAAGGGGAGAAACCAAGCAAGGGGGTGGGGGGAGAAGTGGAAGTCCTGGAAGCTGGAGAAAAGAAGTAACCTTGCAGGTTGGCTTATTTGCTCACACCTGTAATTCTCACACTTTGGGAGGCTGAGCCCGATGGATCGCCCAAGTTCAGGTGTTTGAGACCAGTCTGGGGAACATGGGAAAACCCTGTCTCTACCAAAAATACCAAAAATTAGCTGGGTGTGGCAGTGTGCAGCTGTGGTCCCTGCTCCTCAGGAGGCTGAGGTGGGAGGATCATTTGAGTCTGGGAGGTGGCGGTTGCAGTGAGCCAAGATTGCCCCCACTGCATTCCAGCCTGGGTGACACAGTGAGACTCCTTCTCAGAAAAATGAAATTAACCTTGCAAAGAGACAAGAAGTTGGAGCCTGCAGTGAAAGATGTCTGAGTATATTAGAAACTTTTTTTTATATATGTTTTAAATAATTTATATTTTTTAAATATAATTTTAAAAATTATATTTATTGTTTAAATAAATTTAACTATTTTTTAAACAAATTTAAAAAACTTGTATGTCCGTGCCTCACCCCAAACCAACTAAATCAGCTGAGGGCAGGGCTCAGAAGTCAATATTTTTTTTAAGGAAATGTTTGTCTTGTTACTCCAATATGGGGCCAAATTTGAAAATTGGTGCTATTGGTGCTATGGAGGCTTGCTACTCAGTGTATGTAATCCTCAGATCAGCAACTTCACATCACGCGGGTGCTGTAAAATCTCAGGTCCCATGCCAAACCTACTGAATCAGAGTCTGCATTTTAACAAGATCTCCAAATGGCTCATGTGCACACTGACTGACGGTCAAGAAACATTGCCATCGAGAGCGCTTGTCATAAACAAGTTGCACCCCCCCTGGATCTGAGAATGCTTCACCTTATAAATAAATAGTCTACTTTCTCAGCCTTTCTTGCAGCTACATCTTGGGCAGGTAACCTACACAACAGCAGTGAGATGCACCCATCCCAAATTTTGAAGAGGGGACTGCTGATGCTGTAAAGAAGGGACTGCAGAGAATTCTTTCTGGAGAAGAGTATCAACAGCAGCAGCGGCAGCCATGGTATCGGTTAGAGCTGCGGTGGCCACTACTGTCAGTTGTGCAAGCCACGATGTAACTCAGTGCCCAGTGGTGACAGCTGAGGTTTCTTCACTGGACAAGTTCTGCGGCACGGTTTTGTGTGTCATTCCTGGAGACAACCTGGCTCTTTGGTTCATTTTGAGATTCTGTGGGCTAGTTATCCAATAAATTTTAATAAGTTGTTCTCCTGTTTAAACCAGCCAAAACTTCTGTGACTATTGCTTGCAACGAAGCATCTTGACTACATTAGGTGATGAGTGAGGTTAGCCAGACTGCTTTTAAAAAGAAGGTTAACAGCTAAAAGATTTATGACTCTTTACTGTGATTATGTAGCATACTGTCCTGCTATAGTGTCCAACCTTTACCAAGCTTCCAGTACACACACAAATGCCTTATGTCAGCGGTATTTTGTGAGGAGTGTCAAGGACACTGTCCGTTGCAACATGGGTCAGGGACAGCATGCTGATCCACAGCAAGATGATATGTAGATGAAATAATTCAGTAGGAACAGTAGCTTACAGCCAAAAGTGACCTGGAAAAGCAAAAATCATGAGCTCAGTATGCCCAGCAAGATAGAAAGAAATATGTGCTATTCCCATTGCATGTTAGCAGATGTTTAAACCAATTCCATTTAAATCTCAGGGTATGGTGCCTCATCTTCTGTTGGACCTGTATTCGTGTGGTCCAGCATAGCAACACACATCTCGTGTACACTTGTGCATACTTACAGATATGTCTATCAACTGAGCAACATTGGCTTAAGCCCTGCCTGTTCACCTTTAATCCTACTACCTGCAATAATAGTTTATTCAGTCAAAACTTAAATCTCCTAAGCAGATTGTCTGAATTTTGGGATTGGTCTGAAGCAAACGTGCATAATCTTCATGATGGCCTCTTGATTCTAAATATTAAATATTTAACTGAAAAATTATCAGTTTGTTAAAAGTAATAATATTGACACAAGGCACTGATACTGATACGGTGCATACTATGTACCAGGCATTATTGTAATCATTTTACTTCTAGTTCATCTAATCCTCATAACAATACTAGGTGCTATTATTATCTCAATTTTATGGAGAAGGAAGTAGAGGTACACAGAGGTTGGATAACTTGCCTGAGATCATAGTTGGTAGGCATCAGAGCTGTGATTTAAACCCAGTCAGACTTTAACATCTGAGTTCTCAACCAGTATGCTATATTAGCAAACTACATGGAGGAAGAAAGGGGTAATATAGTGGGACAAATTTATGTATTAAATGTCTTGTTCCCATGAGAGTAGCTAAACAAAGAAGCAAAACCACAAATCTAAGCCCTAAACAACACTATGGTCTGAATGTTTGCCCCCACTCAACCTCTCACCTGTACATATGTTGAAACTCTAGTCCCTGGGGTGATGGTATCAGGAAGCGGAGCCTTTGGGAGATGAATTAGGTCCTAAGGGCAGAGCGTTCGTGAATGAATGATGGTATTAGGAAGTGGAGCCTTTGGGAGACGAATTATGTCATGAGGCCAGAGCTTTGGTGAATGGGATTGATGCCCTTGTAAAAGAGGACTCGGGGAGCTTAGTTACTCCTTCTACCATGTAAGAATACAGCAAGAAGTTGGCAGTCTGCACCCCAGAAAAGTGTCCTCACCAGAACCTCACCGTGCTGACACCTTGGTCTTGGACTTGCCAGTCTCCAAAACTGTGAGATACAAATTTCTGTTGTTTATAAGCCATCCAGGTTCAGGTATTGTTATTATAAGAGCCTGAACAGATTAAGAAAGGTAGTACTGGGAGAGGGGTGCTGCTATAATAAATGCCTAAAACTATGGAATCAGTTTTGTAAATGGGTAATGGGTAGAGGCTGGAAGAGTTTTGACATGTATCCTAGAAAAATGCTACACTGCTGTGAACAGACCAGGCCATAAAGGGTGATTCTGATGAGGGTTCAGAAGGAGAAAAGGAGAGCTGTAGAGAAAACTTGACTCTTCTTAGAGAGTACCTAAGTAGTTGTGAAGAGACTTAGTAGAAATATAGACAGTAAAGACCATTCTGACGTGAGGAACATGTTATTGGAGACTAGAGGAAAGACAATCCTTGTTACAAAGTAGCAACAAACTTGGATAAATCATGTTCATGTACTATTGTTTTGTGGAGTATTGCTTTTACTATAGCAGCCTGAACAGATAATACTTCTATCTACACTAATGAATTGCTCCAAAACAATTGGCCCTTGAGGAGCCTATCTGCTTAACAAAAGTAAAATTTCCACATTTCCTTCTGAATTTTGCCTGTTAACAAATCTTTCAGTACTTTTTTCAAATGTTGGAATCAATCTCATCTCTACACCACTGACTGCCTACTCACACACATACTTCTCCCAGTTGCTTTGAAACTGCTTTTTCTGCATCAGGAGGCATCACTACTGAGCAAACTCTTGCAAATCACAAGTTGAACACTTGTGGAGAAAGCAGAGAGAAAAAGCTGGTATAACTCACTCTTCTTCCTTTCCTCATCCCTAATCATGCTAACCTTCATTTCCTTAGTTTTATTCTTTCTACATTCATTTTTTGTTTCTTATCCATTTTTGACAATACGAGTAATAGATAATATGTGCCCCTTTCTTTAAAATACTAAAAACATTCAGGTAGGCTTAAGTTACCTTTTGACCACCAGCTCTACATCCCAGATCCATTCCCAGAGATGGGTAGTTTGGTGTAAATCCTTTCAGATGTTTTTCTAGATGTTTCCTTTTATACACTTATAGGGAACATTTGATATTTGAACTTACAGAACATATTTACTAACATAAAATATGTGGCATTTTTATTATACTTGTAATAGAGAAATTATATTCATATAATAAGTACTATGTGTATGTATACATATTGTAGAAAATGTATGCTTACACTATATATTTATACTTAGAGGGTATATAGAGGGAATATATATTATTTGGGGTATATGTTCTTGAACAAAAATGCTATTAAAATGTATGTAACTTGATTTTTTTCCTCCAAGAACATGACTCAGAAATACCTACATTAACAGGTAGATTTTTTTTCTTTTTTAGAAATGAGGTCTTGCTGTATTGCCCAGGCTGGCCTGGAACTCCTGGGTTCAAGTGATCCTCCCACCTCAGCCTATGAGTAGCTGGGACTATGGGGGTACACCATCACACCCAGTTACTCAGAAATTTCTAATGTCAGCACATATATATATACTTAATTCCTTTTAACTTTGGCATAATTTTACATAATATGGATATGCCACCATTATTAGCCATTCCCTGGTCAATGGACATTTAGGTCACTTGTGCTTTGTCGTAGTTATTAATAATATACAATGAACCTCTCTCATTGGAGCCAAATGAGTATTTATTTTTTCTGGGGGTGAACGCCAAGAGATATATCTGTCGGGTCATGGATATGCACATTTCAAATTTTAATAGATATCAGAAAATTGCCCTTTGAAGTGTTGTGCCAGTATGTACCAATTTACACTCCACCATTTGTGAGTTAGAGTCTTCATTTGTCTATTCACTTTCCAATATTGATATCACTGCTCTTTAATTTGCCAACCTGATGGTCAAGAAGTGGCATCTCATTTTCATTTTACTTTGGTTTTCCCTGATTGCTCATGGAGTTAAACTTTTTTCTACTGTTTGTTGACTGTTTGGATTCCTCATTGCTGAGAGACCTGTTCATAGCCTCCGGTCATTTTTCATTTGAGTTGCTTGTCTTTATCATATTGTTTTGTGGTAATCTGGCTTCTTTCATTTTTTTGTTTGTTTGTTTGTTTGTTGTTTTGTTTTCTTTTGTTTTCAGGCAGAGTCTGGCTCTGTTGCCCAGACTGGTGTGCAGTGGCGCGATCTTGGCTCACTGCAACCTCTGCCTCCCAGGTTAAACTGATTCTCCTGCCTCAGCGTCCAGTGTAGCTGGGACTACAGGCACACACCACCACGCCTGGCTAATTTTTGTAGTTTTAGTACAGATGAGGCTTCACCATATTGGTCAGGCTGGTCTCGAACTCCTGACCTCAGGTGATCCACCCACCTCAGCCTCCCAAAGTGCTGGGATTACCGGCATGAGCCACCACACCCAGCCAGCTTCCTTCTTTATCTTCCTCCTCAGTCCCTCAGGCAAAGGTGCAGCGGTATTGGTGCCTCTTTGAAGTTCCACTTCAGTGTGATGAACTACAGTTACATTTATTTTCAAGAATTTCTTTTCCTAAACTGGAGAAATTTAAGCCATGAATCAGAGAGAAAGGGAAATCTCTGGTGTAAACATTAACCACTGAAACTTTCAATGTCTTTGAACCCGTCAACTCTGCTGGACCTCTTTCTAAAAAACAGATGAGAGTTGTTACTCAAGTCAGTTAGCCCTTTAGTACTTTCAAACATTTTTTTTTTAGGAGCTCAAGGAATTGCCAGAGAGAAGGAGAACTGTTAGCTCTGATTTCTAAAGAGCTTTCCTAAATATTGATTGCATTTTTTAGGCAATGCGACAATCTCAAAGCACTTTGCTAAGGGCGACATTGTGTTGAGGTCTAACTGTTAAATTTCTCATCTTGCCCCGATTCCCTTAATTTACAATGAGAATATCTGTAGAGAAATGAGGTGAGACATCAGGTGAGTAAATACACATTAACAGGGGCAGCATTTACAGATTAGCAGGGAAGGTTCTGATGACAACTTGATTAATGCAAAACTAAATTAATCAATCTCTGATCACCACAAAAAGGAGCGGGTGAAATGTTTCTTTTTTCCTCATGAAGGATTTTTTTTTTTCTGTGACTTACGTGGCATTGACTGAAAAAAAAAAAGTCCACAATTTCAAAACCCTTTTGGCAAAAACTTTATGTACCTCTAGCTAGCATTGGGTCCAGGTTCCAACATTTCACCCAAAAGTCCAAGTTCAAAGTCTCACCTGAGACAAGGCAAGTCTCACGTATGAGCCTGTAAAATCAAAAGTAAGTTAGTAACTTCCTAGATACAATGAGGGTACAGGCATTGAGTAAATACACCCATTCCAAATGGGTGAAATTGGCTAAAATGAAGGTGCAGCAGACCCCATGCAAAGTCTGAAATCTTCAGGGCAGCCAAATCTTAAGCTCTGCAGTGATCTCCTTTGACTTCATGTCTCATATCTAGATCATGCTGATACAAGAGATGGGTTCCCATGGCCTTAGGCGCTCCACCCCTGTGGTTTGCAGAGTACAACCCCCTTCCTGGCTGCTTTCACAGGCTGGCATTGAATGTATTTTGTATTTTCCAGGAGCACAGTGCCATTCTGGGGCAGATCCCTAGACATGCAGGCATTGTCATGCATCCTCTGAAATCTAGGCAGAGGTTCCTAAACCTAACTTCTTGGCTTCTGTGCACCCACAGGCTCAACAGCACATGGGAGATGCCAAGGCTTGGGGCTTGCAGCCTCTGAAGCAATAGCCTGAGCTCTGTGTTATCCCCTTTTACCCATGGCTGGGATGCATGGCACCAAGTCCCAAGACTGCACAAAGCAGCAAGGCCCTGTGCCCAGCCCATGAAACCATTTTTTCCCCCTAGGCCTCCAGGTCTGTAATAAGAGGGGCTGCTATGAAGTTCTCTGGCATGCCCTGGAGACATCTTCCCCACTGTCTTGGTGACTATCATTTGGTTCCTTGTTACTTATGCAAATTTCTGAAGCCAGCTCAAATTTCTCAACAGAAAATGGGTTTTTCTTTCTTTTCTGTCACATCATGAGGTTACAAATTTTCAAAACTTTTACACTCCATTTCACTTTTAAACATAAGTTCCAATTCCAAACCATCTCTTTATGAGTGCATAAAACTGAGTGATTTTAGGAGCATCCAAGTCAATTCTTGAACACATTGCTGCTGAGAAATTTCTTCCACCAGATACCCTAAATCTTCTCCTTCAAGCTCAAAGTTCCACAGATCTCTAGGGTAGGTGCAAAATGCTCCCAGTCTCTTTGCTAAATTATAGCAATAGTCACCTTTATTCTGCTTCCCAACAAGTTCCTCATCTCCATCTGAGACCACATCAGCCTGGACTTCATTGTCTATATCATTATCAGCATTTTGGTGAAAGACATTCAACAAGTCTCTAGGAAGTTCCAAATTTTCCCTCATTTTCTTGTCTTCTTCTGAGCCCTCCAAACTGTTCCAACCTCCGCCTGTTACCCCGTTCCAAAGATGCTTCCACATTCTTGGATATCTTTATAGCAGCACCCCACTCTCAGTCATACCAACTTACTGTATTAGGCCATTTTCATACTGCTATAAATAACTGCCCAAGACTGAGTAATTTACAAAGGAAAAATGGTCTAATTGACTCACAGTTCAGCATGCCTGGAGAGGCCTCAGGAAACTTACAATCATGGTGGAAGGTGAAGGGGAGGCAAGGCACCTTATTCACAAGGTAGCAGGAAAAACTGCCAAGGGAAGGGGGAAGACACCCTCATAAAACCATCAGATCTCATGAGAACTCATTATCATTAGAACGGTATGGGGGAAGCTGTCCCTACGATTCAATTACCGCCACCTGGTGTCTCCCTTGACATTTCGGGATTATGGGGATTACAATTCATGATGAGATTTGGGTGAGGACACAAAGCCTAACCATATCAGACCCCATCTCTACAAAAAATACAAAAATGAAAACAAAATTAACTGGACATGGTGGCATGAACCCATAGTATTAGCTTCTTGGGAGGCTGAGGTGGGAGGATCCCTTGAGCCCAGGAATTTGAGACTGCAGTGAGCTATGACAACACCACCGTACTCCAGCCTAGCTGACAGAACGAGACCTGTCTCTTAAAAACGGAACAAAACAAAATAAAACTTGTTGACTGACTAGGTATTGGAAATAACAAAAAAGGTTTCCCTCCACTTCCTTCCTTTTTTTAAAAATTATGTATATTATCTCTGTGCCTGGTTTTTCTTTATTCCATGATTTTCCTTTGACTGTATTCTCTTCTTTAGTCCTTTCAGTTCCTTGTACTTGCTAATGCAGGCTGAAATGCTAGCTAGAGGTACATAAAGTTTTTGCCAAAAGGGTTTTGAAATTGTGGACTTTTTTTTTTTTCAGTCAATGCCACGTAAGTCACAGAAAAAAAAAAAATCCTTCATGAGGAAAAAAGAAACATTTCACCCGCTCCTTTTTGTGGTGATCAGAGATTGATTAATTTAGTTTTGCATTAATCAAGTTGTCATCAGAACCTTCCCTGCTAATCTGTAAATGCTGCCCCTGTTAATGTGTATTTACTCACCTGATGTCTCACCTCATTTCTCTACAGATATTCTCATTGTAAATTAAGGGAATCGGGGCAAGATGAGAAATTTAACAGTTAGACCTCAACACAATGTCGCCCTTAGCAAAGTGCTTTGAGATTGTCGCATTGCCTAAAAAATGCAATCAATATTTAGGAAAGCTCTTTAGAAATCAGAGCTAACAGTTCTCCTTCTCTCTGGCAATTCCTTGAGCTCCTAAAAAAAAAATGTTTGAAAGTACTAAAGGGCTAACTGACTTGAGTAACAACTCTCATCTGTTTTTTAGAAAGAGGTCCAGCAGAGTTGACGGGTTCAAAGACATTGAAAGTTTCAGTGGTTAATGTTTACACCAGAGATTTCCCTTTCTCTCTGATTCATGGCTTAAATTTCTCCAGTTTAGGAAAAGAAATTCTTGAAAATAAATGTAACTGTAGTTCATCACACTGAAGTGGAACTTCAAAGAGGCACCAATACCGCTGCACCTTTGCCTGAGGGACTGAGGAGGAAGATAAAGAAGGAAGCTGGCTGGGTGTGGTGGCTCATGCCGGTAATCCCAGCACTTTGGGAGGCTGAGGTGGGTGGATCACCTGAGGTCAGGAGTTCGAGACCAGCCTGACCAATATGGTGAAGCCTCATCTGTACTAAAACTACAAAAATTAGCCAGGCGTGGTGGTGTGTGCCTGTAGTCCCAGCTACACTGGACGCTGAGGCAGGAGAATCAGTTTAACCTGGGAGGCAGAGGTTGCAGTGAGCCAAGATCGCGCCACTGCACACCAGTCTGGGCAACAGAGCCAGACTCTGCCTGAAAACAAAAGAAAACAAAACAACAAACAAACAAACAAACAAAAAAATGAAAGAAGCCAGATTACCACAAAACAATATGATAAAGACAAGCAACTCAAATGAAAAATGACCGGAGGCTATGAACAGGTCTCTCAGCAATGAGGAATCCAAACAGTCAACAAACAGTAGAAAAAAGTTTAACTCCATGAGCAATCAGGGAAAACCAAAGTAAAATGAAAATGAGATGCCACTTCTTGACCATCAGGTTGGCAAATTAAAGAGCAGTGATATCAATATTGGAAAGTGAATAGACAAATGAAGACTCTAACTCACAAATGGTGGAGTGTAAATTGGTACATACTGGCACAACACTTCAAAGGGCAATTTTCTGATATCTATTAAAATTTGAAATGTGCATATCCATGACCCGACAGATATATCTCTTGGCGTTCACCCCCAGAAAAAATAAATACTCATTTGGCTCCAATGAGAGAGGTTCATTGTATATTATTAATAACTACGACAAAGCACAAGTGACCTAAATGTCCATTGACCAGGGAATGGCTAATAATGGTGGCATATCCATATTATGTAAAATTATGCCAAAGTTAAAAGGAATTAAGTATATATATATGTGCTGACATTAGAAATTTCTGAGTAACTGGGTGTGATGGTGTACCCCCATAGTCCCAGCTACTCATAGGCTGAGGTGGGAGGATCACTTGAACCCAGGAGTTCCAGGCCAGCCTGGGCAATACAGCAAGACCTCATTTCTAAAAAAGAAAAAAAATCTACCTGTTAATGTAGGTATTTCTGAGTCATGTTCTTGGAGGAAAAAAATCAAGTTACATACATTTTAATAGCATTTTTGTTCAAGAACATATACCCCAAATAATATATATTCCCTCTATATACCCTCTAAGTATAAATATATAGTGTAAGCATACATTTTCTACAATATGTATACATATACATAGTACTTATTATATGAATATAATTTCTCTATTACAAGTATAATAAAAATGCCACATATTTTATGTTAGTAAATATGTTCTGTAAGTTCAAATATCAAATGTTCCCTATAAGTGTATAAAAGGAAACATCTAGAAAAACATCTGAAAGGATTTACACCAAACTACCCATCTCTGGGAATGGATCTGGGATGTAGAGCTGGTGGTCAAAAGGTAACTTAAGCCTACCTGAATGTTTTTAGTATTTTAAAGAAAGGGGCACATATTATCTATTACTCGTATTGTCAAAAATGGATAAGAAACAAAAAATGAATGTAGAAAGAATAAAACTAAGGAAATGAAGGTTAGCATGATTAGGGATGAGGAAAGGAAGAAGAGTGAGTTATACCAGCTTTTTCTCTCTGCTTTCTCCACAAGTGTTCAACTTGTGATTTGCAAGAGTTTGCTCAGTAGTGATGCCTCCTGATGCAGAAAAAGCAGTTTCAAAGCAACTGGGAGAAGTATGTGTGTGAGTAGGCAGTCAGTGGTGTAGAGATGAGATTGATTCCAACATTTGAAAAAAGTACTGAAAGATTTGTTAACAGGCAAAATTCAGAAGGAAATGTGGAAATTTTACTTTTGTTAAGCAGATAGGCTCCTCAAGGGCCAATTGTTTTGGAGCAATTCATTAGTGTAGATAGAAGTATTATCTGTTCAGGCTGCTATAGTAAAAGCAATACTCCACAAAACAATAGTACATGAACATGATTTATCCAAGTTTGTTGCTACTTTGTAACAAGGATTGTCTTTCCTCTAGTCTCCAATAACATGTTCCTCACGTCAGAATGGTCTTTACTGTCTATATTTCTACTAAGTCTCTTCACAACTACTTAGGTACTCTCTAAGAAGAGTCAAGTTTTCTCTACAGCTCTCCTTTTCTCCTTCTGAACCCTCATCAGAATCACCCTTTATGGCCTGGTCTGTTCACAGCAGTGTAGCATTTTTCTAGGATACATGTCAAAACTCTTCCAGCCTCTACCCATTACCCATTTACAAAACTGATTCCATAGTTTTAGGCATTTATTATAGCAGCACCCCTCTCCCAGTACTACCTTTCTTAATCTGTTCAGGCTCTTATAATAACAATACCTGAACCTGGATGGCTTATAAACAACAGAAATTTGTATCTCACAGTTTTGGAGACTGGCAAGTCCAAGACCAGGGTGTCAGCACGGTGAGGTTCTGGTGAGGACACTTTTCTGGGGTGCAGACTGCCAACTTCTTGCTGTATTCTTACATGGTAGAAGGAGTAACTAAGCTCCCCGAGTCCTCTTTTACAAGGGCATCAATCCCATTCACCAAAGCTCTGGCCTCATGACATAATTCGTCTCCCAAAGGCTCCACTTCCTAATACCATCATTCATTCACGAACGCTCTGCCCTTAGGACCTAATTCATCTCCCAAAGGCTCCGCTTCCTGATACCATCACCCCAGGGACTAGAGTTTCAACATATGTACAGGTGAGAGGTTGAGTGGGGGCAAACATTCAGACCATAGTGTTGTTTAGGGCTTAGATTTGTGGTTTTGCTTCTTTGTTTAGCTACTCTCATGGGAACAAGACATTTAATACATAAATTTGTCCCACTATATTACCCCTTTCTTCCTCCATGTAGTTTGCTAATATAGCATACTGGTTGAGAACTCAGATGTTAAAGTCTGACTGGGTTTAAATCACAGCTCTGATGCCTACCAACTATGATCTCAGGCAAGTTATCCAACCTCTGTGTACCTCTACTTCCTTCTCCATAAAATTGAGATAATAATAGCACCTAGTATTGTTATGAGGATTAGATGAACTAGAAGTAAAATGATTACAATAATGCCTGGTACATAGTATGCACCGTATCAGTATCAGTGCCTTGTGTCAATATTATTACTTTTAACAAACTGATAATTTTTCAGTTAAATATTTAATATTTAGAATCAAGAGGCCATCATGAAGATTATGCACGTTTGCTTCAGACCAATCCCAAAATTCAGACAATCTGCTTAGGAGATTTAAGTTTTGACTGAATAAACTATTATTGCAGGTAGTAGGATTAAAGGTGAACAGGCAGGGCTTAAGCCAATGTTGCTCAGTTGATAGACATATCTGTAAGTATGCACAAGTGTACACGAGATGTGTGTTGCTATGCTGGACCACACGAATACAGGTCCAACAGAAGATGACGCACCATACCCTGAGATTTAAATGGAATTGGTTTAAACATCTGCTAACATGCAATGGGAATAGCACATATTTCTTTCTATCTTGCTGGGCATACTGAGCTCATGATTTTTGCTTTTCCAGGTCACTTTTGGCTGTAAGCTACTGTTCCTACTGAATTATTTCATCTACATATCATCTTGCTGTGGATCAGCATGCTGTCCCTGACCCATGTTGCAACGGACAGTGTCCTTGACACTCCTCACAAAATACCGCTGACATAAGGCATTTGTGTGTGTACTGGAAGCTTGGTAAAGGTTGGACACTATAGCAGGACAGTATGCTACATAATCACAGTAAAGAGTCATAAATCTTTTAGCTGTTAACCTTCTTTTTAAAAGCAGTCTGGCTAACCTCACTCATCACCTAATGTAGTCAAGATGCTTCGTTGCAAGCAATAGTCACAGAAGTTTTGGCTGGTTTAAACAGGAGAACAACTTATTAAAATTTATTGGATAACTAGCCCACAGAATCTCAAAATGAACCAAAGAGCCAGGTTGTCTCCAGGAATGACACACAAAACCGTGCCGCAGAACTTGTCCAGTGAAGAAACCTCAGCTGTCACCACTGGGCACTGAGTTACATCGTGGCTTGCACAACTGACAGTAGTGGCCACCGCAGCTCTAACCGATACCATGGCTGCCGCTGCTGCTGTTGATACTCTTCTCCAGAAAGAATTCTCTGCAGTCCCTTCTTTACAGCATCAGCAGTCCCCTCTTCAAAATTTGGGATGGGTGCATCTCACTGCTGTTGTGTAGGTTACCTGCCCAAGATGTAGCTGCAAGAAAGGCTGAGAAAGTAGACTATTTATTTATAAGGTGAAGCATTCTCAGATCCAGGGGGGGTGCAACTTGTTTATGACAAGCGCTCTCGATGGCAATGTTTCTTGACCGTCAGTCAGTGTGCACATGAGCCATTTGGAGATCTTGTTAAAATGCAGACTCTGATTCAGTAGGTTTGGCATGGGACCTGAGATTTTACAGCACCCGCGTGATGTGAAGTTGCTGATCTGAGGATTACATACACTGAGTAGCAAGCCTCCATAGCACCAATAGCACCAATTTTCAAATTTGGCCCCATATTGGAGTAACAAGACAAACATTTCCTTAAAAAAAATATTGACTTCTGAGCCCTGCCCTCAGCTGATTTAGTTGGTTTGGGGTGAGGCACGGACATACAAGTTTTTTAAATTTGTTTAAAAAATAGTTAAATTTATTTAAACAATAAATATAATTTTTAAAATTATATTTAAAAAATATAAATTATTTAAAACATATATAAAAAAAAGTTTCTAATATACTCAGACATCTTTCACTGCAGGCTCCAACTTCTTGTCTCTTTGCAAGGTTAATTTCATTTTTCTGAGAAGGAGTCTCACTGTGTCACCCAGGCTGGAATGCAGTGGGGGCAATCTTGGCTCACTGCAACCGCCACCTCCCAGACTCAAATGATCCTCCCACCTCAGCCTCCTGAGGAGCAGGGACCACAGCTGCACACTGCCACACCCAGCTAATTTTTGGTATTTTTGGTAGAGACAGGGTTTTCCCATGTTCCCCAGACTGGTCTCAAACACCTGAACTTGGGCGATCCATCGGGCTCAGCCTCCCAAAGTGTGAGAATTACAGGTGTGAGCAAATAAGCCAACCTGCAAGGTTACTTCTTTTCTCCAGCTTCCAGGACTTCCACTTCTCCCCCCACCCCCTTGCTTGGTTTCTCCCCTTGTAATTTGATTATTCTCATTTATTAGGCAGAACAATTTGAAACTCTACTCTTTAGTCCCTTGGGCCTAACTTTGCATATCTAAAGCTCTATGGAGTTCTGCTAGTCCAGTGTTTCCCAAAACCATGTTACCTGTTGACCTGGCAGAATGTGGTATGAAGTGACGCATAAACAAACAGTGTTTTAAATTTGAATCTTTCTGTATTTATTTTAATGTCACCGTTTAAAATGTAGCTAAAACAGTACATCTGATCTTGCAAATGTTATTGTTTAGGACAATAAGTTAATTTTAAAAACAGGTAAATAATAATAGACGCTCAGGGCAGATAAAACAAAAATCTTGAAAATGATTTGCAAGTGATTGAAATTCAAGTGTGCCTATACAAACGTAGCCTTCTTTCCAAAGCCGTAGGCTTTAGGAGCACAGAAGAACTGGCAGAGGTGTTCAAAGACACCAGCATTTTTTCTTCTCCCCCAGCATATAGGAAGAAATATAGAGATCTATTTCTGAGCTGATACGAATTATGCCACTAATCTTACTTAACACATTGAAATGGATACAATCAGTTTTGATCCTAAAAATTTTTTAAGAGATTTCATAAGATTTCAAGAAAACAGCACCAGCCTTTAAAAAATTCATGATCTAAAGAAAATTCTAAGAATCACTTATGAAATATAAAATACAAATAATGTTTGATCCCTTGACCAGCTAACCTTTAACAAGAAAATGGGTGAAACTGTTCAGAACTGTTAAGAACTAATACACAAATCCAGAAAGTGTTAAAACTCCTAAGCAGGCAAAATTTTTAAAAACTCCACACCTACTTACATCATTGTGAAAGTTCAGAACACCAAAGAAAAACTGATCTTACACAGCAAAAAGACTGACAGCAGATTTCTCAGTTGCAATAGAAACTAGAAGATAACAGAGTAATATGCTCAATATTCTGAGAGGGAAAATACTTTTAAACCTAGAATTATATATTCAGTATAATTATGAAACAACAGGGAAAAATCAAAATATTTTAGGTAGAAAAAAACCCAAGAGTTTACCACATCACACTGTCACACAAGGAAATTATAAAGAATTTGCTACAGGCGTAAGGAAAATGATTCAGAAGGCAGATCTGAGATATGCAAAGAAATGGTAAGCAAAATGTTACTACATATGTGGATGGGTCTAAAAAAACGATGTCTAATTTATATGGTGAAACCAGGATAGAGCTAAAATAGTGAATAACATATAAACTGAGAGAGGGGAGGGTGTCCAAAGCTAAAACATCCTAAAGGCCTTTGTATTATTCAAGAGGAGAGTAAAGCTATGTATTAGCTTTATATTTTAAGTTTACATTTTCAAATAGTAAAACAGTCACTTAAAAATATAGACTGCATTACTCCAAATAAGTTGAGGAATAAAATAACGTGACAAAAAGAAAAAACACAAAACAAAACACATACACACGTGAGCATATTACTGTTATCTTCTAGTTTCTATTGCTACTGAGAAGCTTCTTCTGTAAGTTTTAACTTTCTTGTTTGTATGCCATTCTTATTCAAGATAAGTAGTGTTGTATAAATTTTTACTGTGAGCGTGTCCTTAAAGGATCATTTTCTTTCAGCCTAGGTTGTAGAAGGATTCATCCAAGTCGGCTTTATGTTTGCTTCTGCCAGGCATTCTAGATGCCCCATGTCTAGGATCTCTTTAGGCAGGAGAGAGGGTGATGGTGTAGGAGGACCCATTTCTTGGCTTGCAGATTCCAATAATATGTCACAGATTTAAACCCCAAACTTTGATGAAATGCAGGTCTAGGGTTTTAAAATATAATGAGAGTTAAATACGTATTTTCTTCATCCAGAGATGGGGCAAGCTTCCTCATCTGCTCGTTCATGGGTGATTTATATTTTCCCCACTCCATCCTTTTCCTAAGGATTTTAGGGACAATGGCTTTTTGCAGAGTACTCAGTTCCAGCTCCCACCTTGAGCCCTTACCTCCTGCCCCTAAACATCCAGACCTCAAGTTAGAGAGAGTAACATTTTGCCCACACCTAGGAGGACCAATCCTTCTGGTTTCCTTAGGGATGCAGGAATTTCTCAGTGCTAAAACCAGTAAGTCCTGGGCAAACGAGTATGACTGGCTGCCCTACAACCCAGCCCCCATATCCAGGGCAGGAGAACAATCATTTGAACAATTCATTGCTCTGGTTTTCAGTTGATTTTTGGTTCTTGGAATTTCCCTTCTTTTTTTATGGGCTTATCTGCCTATTGGAAACAAAACGTTATTTTTTTTTATCCCGCATTACTAGATGTCAGTAGTGAGACACGTCTCACGTTATAGCAGTCCAGCATTTTGCCAGTTCAAAAAGTCACATTTTAATTCTTTCCGTCAGTACAGAAGTGAAGTTTGAGGATAAAGGTCATAGCCACGTAGCCCTGTGTGCATAACCAGGTGCTGGAGTGGTCCCCAAAGTTATGTGATTGGCTCCACCACCTGCCCCACAGCTTGCTCCCGCTCTAGGCCCTTGCTCTGATCTTGAGAATGTTCTGTAAGTCTCTAGGCAGGCCTAGCGTCTTTCTGTAAGTCCTAGAAGGTGAAGTCTTCCATTAAAATGTAAAATCCCTGAGCAAAGAGATATTATTTTATTCTGTTCACTCCTGCATCTGCAGTACCTGGTAATCACAGGCACTCAGTAACTATCTCTTGAAAGAAGGAACATCCTGAATGTCAAAACTGGCGTTCCCTCCCATCCAACCCCTTATATCTCAAACTTGACAGAAAGGAGTCCAAGTTTCTGGCCTGTTGATGTCTCCCTCCGTTTTCCACAGACTTGCTACTATTTATTTCTGCAGGTACTTTAAAAGATTTTGGGGTGGGTGTGACGCTAACAGTGATTGTGCTAAACCTGTGCATTCCGGAAGCCATTTTGAAACTACAGCCCAGACACATTATCATTTTTTAAAACTATACCATATATTTCAGTATGCATACTTATTTCAAGGGTGTTTTGGAGGCGGTGCCTGCCTGGAACCCAGGCACTGGCCAGCACACACGCACGGCATACCCTGCGTACTCTACGCACCCACAGCGTGGGGGACGGCCGTCATCCCCCGCAGGCCTCCACCCTCCAGGGGGCGGGTGTGCTGCCACCCATTGGCTCAGGCCGATACCACGCGCCCCGATACCCGGCACAGGAGCCACCTCCCAGAGCCCCGCAGTCCATGCCTCAGTCGGCCTGCGCTCCTCAGCCTGGCGGTTCTACCTCCGAGGGTTCGCCCGCCCTTGGTTTTCCTTACACCTTAGCCTTTGGCTCCTTTGACCACTCGAAGCCCCACAGCGTGTTCCAGCGGACTTCACCAGCAGACCCAGAAGTGGTGGGTGAAACACTGCCTCTGTTCCTCCTTGAGCCTGTCGGGAGCTGCTGCCTGCCACCACCATGGTGAGTTGAAGGAAAGACCTGAGGGGCAAGGCCTGTGGGGTCTTCACCGGTGGGTGAAACCAGGCTCCGCCTTATCCTCGGTTTTCCTGTTTCGGGGCCACCCCGCTGAATGCATTAGGAGCCGTGGCCCGCAGGGTGGGGTGAGGCGGCCTGGCAGCAGCGCGGCCTATACAGAGAGGCAGGCACAGAAGTGGCGGGACAGCAAGCATGGCGTGGGTCCCCAGGACGCCCTGCCTCACAGTTCACTTACAAGGGCCACGGCCTCCTTGCGGAACCCATTTCCTGCCCCGGGTTCTCTCCTGGCAGCGGTTTGGGGTGCGGGTTCCCCACCCCCACGCGTCCCCACCCCCACTCCTAGGCGCCCTTTCCCCCTTCCCCCACTCCCACGCGCCCCCACCCCGCCAACTTCACTTCTGACGCTCTCCTGGTGGCTCCGCAAGATGGCGGCGGGCCTGCTGAGAGACTTGCCTCCTTGGATTGGGAGGGCCGGAACTTCTTCAGGAAGTGGTTCCCTCCTGGTCCTTGTACTACTGGGTGGGGTGGGTTGGTGGGGTTTGTGGGGGCCTGAGTGTGGCGGGTGGGGCGGCCTGAAGGCGCGGCCCACTAGCTGAGGGGGCTGGGTGGGAAGTGCCTCTGATCCTTTCGCGGCTAGCAGCTGCTGGGGGCTTGGCTGATGGCGGCTGGCTGATGGCGGCTCCCTACTGCGGCGGCGACAGGCACAAAAGCTCACTCGACGCCATCTTTGTGGCAAGAGGTTGGCTTCGGCAGTTACCATTGAGAATTTTAGAATTTTTAAACTCCAGGCACAATCTTTCCCCCGTAGATAAACCAGGAAACTTTGACTAAATGTCCAATTGGTAGATAATGTTGGGTGTGCATTTCTGTGAGTTTGGTAAATGCCCAGCGTTCATTGAGCGCCATCACAGATGTGGCTCTGAATACGCTGACCAAACACTGAGTCACAAACACGCGTGTTACATGCTGTGTGCGTATCTGCATTGATAATTTTGTCTTTTCGTTTTTGGAAATAAAAGGAGGAGTTTTATACACGGTTTATATTACCATGTATAAACATTAAAAATACATAAGCAACTATAATGTGTAATAAGTGTGCAACATGTTACCCATGCTAATGAAAAAATCACCTTGAGTTATAAGTTATAATTATTTACAATAATACTTTTCATTTTTAGAGGTAGAGGGAAGAAATGCTTATCGTTTCATTAGGTTTTTTTCCTGATTATAAAAGTAGTGTAGTATATTTACTCATTTGAAAACAATCACACTAAGAAAATAGCAGTCCATGTTAATACCAACACATAAAACCACAGTTAAGTTTTGATACATGAATGCCTTTCCAACTTATTTTTATGCATGTATTGCAATTGCATATAGATAGGCCAGCTTTTACAAAAGTTACATAGTGCTGCTTAATACTATTTTACAACTGGCAGCTTTCAATTAATGTGGGTATTATTCTGAAGATAACTTTAATTTTCAGTATATCATGTTAAAAATTGTACTGTTGTTTTACTGAATTCCCTTATGATGAATACTTTTTCAGTATTAAAACTATCATGGGCTGGGCGCGGTGGCTCACGCCTGTAATCCCAACACTTTGGGAGACTGAGGCGGGCGGATCACTTGAGGTCAGGATTTCGAGAGCAGCCCGATTAACATGGTGAAACCCCATCTCTACTAAAAATACGAAAAATTAGCCAGGCGTGGTGGCGTGCACTTGTAATCCCAGCTACTCGGGAGGCTGAGGCAGGAGAATCATTTGAACCTGGGAAGCAGGTTGCAGTGAGCTGAGATGGTGCCACTGCAGTCCAGCCTAGGCAACAAAGGGAGACTCAGTCTCAAAACAAAATTTAAAAAATGCCATGAATGTCCTTGTGTAAATATCTTGGCACACTTGTACTTAATTATTAATTCCTTGAGATTAATTGCTGTAAGTGGCATTGCTGGGTGGAAGTGCTTTTGCCCTTTCATAACAATTTTAAATTATGCTCCTCATTAGTATAGTGGTGAGTATCCCCCTGTCAAATTATGATACACCTTTTCCAAGGTGCTCTTGGTAAAGCATGTATCAGTATTTTCCCACTGATGGTGTGTAGAGTGATCTCTGTTGCACACCCTTTCTAATGAACGGTATTAGGATTTTGTACATCGTCAGCCTAATAGCTGGATAATGTTACACTATGTTGATGTGCACTTTTTTGAATCATCAGTGAAGTTGAGCATTGATCATTAGCTTTTTAAATTTCCTTTTTTAATTTTATTTTTCTTACTGACTCATAAAAACCCTGTATTAATATTCGCATTTGTCATACATAGTGGGAAAATATATATAGTAGTAATGATGAGGTGCCATGGTGCCCTTACCTCATTCCTATTTTCAGTGGAGATGGCTCTAGTATTTCACTGTAAGCTTCATGATAGGGTAGAATTAGATTGATAGAAAGCAAGAATCCTCTATTTCTATTTTACTTAGGTTTTAAAAAAATTTAAAAATGAATGCTGTATTTTATTAAATACTTTTTCAATGACGAATTAAAGTAACGTATCCTGCGAATGCAGTATTCTTGCATTGCCAATATAAACTATATTCTTTCCTACTGGAATTTTGCATTTGTGTTGAGGAGAGGGTTGGACCATCTTGATGAGGCTTTGTTGCTTATGTGTTGTTAACCTTTGTAAAATGCATTGAGAAGTACTTTTTTCCTCTTTGAAAATTGAAGAAAAGAGTTTACATTTCTTAATCTCTTCTTCTATCTTTACTTCAGGTTTCTGGCGTCTGTGTGCACCTCTCTGTGACACACCACATACACCCAAGTTACCTGTTTCTTTACAAGTTGAAAAAACTCCCAGGGAAACTAAGCCAAATACCATTGGGTGTTCTTTTTCAAGATTGTTTGGGAAGAATTAAAATTTCTGTACAAGTTGACCATGTCGTTGATTTCAAAATTTATTCCTATAGAGTTTGAGCATAACATTCTTTTATAACCACGGGCCACAACCCATTTTTCAGGTCTCATATATTTTTGCTTTTTCTTGCTTAGTTTTGCAAGGATTGTGTATTGCTTGAATTTCATCCTTGCCACCCACCACTCCCCGGGACTCTGTTCTTGGATTAACTTCTGATTTTCACGTCATATTTTCTTAATTTTAGCATTCTCTTTATTTGCTCCTCTTCCTATTGCTGTGAATGTAACTTTGATGACTACAAATGATAGGCTTTTTCCTGGCCAGTTTATGTAAATAACAATTTGCTTACATGTTCACATAGTAATTGCATTAGATAGTACTGGCAGAGGAGCTGACATGGCAGGAGTTTAATGATAATTTTTTCCAGCTTTTAGCTGTCTTTGTCACTTGATTGTCCGCATATAACAAGGAATATGTTTGCTAGAAATAGCAATGAGAGTTGTGATTATGACGGTCTTGAAGCTCACCCCTGTTTACTATTGCAACATTTCTCATTTGAAAATTCAACAACTCACTTGAAGATACGGTTAAGAAAATTACTTCTTGTGTTTTGTGTTTTTTTGTTTGTTTGTTTGTTTTATTTTATTTTATTTTTTTGAGACGGAGTCTCGCTCTGTCGCCCAGGCCGGACTGCGGACTGCAGTGGCGCAATCTCGGCTCACTGCAAGCTCCGCTTCCCGGGTTCACGCCATTCTCCTGCCTCAGCCTCCCGAGTAGCTGGGACTACAGGCGCCCGCCACCGCGCCCGGCTAATTTTTTGTATTTTTAGTAGAGACGGGGTTTCACCTTGTTAGCCAGGATGGTCTCGATCTCCTGACCTCATGATCCACCCGCCTCGGCCTCCCAAAGTGCTGGGATTACAGGCGTGAGCCACCGCGCCCGGCCAAGAAAATTACTTCTTTAATGCAGTTTGTTTTCAGGATGCCATTGACGGTTACGATGGTACTTTCTTTCAAACTAAACTTTTGCTTATCCGAAGCATTCATTTATATTTTTGGCCGTAGTTTAAAACTAACCAAAGTTTGTCTGTTGATTGTGGATTTTTATATATACATTATATAATTATGTATAAGTACACAGTCGGAATTGAACAATCCCTGCTACTCGAGCCATGGTAAAAGTGAAGTACGTTGCAGAAAACGAGGTACATTGCTTACCTTGTTAGCTTTGAGCGCCACCTGCTGGCTGAGGACTAGGACATGATCATTACTTCCTTCATTTAAAGTATTATGACGCTGTTAGAGAGATTCAGTGAATTTTATATGTACGATTCCAGTTAAGCAGGCAGCCGGTTTGTAAGATCCAAGCTAAAGTCAAACTTCTTAATAATATCAAATGCCTTTTTTCTTCTTTACCAAACTACGGTTATTTCGAGTATCCAAATGAGTATGAGAATCAGAAGAGACACCCGAGGTCTTTTCCGGCCATTCGTTTTCAAGCAAGGAAACTGAAACCGAGGTCATGAAAAGATTCACTTTAGTGAGCGATGGAAATCAGGTTCTTCCCAAAGAAGAATTTTCCTCTTCAATTCTTGTGGCACGGTGACAAGGTTTCTTAACCAGACCCTTTTCAAATTGTGCACCAAATACTTCCTTATGGTAGGAGGCTGTCTTTACACTGTAGGATGCGCAGTAGTGTGCCTGGCCTTCGGCCCATCAGATTCCAGGAATACATCTCAGTTGTGACAGCCAATCTCTAAACGTCGCTAAATGCCCCTGGGGCTCAAAAATCTTGCCCAGTTGAGAATCAGTGCATTTCCGTAACCTCTCGTAGTCTGACACAGTTTTCTGCCAGATGTTACATTTCTAAATTAAAATACATCCAAACACTATGGTGCAGAGACGATACTGTAATATAGCTTGTTTATCAAGGAAACACATACCCAAAGTTCATCCACAAATCAAGGAGGAATTGGAAAGGAGAAAAAGAAACTACAAGAATTTCAGAATTTGTTTTGTTTTGTTTTATTCTGTTTGGGATTTCTGAATGAACTGAGAAGGAATTGGTAAATTGTCTATAGGGAAGGGAGATCTAATCAGGTTCCCAGTAGTTCAAGGTAGTGCAGCTTAATGTCATTTGGAAAAAGCAATAATGTGAGACATTTTTGAAAGGAAGAACTTTAAAAATAGTGTTTTAAATTTTTCTTTCACATCATTGTCATGAAATAACGCTGTTAAAGGAAAGAATTAGGAATTAGTTACAGACCCAAAATAGCAAGTACAAGCACGAAAGAATAGAGAAATGCAGTAACCTCGGCTTTAGTTGATTTGACAATTTAGATTTGATCTCTAGTAAAGCTGTGTAGAATCAGTAACTTCTAGGCTCTAATTAACAAAGCAGGAACCCTCCTTTCTTATTAACTTCTGTAACATTACTGTGTTCAAAAAGATAACGCAGTTTCTTTTGTCTTTTGTTTTCTTTCAGACAGGTATATGTGTAATAGCTTTCTCTTTTGCAGCATTTTGTACTGACATTTGTGAAGTCAACAGCACTTCACCAATGATTTTTAAATTAATGATGTGTCATAGTTTCCTGATGTGTCAATTAGTTCTTAATTAAAATTTTTTCAAAATAAGTCAGCTAAATAGTGAAGCCAAAAAAGAAACTTGAAAACAAATCGGCTGAAAATAAATTCAAATAACAGGACACTAACTTACATTGGCACACCACTTGTACCACTTTATACGTACAAAATGAATTCACAGATGTGATCTCATGTCATTCTCAAAGCACTTTGCCCACAGATACATAGCTGGCAAGTAGGTGGCTTATAACCACTTACCTGTAAGGGACATAAACCTAGATCTCCTGACTGAATTAATTTTTGTTTCACTATGCTATATTGTTTCTCCAACGTATATATTACTTATGAATACTACTTCAGAAAATTTTACATTAACCTTAGAGTCTGCTGTGGAAAGAATAAAGACAGTTCTGATCAGAATCTAGAAAATTAGTGAGTTATATGTATGTGTTTTTTTATCTGAAAATAAAGATGGTATCATTTATATCTATCAGCCCACTGTGAAAATCAGAATTATCAGTCAGACTGATTCCGTGTTACTCAGGAAGAAAAATGTTATTTCAAAAGATGCTTTGAACACCCTAGCGTTAGGGAAGAGGATTGTAACAAATTGGTTTAAAACGTTGAGGCTTATTTTCTTTTTGGTGGGGCTTTTTTTTTTTTTTTTTTTTTTTAAGATTTATCTTTAGTCTACTCAGTAAAGTGAAAAGTTGTTTATGAATATAGAACAGGATGATTTTAATAACTTTAATTTTTACAAATCTAAACTCTCTAGTTTTGGGTGTCTTTTTTAACTACTTCACGTAGTACTTTCACAAATACTAAATGGGTATTCTTCCACAGCATTATACAAGACTCGGTGATGAGCGGCACTAGGTTTAAGAAAGTACTGTATCCTTCGGTTAAAATTCCATGCTGATGTACTCTGATAAGTTTAAATCCTGAGCCTGAACTGAGCTGCACTGGTGACTGAATTACAATGAAAGTAATTTATATAAAATATACTTAAAATACAAAAATGGTATTTCACATTATGTATGGGTTTTGCCTGCATACGTAATTATGATGTCTACTTTCCAAATTACAGTCTGCTGCAAATCCTGAGACTCCAAACTCAACCATCTCCAGAGAGGCCAGCACCCAGTCTTCATCAGCTGCAGCTAGCCAAGGCTGGGTGTTACCAGAAGGCAAAATCGTGCCAAACACTGTTTTTGTTGGTGGAATTGATGCTAGGGTATTGTATTCGTACCTCATTTTTACCTTAACATACATCATGAACAATGGGATGTGGGCCCTGTTACAAACTTAAATTTTTTTTTGTACTTCCTGGAGGTTTAGAATTGCTTTTAGGTTTGACCCATAGGTACTAAAAATATCTTTGACAAAGGGCTGCTGGTCATTCGGGGATAAATGGGGGAGAAATTTCCACCTCATGGTAGTAAAATTGTAGTAAAGTTGAAATTTTTGAATGCTGAATTTTTACTCTGACGTTCAGTTCTTTTCCATAGATGGATGAAACTGAGATTGGAAGCTGCTTTGGTAGATACGGTTCAGTGAAAGAAGTGAAGATAATCACGAATCGAACTGGTGTGTCCAAAGGGTGAGTAATTTTATCAAAAATATGTGAACTCCAGTCACCTATTCTATAAGTATCAGACAAGACTTCAAAACTGATATTCTGACCCTTGTATAAATGCAATATTCTGCAGTGTTAATTTCTTTCACGTAGGGGATAAAAGGCTATTACCAGTTCTTCTATTTGACCATTTTTCTAATGTTTGTATTTAAATGTCTCCAGTTTCTATTTCATACAGATGAGTTAATCAGTTTTCTCAAATAATTGTTTTCTTCATACACTGCAGAGCATCTTAAATTTTAACCACCTTGTCTTAGACAGTAAGTTAAACTCAGGTTCACAGATATGAATTCTTTGCTAATCAATAAAGTTGTCACACTGCCCTAATCCTAGCACATTTTGACATAGTTCTGCTTAAGAAAAAGTGGTATTTGTAGAGGATCTGTCATGTACATCTTAGCAAATACTTATCATGGTATATTATTCGTCTTTTGTCATGACCACTTCTGTATATAGAATAGTAGACCTTCTGAACCACGTACTGTATGATGGTGATTTTATGCTTCATTTGTCTGCCTTTATAGCTATGGATTTGTTTCGTTTGTTAATGACGTGGATGTCCAGAAGATAGTAGGAGTAAGTAATCTAATAGAAAAATCTCTTATTTATCTTATTGCTACAACGTTTAGTGTCAGTGATACACTCGGACTTGTGTAAAATTTGGGGAAAGACACACTTCCTGTTCAAAATCCAAACTCAGAGTAACCTCACGTAGCTTGTTTGATCCTGTTTATTTTTGACTGGACACCTAGTTTCATGAACTACAGACAGGAAGGGTTGGAGACAGGGTGATGGAAAGTTTTTGATCAACTTTCACTTGATGCCTCTTGACACTGATTAGAGTAGTAAGGGTAAGTAAGGTAGCTTCGTGATGACAAATTTTAATTTGGTGCGTAGTTGTCCCCGATCTTCTATGATGATAGGTACTTTAGAAGACTTCAGGTGTTTACCCAAGTCTTGGAAGCTAACACTTGAAAATTGATTCTAGTTTTGTTAACGGTTCTATTTTCAGTCACAGATACATTTCCATGGTAAAAAGCTGAAGCTGGGCCCTGCAATCAGGAAACAAAAGTTATGTGAGTAGGAAAAGAAATGGTTCTTTTCTGACCCGTGTAGCTTTTCAAATAACTAAAAATAGGCTTTTTTCTTCTTGCTTTTTAAAAAGGTGCTCGTCATGTGCAGCCACGTCCTTTGGTAGTTAATCCTCCTCCTCCACCACAGTTTCAGAACGTCTGGCGGAATCCAAACACTGAAACCTACCTGCAGCCCCAAATCACGCCGAATCCTGTAACTCAGCACGTTCAGGTAAGAACTGCTTATGTTCCTGTTCTCTTGTTTATTCTAGTCATCCTTCCCTCTGTGGAATTGTATCTACACTTTCCATAGTAAGTGGCAATAGAATCCCTGTTTGAACAGTGTGAGTAACGGGAAATCTGTTACTTTTGTTAGAAATTTCTTATTCTTCGTGTTCGTCATTTGAGCTAAGAATCTTCTGTATACTTGGCGAAGCTTTCTCTTAGAAATGACCTCTGTAGACACATGAACAAATCTCTTCCTATCTCTGCCTCTTTCACCTCATATAACTAGTTCCTAAAGTATTTGGAAGCAGCCCTCCTTATGTGTCTGCCTAGTTTATTGTTCTCTAAGGTTAGCAGTTAACCTAGCTATTCTTTACTTGCAGTGATTTCCAGATGCCTCCTCATATAAATTGCTTGACTTCTGGGTATATTCTGGTTCTGGGATGGGTAGATTTCTGATCTCTTTTGCTCTATCTAGAAATCCCGTGAGTTTCTGGCACGTAATTTCTCTGATGCTGGTTGCTTTGATATTTAAAGTAGGATTTGACATACTCTTGTCACTTACTGGTGATAAATAACGTTTAGTTTGTTCTTCGTTCATTTTATTTATGTGTTAGTTTTTAAAAAGAGGTTTTCTTCGATGGAAAATAAAGTAACCAAATAGTAGTGAATTAGTTCTTCAGTGTCTCTCATTTGTTGACATTTTCCGTGTACTTGAAACGTGTGGGGTACACCTCTTCTTCTTTTTCCTTCTCTGAGCAATGGCTAGAAGAAAAGCCCTACTTGTTTGTAGCATTTACTGTGAGCCATTACTGAATGTGGGTGTATTGATGAATGATGCTACCTGTATGTTTTTAATCAGTAAGTATTTATTGAAAAGTAGAAGACATTATACTGTCTCTTTTCCAGCTGTGGCTTACTTACTGCCCTTAATTTGTGGAAAAGAAGTACAGAGAAAGCCGTAACATCTGCCGAAGAACTACAGTATTACCCTATAATATCATCAGATAGCAAACAGTCTAGAAGTATTTTGCCAAAGAAAGAGCAAATGTATTATTTTAACTTACGTTGAAATCTATCTTAATAGAGCCTTATCAGCAGCGTAAGAAATAACTTCTGGGTGGGCATAAGTACACAGTATAAATATGGTAGACTTTGGCCGGTGCAACAGTCACTTGTTTTGTCATTTGTCTCTTCCCCCTCCCCGCCCAAAGGGTAGCACTTGACAGAGAATATTTGTTTCTTCATGTCAGTCATTCATTTAGAAATCTGTATTTCTGTATGTAGAAAAATAATTACCATTTCAAGGTTTTTCGTATTTTTGTTATTTTGGGAATGGTATTTCTTTCTAGTTAAAAAAAAAAACACATTTTACCGTATTAATCCATTCCTTCTGTAAACTTTATTCTCGGCTTATTCTCCTTATCCAAACTCACCAGGTCAGGTCATCACTGGGTATCAGTTGCCTGTGTATAATTATCAGGTGATTGAAGAGGGAGTAAAATGATTTACTTTCAGCTACTACTGAGGCCTTCAACTTGTTTATACAAATTGCCTGAATAGTTTGTCCTTTTAAACTAGTGAACTGTACCTAAAATTTAAGAAAACACTTAGAATTAGTGTAATGAAGACCTCTGTAGTATGTAGAAGTGATGAAATAATATTTTGACAGGAGGGTACTTAGCAGTAACTTTTCTGCAGAACAGTTTCTGAGATTTGGTGTTCCTGTCTTGGTTTCAGCATGAATTTTGTTATCTTTGCTGTCAAAGAGCTGAAACATGGCAGACTGTCTTTCGTGAATTTTGTAGAGATACAGAGTGAAATAAAAGCTTTACCCAATTCTTAGAGCGCAGAATTCCAATTGTGTTTTTATTTTAGCTTGCTGCTTCATGATAAAGACTTCTCTGGGTCTCTTTTCAACGATACGAGTATATCTATGACCAATAATCGTATCTGTGGTAACAAATTCAAAGAATTAGTATCTTTGAGAGTTCCACAATGCCATTTGCAGAAAATTGGGAAAAAGGTGAGGTTTTCTATGTAGAAGGAGCAACAAGAACTTCAGGGATTAGAAACCTAAAGTACTTCTTTTTTTCTATTCTGTTTCTTTCGTTATATTAACCAAGGAGCCAGCATGAGAAGTACTTCAGTATTGTGTATCTCATGTGTTTTTGAAAAAGTACAGGAATATTTGAATAATATTGGTTTCCTTTTTTTTTTTTTTTTTTCAAGTTGCCACCGCAGTGGCCTGTTGGGGAGCAAAGGAGTTATGCTGTACTTCAGATAAAGTGAATGCGCCGAACCTATACTCCCTGTTCTTTCTTTTTTTTCTGTGTCATATATGCCTATAAATTTTTTAAATCGTTCTTTGTATTAATGTGGCACATTTTGTTACTTTCTTTTTAACCCAATTTTAAACTCCTATGGGAGCAACAGTGCCTTTTTCTCTGTCAGGTTTTTGCGTGCTTAAGGAATGGCTCGTACACATGATGATAAGAAAGAATTCAGTAGCTTTTTGATAGACTATACACTCCATGAAAGGTAGTATTAATAGTGGCTTTAGAATGAGCATGTATCTGCCTGGAATCTGCCTCTGGCTTTACCCTCCGTAAAAAAAAAAAAAAAAAAAAAAAAAAAAAAAAGTGTTCAAGAGAAACAGAAATGTTTTGCTATTAATTACTCTTAAATAAGAGTAGGAAGAAAAAAGAGTATTACCTCTAAAACACCCGAACTGCTTTCCCCCCACATAACTAGTTCCGAAAATATTTGAAAGCAGCTGTCTTCGTGTGTCTGCCTAGTTTATTCTTCCCGAAGGTTAGCAATTCATCCAGCTGTTCTTTACTTGCAATGATTTCCAGATGTCTCCTCATATAGATTGCTGACTTCTGGATATATTCTGGTTCTGGAATGGGTAGATTTCTGATGTGTTTTCCTATATTTATAAATCCCGTGAGTTTCGGGCATGTGATTTCTCTGATGCTGGTTACCTTGATATTTAAAGTAGGATTTGACATACTCTGTCACTTACTGGGGATAAGTAATGTTTATTTTCTTTTTAGTTTGTTTTATTGATGTCTTAGTTTAAAAGACATTTTCTTTGATGGAAAATAAAGTAACAAAATAGTGGTGAAATAGTTCTTCAGTGTCTCTCGTTTGTTGACGTTTTCCATGTGCTTGAAACAGGTAGGGTATACCTCTGCTTCTTTTTTGTCCTCTGAACGATGGCTAGCAAAAAAGCCCTGTTTCTCACATTTACGGTGAGCCATTACGTAATCTGGGTGTATTCATGTGTGATGCTACGTATAGTTTTCAATCAGTAAGTATTTATTGAAACGTAGAAGACACCATACTGTCTCTTTTCCAGCTGTGGATCATATACTGCCCTTAGTTTTTTGAAATGAAGTACAGAAAAAGCCGTAACATTTGTAGGAGAACGTCGTATTACCCTATAATATTGTCAAATAGAAAACCCTTTAGAAGTATTTTAACAAAGAAATAGCAAATGGATTAATTTAACTTACAATTGAAGTCTGTCTTAATAGAGCCTTATCACCAGCGTAAGAAATAACTTCTGGGCGGGCGTAAGTACACAGTATAAATAAGGTAAACTTGTCTGGTGAAATAGTCCCTTCTTTTGTCATTTGTCTGTTCCCCTTCCCCAGCCAAAGGGCCTCACTTGACAGAATATTTCTTCTTCATAAAATCAGTCACTCATTTAGAATTCTGCAGTGCTGTATATAGAAAAGTAATGTTTTAAAACTTTTTCATAGTTTTTTATATTGGGAATAGTATTTCTAATTAACAAAATGTTTTACCGTATTCATTCATTCTTACTGTAAACTTTATTTATAGGCACACACTACTCACCCAAATTCAGCAGTTCACGGCATCACTAGATATCATTTGCCTGTATATAATTATCAGGTAATTTAAGAGGGAGTAAAATGATTTACTTTCAGATATTATTGAGCCCTTTGTTTATACAAATTGCTTGAATAGTTTGCCATTTTAAAGAAGTGAAATGTACCTAAAATTTAAGACAACACTTCAAATTAGTCTAGAATGAAGGCCTCTGTATTATTTAGAAGTAATTGAGTAATATTTTGACAGGAATGTACTTAGCAAAAACTTTACTGTAGAATAGGTTTTTGAGATTTGGTGTCCCCTTCTATATTGTAGCATGTTTTTTTTTTTTTTTTTTTTTTTTAAATCTTTGCCGTCAAATAGCCGAAACATCCAGACTGACTTTTATCAGTTTTTTAGAGAGACAGAGTGAAATAAAATTATTACCCACTTTTTAGAGCACAGAATTTGAATTATATTTTTATTTTAGCTGGCTGCTTCACAATAGTAGTCCTCTGTGTCTCTTTTCATAGATATGACTGTATATATGACCCATGATCATATCTATGGTAATACATTCAAAGAACTAATATCCTTGAGATTTCCACAATACCAACCCCAGAAAATTGGGAAAAAGTTGAGGTTTTACATATAAAAGTAACAACAAGAACGTCAGGGATTAGAAACTTGAAGTAATTCTTTTTTCCATTCTGTTTCTTTTATTGTAATAACAAATTAAAGGAACCAGCGTATGTACTTCAATGTTGTGTTATCTCATGTGTTTTTGAAAATGTGAAGGAATATTTGAATGATTTTTGTTTCCTGTCTCTACTAAAAATACAAAAAATTTAGCCAGGCGTGGTGGCGCACACTTGTAATCCCAGCTACTCGGGAGGCTGAGGCAGCAGCATCACGTGATCCTGGGGCGCAGATTGCTGTGAGCTGAGATTGTGCCACTGCACTCCAGCCTAGGCGGCAAAGAGAGACTCAGTCTCAAAAAGAACAATGCTGTGAATATCTTTGTGTAAATATCTTGGCACGCTTGTACTATTAATTTCTTGAGATGAATTGCTATAAGTGGAATTGCTAGGTGAAAGCACTTTGCCCCTTGTATAACAATTTTATAATGAATTCTCCTTTTTAGTATAGTGGTGAGTATCCCCGCTTATCAAATTATGATACAGCTTTTCCAAAGTACTCTTGGTAAATCACGTATTAGTATTTTCTCACTGATGGTGTGTAGAGTGCTGTCTTTTCCACACCCATTCCAGTGAAAGTTATTAGTATTTTTTAAATTGTCAGCGTAATAGCTGGAAAATATTACATTATGTTGATGTGCACTTTTAAAAATCATCATTGAAGTTGATCATTGATCTTTAGCTTTTAAAATTACCTTTTTAATTTTATTTTTCTTACTGATTCATAAGAATACTTTGTATTAGTATTCACTTTTGTCATACACAGTGGAAAACATATGCAGGAGTAATAAGGAGGTGCCCTGGTGCCCTTACCTCATTCCTACTTTCAATTGAGTTGACTCAACTATTTCACTTGTAAGCTTGATGATAGGGTAGAATGAGATTGATAGAAAATAAGATTCCTCTACCTCTATTTTACTTGGGTTTTTAAAAAATTTAAATTATGAGTGCTGTATTTTATCAAATGATTTTCAGTGATGAACTAAAGTAATGTATCCTGCGAATGGAGTATTCTTGCATTCCCAATGTAAACTTAGACTCTTTATATACTGCTGGAATTTTGCATTTGTGTTGAGGGCAGGGATGGATCATCTGGATGAGGCTTTGTTACCTATATGCTTTTAGCTTTGTAAAACGCGTTGAGAAATACTTTCTTCCTCATTGAAAATAGAGTTTCTGCTTAGCATTCTTCTATTATCTGTGGCCGCAACCCATTTTTCAGGTCTCATGTATACTTTTGCTTTCTTGTGTTTTCTTGCTTTGTTTTGCCAGGATTGTTTATTGCTTGAATTTCATCCTCCCCACGCACCACTCCCCGAGAATCTGCTCTTTGATTTGCTTAAGGTTTTGATTCTGATTTTCCTGTCATATTTTCTTAATTTTATCACTCTCTTTATTTGCTCCTCTTCTATTGCTGTGAATGTAACTTTGCTGACTACAAATGATAGGCTTTTTCCTGGTCAGTTTATATAAGTATCAGTTTGCTTACAGGTTGACATAGTAATTGAATTAGATAATACTGGCAAAGGAGCTGACATGCCAGGAGTTTAAATAACGATAATTTTTTTGCAGCTTTTAGCTGTCGTTGTCACTTGGTTGTCCACATGTAACAAGGAATGTATTTGCCCTATGTAGCAGTGAGAGTTGCGTGTATGATGGTGTTGAAGCTCACCCCTGTTTACTATTGCAACATTTCTCATTTGAAAATTCAACAACTCACTTGAAGATACGGTTAAGAAAATTACTTCTTTAATGCAGTTTGTTTTCAGGATGCCATTGACGGTTACGATGGTACTTTCTTTCAAACTAAACTTTTGCTTATCCGAAGCATTCATTTATATTTTTGGCCGTAGTTTAAAACTAACCAAAGATTGTCTGTTGATTGTGGATTTTTATATATACATTATATAATTATGTATAAGTACACAGTCGGAATTGAACAATCCCTGCTACTCGAGCCATGGTAAAAGTGAAGTACGTTGCAGAAAACGAGGTACATTGCTTACCTTGTTAGCTTTGAGCGCCACCTGCTGGCTGAGGACTAGGACATGATCATTACTTCCTTCATTTAAAGTATTATGACGCTGTTAGAGAGATTCAGTGAATTTTATATGTACGATTCCAGTTAAGCAGGCAGCCGGTTTGTAAGATCCAAGCTAAAGTCAAACTTCTTAATAATATCAAATGCCTTTTTTCTTCTTTACCAAACTACGGTTATTTCGAGTATCCAAATGAGTATGAGAATCAGAAGAGACACCCGAGGTCTTTTCCGGCCATTCGTTTTCAAGCAAGGAAACTGAAACCGAGGTCATGAAAAGATTCACTTTAGTGAGCGATGGAAATCAGGTTCTTCCCAAAGAAGAATTTTCCTCTTCAATTCTTGTGGCACGGTGACAAGGTTTCTTAACCAGACCCTTTTCAAATTGTGCACCAAATACTTCCTTATGGTAGGAGGCTGTCTTTACACTGTAGGATGCGCAGTAGTGTGCCTGGCCTTCGGCCCATCAGATTCCAGGAATACATCTCAGTTGTGACAGCCAATCTCTAAACGTCGCTAAATGCCCCTGGGGCTCAAAAATCTTGCCCAGTTGAGAATCAGTGCATTTCCATAACCTCTCGTAGTCTGACACAGTTTTCTGCCAGATGTTACATTTCTAAATTAAAATACATCCAAACACTATGGTGCAGAGACGATACTGTAATATAGCTTGTTTATCAAGGAAACACATACCCAAAGTTCATCCACAAATCAAGGAGGAATTGGAAAGGAGAAAAAGAAACTACAAGAATTTCAGAATTTGTTTTGTTTTGTTTTATTCTGTTTGGGATTTCTGAATGAACTGAGAAGGAATTGGTAAATTGTCTATAGGGAAGGGAGATCTAATCAGGTTCCCAGTAGTTCAAGGTAGTGCAGCTTAATGTCATTTGGAAAAAGCAATAATGTGAGACATTTTTGAAAGGAAGAACTTTAAAAATAGTGTTTTAAATTTTTCTTTCACATCATTGTCATGAAATAACGCTGTTAAAGGAAAGAGTTAGGAATTAGTTACAGACCCAAAATAGCAAGTACAAGCACGAAAGAATAGAGAAATGCAGTAACCTCGGCTTTAGTTGATTTGACAATTTAGATTTGATCTCTAGTAAAGCTGTGTAGAATCAGTAACTTCTAGGCTCTAATTAACAAAGCAGGAACCCTCCTTTCTTATTAACTTCTATAACATTACTGTGTTCAAAAAGATAACGCAGTTTCTTTTGTCTTTTGTTTTCTTTCAGACAGGTATATGTGTAATAGCTTTCTCTTTTGCAGCATTTTGTACTGACATTTGTGAAGTCAACAGCACTTCACCAATGATTTTTAAATTAATGATGTGTCATAGTTTCCTGATGTGTCAATTAGTTCTTAATTAAAATTTTTTCAAAATAAGTCAGCTAAATAGTGAAGCCAAAAAAGAAACTTGAAAACAAATCGGCTGAAAATAAATTCAAATAACAGGACACTAACTTACATTGGCACACCACTTGTACCACTTTATACGTACAAAATGAATTCACAGATGTGATCTCATGTCATTCTCAAAGCACTTTGCCCACAGATACATAGCTGGCAAGTAGGTGGCTTATAACCACTTACCTGTAAGGGACATAAACCTAGATCTCCTGACTGAATTAATTTTTGTTTCACTATGCTATATTGTTTCTCCAACGTATATATTACTTATGAATACTACTTCAGAAAATTTTACATTAACCTTAGAGTCTGCTGTGGAAAGAATAAAGACAGTTCTGATCAGAATCTAGAAAATTAGTGAGTTATATGTATGTGTTTTTTTATCTGAAAATAAAGATGGTATCATTTATATCTATCAGCCCACTGTGAAAATCAGAATTATCAGTCAGACTGATTCCGTGTTACTCAGGAAGAAAAATGTTATTTCAAAAGATGCTTTGAACACCCTAGCGTTAGGGAAGAGGATTGTAACAAATTGGTTTAAAACGTTGAGGCTTATTTTCTTTTTGGTGGGGCTTTTTTTTTTTTTTTTTTTTTTTAAGATTTATCTTTAGTCTACTCAGTAAAGTGAAAAGTTGTTTATGAATATAGAACAGGATGATTTTAATAACTTTAATTTTTACAAATCTAAACTCTCTAGTTTTGGGTGTCTTTTTTAACTACTTCACGTAGTACTTTCACAAATACTAAATGGGTATTCTTCCACAGCATTATACAAGACTCGGTGATGAGCGGCACTAGGTTTAAGAAAGTACTGTATCCTTCGGTTAAAATTCCATGCTGATGTACTCTGATAAGTTTAAATCCTGAGCCTGAACTGAGCTGCACTGGTGACTGAATTACAATGAAAGTAATTTATATAAAATATACTTAAAATACAAAAATGGTATTTCACATTATGTATGGGTTTTGCCTGCATACGTAATTATGATGTCTACTTTCCAAATTACAGTCTGCTGCAAATCCTGAGACTCCAAACTCAACCATCTCCAGAGAGGCCAGCACCCAGTCTTCATCAGCTGCAGCTAGCCAAGGCTGGGTGTTACCAGAAGGCAAAATCGTGCCAAACACTGTTTTTGTTGGTGGAATTGATGCTAGGGTATTGTATTCGTACCTCATTTTTACCTTAACATACATCATGAACAATGGGATGTGGGCCCTGTTACAAACTTAAATTTTTTTTTGTACTTCCTGGAGGTTTAGAATTGCTTTTAGGTTTGACCCATAGGTACTAAAAATATCTTTGACAAAGGGCTGCTGGTCATTCGGGGATAAATGGGGGAGAAATTTCCACCTCATGGTAGTAAAATTGTAGTAAAGTTGAAATTTTTGAATGCTGAATTTTTACTCTGACGTTCAGTTCTTTTCCATAGATGGATGAAACTGAGATTGGAAGCTGCTTTGGTAGATACGGTTCAGTGAAAGAAGTGAAGATAATCACGAATCGAACTGGTGTGTCCAAAGGGTGAGTAATTTTATCAAAAATATGTGAACTCCAGTCACCTATTCTATAAGTATCAGACAAGACTTCAAAACTGATATTCTGACCCTTGTATAAATGCAATATTCTGCAGTGTTAATTTCTTTCACGTAGGGGATAAAAGGCTATTACCAGTTCTTCTATTTGACCATTTTTCTAATGTTTGTATTTAAATGTCTCCAGTTTCTATTTCATACAGATGAGTTAATCAGTTTTCTCAAATAATTGTTTTCTTCATACACTGCAGAGCATCTTAAATTTTAACCACCTTGTCTTAGACAGTAAGTTAAACTCAGGTTCACAGATATGAATTCTTTGCTAATCAATAAAGTTGTCACACTGCCCTAATCCTAGCACATTTTGACATAGTTCTGCTTAAGAAAAAGTGGTATTTGTAGAGGATCTGTCATGTACATCTTAGCAAATACTTATCATGGTATATTATTCGTCTTTTGTCATGACCACTTCTGTATATAGAATAGTAGACCTTCTGAACCACGTACTGTATGATGGTGATTTTATGCTTCATTTGTCTGCCTTTATAGCTATGGATTTGTTTCGTTTGTTAATGACGTGGATGTCCAGAAGATAGTAGGAGTAAGTAATCTAATAGAAAAATCTCTTATTTATCTTATTGCTACAACGTTTAGTGTCAGTGATACACTCGGACTTGTGTAAAATTTGGGGAAAGACACACTTCCTGTTCAAAATCCAAACTCAGAGTAACCTCACGTAGCTTGTTTGATCCTGTTTATTTTTGACTGGACACCTAGTTTCATGAACTACAGACAGGAAGGGTTGGAGACAGGGTGATGGAAAGTTTTTGATCAACTTTCACTTGATGCCTCTTGACACTGATTAGAGTAGTAAGGGTAAGTAAGGTAGCTTCGTGATGACAAATTTTAATTTGGTGCGTAGTTGTCCCCGATCTTCTATGATGATAGGTACTTTAGAAGACTTCAGGTGTTTACCCAAGTCTTGGAAGCTAACACTTGAAAATTGATTCTAGTTTTGTTAACGGTTCTATTTTCAGTCACAGATACATTTCCATGGTAAAAAGCTGAAGCTGGGCCCTGCAATCAGGAAACAAAAGTTATGTGAGTAGGAAAAGAAATGGTTCTTTTCTGACCCGTGTAGCTTTTCAAATAACTAAAAATAGGCTTTTTTCTTCTTGCTTTTTAAAAAGGTGCTCGTCATGTGCAGCCACGTCCTTTGGTAGTTAATCCTCCTCCTCCACCACAGTTTCAGAACGTCTGGCGGAATCCAAACACTGAAACCTACCTGCAGCCCCAAATCACGCCGAATCCTGTAACTCAGCACGTTCAGGTAAGAACTGCTTATGTTCCTGTTCTCTTGTTTATTCTAGTCATCCTTCCCTCTGTGGAATTGTATCTACACTTTCCATAGTAAGTGGCAATAGAATCCCTGTTTGAACAGTGTGAGTAACGGGAAATCTGTTACTTTTGTTAGAAATTTCTTATTCTTCGTGTTCGTCATTTGAGCTAAGAATCTTCTGTATACTTGGCGAAGCTTTCTCTTAGAAATGACCTCTGTAGACACATGAACAAATCTCTTCCTATCTCTGCCTCTTTCACCTCATATAACTAGTTCCTAAAGTATTTGGAAGCAGCCCTCCTTATGTGTCTGCCTAGTTTATTGTTCTCTAAGGTTAGCAGTTAACCTAGCTATTCTTTACTTGCAGTGATTTCCAGATGCCTCCTCATATAAATTGCTTGACTTCTGGGTATATTCTGGTTCTGGGATGGGTAGATTTCTGATCTCTTTTGCTCTATCTAGAAATCCCGTGAGTTTCTGGCACGTAATTTCTCTGATGCTGGTTGCTTTGATATTTAAAGTAGGATTTGACATACTCTTGTCACTTACTGGTGATAAATAACGTTTAGTTTGTTCTTCGTTCATTTTATTTATGTGTTAGTTTTTAAAAAGAGGTTTTCTTCGATGGAAAATAAAGTAACCAAATAGTAGTGAATTAGTTCTTCAGTGTCTCTCATTTGTTGACATTTTCCATGTACTTGAAACGTGTGGGGTACACCTCTTCTTCTTTTTCCTTCTCTGAGCAATGGCTAGAAGAAAAGCCCTACTTGTTTGTAGCATTTACTGTGAGCCATTACTGAATGTGGGTGTATTGATGAATGATGCTACCTGTATGTTTTTAATCAGTAAGTATTTATTGAAAAGTAGAAGACATTATACTGTCTCTTTTCCAGCTGTGGCTTATTTACTGCCCTTAATTTGTGGAAAAGAAGTACAGAGAAAGCCGTAACATCTGCCGAAGAACTACAGTATTACCCTATAATATCATCAGATAGCAAACAGTCTAGAAGTATTTTGCCAAAGAAAGAGCAAATGTATTATTTTAACTTACGTTGAAATCTATCTTAATAGAGCCTTATCAGCAGCGTAAGAAATAACTTCTGGGTGGGCATAAGTACACAGTATAAATATGGTAGACTTTGGCCGGTGCAACAGTCACTTGTTTTGTCATTTGTCTCTTCCCCCTCCCCGCCCAAAGGGTAGCACTTGACAGAGAATATTTGTTTCTTCATGTCAGTCATTCATTTAGAAATCTGTATTTCTGTATGTAGAAAAATAATTACCATTTCAAGGTTTTTCGTATTTTTGTTATTTTGGGAATGGTATTTCTTTCTAGTTAAAAAAAAAAACACATTTTACCGTATTAATCCATTCCTTCTGTAAACTTTATTCTCGGCTTATTCTCCTTATCCAAACTCACCAGGTCAGGTCATCACTGGGTATCAGTTGCCTGTGTATAATTATCAGGTGATTGAAGAGGGAGTAAAATGATTTACTTTCAGCTACTACTGAGGCCTTCAACTTGTTTATACAAATTGCCTGAATAGTTTGTCCTTTTAAACTAGTGAACTGTACCTAAAATTTAAGAAAACACTTAGAATTAGTGTAATGAAGACCTCTGTAGTATGTAGAAGTGATGAAATAATATTTTGACAGGAGGGTACTTAGCAGTAACTTTTCTGCAGAACAGTTTCTGAGATTTGGTGTTCCTGTCTTGGTTTCAGCATGAATTTTGTTATCTTTGCTGTCAAAGAGCTGAAACATGGCAGACTGTCTTTCGTGAATTTTGTAGAGATACAGAGTGAAATAAAAGCTTTACCCAATTCTTAGAGCGCAGAATTCCAATTGTGTTTTTATTTTAGCTTGCTGCTTCATGATAAAGACTTCTCTGGGTCTCTTTTCAACGATACGAGTATATCTATGACCGATAATCGTATCTGTGGTAACAAATTCAAAGAATTAGTATCTTTGAGAGTTCCACAATGCCATTTGCAGAAAATTGGGAAAAAGGTGAGGTTTTCTATGTAGAAGGAGCAACAAGAACTTCAGGGATTAGAAACCTAAAGTACTTCTTTTTTTCTATTCTGTTTCTTTCGTTATATTAACCAAGGAGCCAGCATGAGAAGTACTTCAGTATTGTGTATCTCATGTGTTTTTGAAAAAGTACAGGAATATTTGAATAATATTGGTTTCCTTTTTTTTTTTTTTTTTCAAGTTGCCACCGCAGTGGCCTGTTGGGGAGCAAAGGAGTTATGCTGTACTTCAGATAAAGTGAATGCGCCGAACCTATACTCCCTGTTCTTTCTTTTTTTTCTGTGTCATATATGCCTATAAATTTTTTAAATCGTTCTTTGTATTAATGTGGCACATTTTGTTACTTTCTTTTTAACCCAATTTTAAACTCCTATGGGAGCAACAGTGCCTTTTTCTCTGTCAGGTTTTTGCGTGCTTAAGGAATGGCTCGTACACATGATGATAAGAAAGAATTCAGTAACTTTTTGATAGACTATACACTCCATGAAAGGTAGTATTAATAGTGGCTTTAGAATGAGCATGTATCTGCCTGGAATCTGCCTCTGGCTTTACCCTCCGTAAAAAAAAAAAAAAAAAAAAAAAAAAAAAAGTGTTCAAGAGAAACAGAAATGTTTTGCTATTAATTACTCTTAAATAAGAGTAGGAAGAAAAAAGAGTATTACCTCTAAAACACCCGAACTGCTTTCCCCCCACATAACTAGTTCCGAAAATATTTGAAAGCAGCTGTCTTCGTGTGTCTGCCTAGTTTATTCTTCCCGAAGGTTAGCAATTCATCCAGCTGTTCTTTACTTGCAATGATTTCCAGATGTCTCCTCATATAGATTGCTGACTTCTGGATATATTCTGGTTCTGGAATGGGTAGATTTCTGATGTGTTTTCCTATATTTATAAATCCCGTGAGTTTCGGGCATGTGATTTCTCTGATGCTGGTTACCTTGATATTTAAAGTAGGATTTGACATACTCTGTCACTTACTGGGGATAAGTAATGTTTATTTTCTTTTTAGTTTGTTTTATTGATGTCTTAGTTTAAAAGACATTTTCTTTGATGGAAAATAAAGTAACAAAATAGTGGTGAAATAGTTCTTCAGTGTCTCTCGTTTGTTGACGTTTTCCATGTGCTTGAAACAGGTAGGGTATACCTCTGCTTCTTTTTTGTCCTCTGAACGATGGCTAGCAAAAAAGCCCTGTTTCTCACATTTACGGTGAGCCATTACGTAATCTGGGTGTATTCATGTGTGATGCTACGTATAGTTTTCAATCAGTAAGTATTTATTGAAACGTAGAAGACACCATACTGTCTCTTTTCCAGCTGTGGATCATATACTGCCCTTAGTTTTTTGAAATGAAGTACAGAAAAAGCCGTAACATTTGTAGGAGAACGTCGTATTACCCTATAATATTGTCAAATAGAAAACCCTTTAGAAGTATTTTAACAAAGAAATAGCAAATGGATTAATTTAACTTACAATTGAAGTCTGTCTTAATAGAGCCTTATCACCAGCGTAAGAAATAACTTCTGGGCGGGCGTAAGTACACAGTATAAATAAGGTAAACTTGTCTGGTGAAATAGTCCCTTCTTTTGTCATTTGTCTGTTCCCCTTCCCCAGCCAAAGGGCCTCACTTGACAGAATATTTCTTCTTCATAAAATCAGTCACTCATTTAGAATTCTGCAGTGCTGTATATAGAAAAGTAATGTTTTAAAACTTTTTCATAGTTTTTTATATTGGGAATAGTATTTCTAATTAACAAAATGTTTTACCGTATTCATTCATTCTTACTGTAAACTTTATTTATAGGCACACACTACTCACCCAAATTCAGCAGTTCACGGCATCACTAGATATCATTTGCCTGTATATAATTATCAGGTAATTTAAGAGGGAGTAAAATGATTTACTTTCAGATATTATTGAGCCCTTTGTTTATACAAATTGCTTGAATAGTTTGCCATTTTAAAGAAGTGAAATGTACCTAAAATTTAAGACAACACTTCAAATTAGTCTAGAATGAAGGCCTCTGTATTATTTAGAAGTAATTGAGTAATATTTTGACAGGAATGTACTTAGCAAAAACTTTACTGTAGAATAGGTTTTTGAGATTTGGTGTCCCCTTCTATATTGTAGCATGTTTTTTTTTTTTTTTTTTTTTTTTAAATCTTTGCCGTCAAATAGCCGAAACATCCAGACTGACTTTTATCAGTTTTTTAGAGAGACAGAGTGAAATAAAATTATTACCCACTTTTTAGAGCACAGAATTTGAATTATATTTTTATTTTAGCTGGCTGCTTCACAATAGTAGTCCTCTGTGTCTCTTTTCATAGATATGACTGTATATATGACCCATGATCATATCTATGGTAATACATTCAAAGAACTAATATCCTTGAGATTTCCACAATACCAACCCCAGAAAATTGGGAAAAAGTTGAGGTTTTACATATAAAAGTAACAACAAGAACGTCAGGGATTAGAAACTTGAAGTAATTCTTTTTTCCATTCTGTTTCTTTTATTGTAATAACAAATTAAAGGAACCAGCGTATGTACTTCAATGTTGTGTTATCTCATGTGTTTTTGAAAATGTGAAGGAATATTTGAATGATTTTTGTTTCCTGTCTCTACTAAAAATACAAAAAATTTAGCCAGGCGTGGTGGCGCACACTTGTAATCCCAGCTACTCGGGAGGCTGAGGCAGCAGCATCACGTGATCCTGGGGCGCAGATTGCTGTGAGCTGAGATTGTGCCACTGCACTCCAGCCTAGGCGGCAAAGAGAGACTCAGTCTCAAAAAGAACAATGCTGTGAATATCTTTGTGTAAATATCTTGGCACGCTTGTACTATTAATTTCTTGAGATGAATTGCTATAAGTGGAATTGCTAGGTGAAAGCACTTTGCCCCTTGTATAACAATTTTATAATGAATTCTCCTTTTTAGTATAGTGGTGAGTATCCCCGCTTATCAAATTATGATACAGCTTTTCCAAAGTACTCTTGGTAAATCACGTATTAGTATTTTCTCACTGATGGTGTGTAGAGTGCTGTCTTTTCCACACCCATTCCAGTGAAAGTTATTAGTATTTTTTAAATTGTCAGCGTAATAGCTGGAAAATATTACATTATGTTGATGTGCACTTTTAAAAATCATCATTGAAGTTGATCATTGATCTTTAGCTTTTAAAATTACCTTTTTAATTTTATTTTTCTTACTGATTCATAAGAATACTTTGTATTAGTATTCACTTTTGTCATACACAGTGGAAAACATATGCAGGAGTAATAAGGAGGTGCCCTGGTGCCCTTACCTCATTCCTACTTTCAATTGAGTTGACTCAACTATTTCACTTGTAAGCTTGATGATAGGGTAGAATGAGATTGATAGAAAATAAGATTCCTCTACCTCTATTTTACTTGGGTTTTTAAAAAATTTAAATTATGAGTGCTGTATTTTATCAAATGATTTTCAGTGATGAACTAAAGTAATGTATCCTGCGAATGGAGTATTCTTGCATTCCCAATGTAAACTTAGACTCTTTATATACTGCTGGAATTTTGCATTTGTGTTGAGGGCAGGGATGGATCATCTGGATGAGGCTTTGTTACCTATATGCTTTTAGCTTTGTAAAACGCGTTGAGAAATACTTTCTTCCTCATTGAAAATAGAGTTTCTGCTTAGCATTCTTCTATTATCTGTGGCCGCAACCCATTTTTCAGGTCTCATGTATACTTTTGCTTTCTTGTGTTTTCTTGCTTTGTTTTGCCAGGATTGTTTATTGCTTGAATTTCATCCTCCCCACGCACCACTCCCCGAGAATCTGCTCTTTGATTTGCTTAAGGTTTTGATTCTGATTTTCCTGTCATATTTTCTTAATTTTATCACTCTCTTTATTTGCTCCTCTTCTATTGCTGTGAATGTAACTTTGCTGACTACAAATGATAGGCTTTTTCCTGGTCAGTTTATATAAGTATCAGTTTGCTTACAGGTTGACATAGTAATTGAATTAGATAATACTGGCAAAGGAGCTGACATGCCAGGAGTTTAAATAACGATAATTTTTTTGCAGCTTTTAGCTGTCGTTGTCACTTGGTTGTCCACATGTAACAAGGAATGTATTTGCCCTATGTAGCAGTGAGAGTTGCGTGTATGATGGTGTTGAAGCTCACCCCTGTTTACTATTGCAACATTTCTCATTTGAAAATTCAACAACTCACTTGAAGATACGGTTAAGAAAATTACTTCTTTAATGCAGTTTGTTTTCAGGATGCCATTGACGGTTACGATGGTACTTTCTTTCAAACTAAACTTTTGCTTATCCGAAGCATTCATTTATATTTTTGGCCGTAGTTTAAAACTAACCAAAGATTGTCTGTTGATTGTGGATTTTTATATATACATTATATAATTATGTATAAGTACACAGTCGGAATTGAACAATCCCTGCTACTCGAGCCATGGTAAAAGTGAAGTACGTTGCAGAAAACGAGGTACATTGCTTACCTTGTTAGCTTTGAGCGCCACCTGCTGGCTGAGGACTAGGACATGATCATTACTTCCTTCATTTAAAGTATTATGACGCTGTTAGAGAGATTCAGTGAATTTTATATGTACGATTCCAGTTAAGCAGGCAGCCGGTTTGTAAGATCCAAGCTAAAGTCAAACTTCTTAATAATATCAAATGCCTTTTTTCTTCTTTACCAAACTACGGTTATTTCGAGTATCCAAATGAGTATGAGAATCAGAAGAGACACCCGAGGTCTTTTCCGGCCATTCGTTTTCAAGCAAGGAAACTGAAACCGAGGTCATGAAAAGATTCACTTTAGTGAGCGATGGAAATCAGGTTCTTCCCAAAGAAGAATTTTCCTCTTCAATTCTTGTGGCACGGTGACAAGGTTTCTTAACCAGACCCTTTTCAAATTGTGCACCAAATACTTCCTTATGGTAGGAGGCTGTCTTTACACTGTAGGATGCGCAGTAGTGTGCCTGGCCTTCGGCCCATCAGATTCCAGGAATACATCTCAGTTGTGACAGCCAATCTCTAAACGTCGCTAAATGCCCCTGGGGCTCAAAAATCTTGCCCAGTTGAGAATCAGTGCATTTCCATAACCTCTCGTAGTCTGACACAGTTTTCTGCCAGATGTTACATTTCTAAATTAAAATACATCCAAACACTATGGTGCAGAGACGATACTGTAATATAGCTTGTTTATCAAGGAAACACATACCCAAAGTTCATCCACAAATCAAGGAGGAATTGGAAAGGAGAAAAAGAAACTACAAGAATTTCAGAATTTGTTTTGTTTTGTTTTATTCTGTTTGGGATTTCTGAATGAACTGAGAAGGAATTGGTAAATTGTCTATAGGGAAGGGAGATCTAATCAGGTTCCCAGTAGTTCAAGGTAGTGCAGCTTAATGTCATTTGGAAAAAGCAATAATGTGAGACATTTTTGAAAGGAAGAACTTTAAAAATAGTGTTTTAAATTTTTCTTTCACATCATTGTCATGAAATAACGCTGTTAAAGGAAAGAATTAGGAATTAGTTACAGACCCAAAATAGCAAGTACAAGCACGAAAGAATAGAGAAATGCAGTAACCTCGGCTTTAGTTGATTTGACAATTTAGATTTGATCTCTAGTAAAGCTGTGTAGAATCAGTAACTTCTAGGCTCTAATTAACAAAGCAGGAACCCTCCTTTCTTATTAACTTCTATAACATTACTGTGTTCAAAAAGATAACGCAGTTTCTTTTGTCTTTTGTTTTCTTTCAGACAGGTATATGTGTAATAGCTTTCTCTTTTGCAGCATTTTGTACTGACATTTGTGAAGTCAACAGCACTTCACCAATGATTTTTAAATTAATGATGTGTCATAGTTTCCTGATGTGTCAATTAGTTCTTAATTAAAATTTTTTCAAAATAAGTCAGCTAAATAGTGAAGCCAAAAAAGAAACTTGAAAACAAATCGGCTGAAAATAAATTCAAATAACAGGACACTAACTTACATTGGCACACCACTTGTACCACTTTATACGTACAAAATGAATTCACAGATGTGATCTCATGTCATTCTCAAAGCACTTTGCCCACAGATACATAGCTGGCAAGTAGGTGGCTTATAACCACTTACCTGTAAGGGACATAAACCTAGATCTCCTGACTGAATTATTTGTTTCACTATGCTATATTGTTTCTCCAACGTATATATTACTTATGAATACTACTTCAGAAAATTTTACATTAACCTTAGAGTCTGCTGTGGAAAGAATAAAGACAGTTCTGATCAGAATCTAGAAAATTAGTGAGTTATATGTATGTGTTTTTTTATCTGAAAATAAAGATGGTATCATTTATATCTATCAGCCCACTGTGAAAATCAGAATTATCAGTCAGACTGATTCCGTGTTACTCAGGAAGAAAAATGTTATTTCAAAAGATGCTTTGAACACCCTAGCGTTAGGGAAGAGGATTGTAACAAATTGGTTTAAAACGTTGAGGCTTATTTTCTTTTTGGTGGGGCTTTTTTTTTTTTTTTTTTTTTAAGATTTATCTTTAGTCTACTCAGTAAAGTGAAAAGTTGTTTATGAATATAGAACAGGATGATTTTAATAACTTTAATTTTTACAAATCTAAACTCTCTAGTTTTGGGTGTCTTTTTTAACTACTTCACGTAGTACTTTCACAAATACTAAATGGGTATTCTTCCACAGCATTATACAAGACTCGGTGATGAGCGGCACTAGGTTTAAGAAAGTACTGTATCCTTCGGTTAAAATTCCATGCTGATGTACTCTGATAAGTTTAAATCCTGAGCCTGAACTGAGCTGCACTGGTGACTGAATTACAATGAAAGTAATTTATATAAAATATACTTAAAATACAAAAATGGTATTTCACATTATGTATGGGTTTTGCCTGCATACGTAATTATGATGTCTACTTTCCAAATTACAGTCTGCTGCAAATCCTGAGACTCCAAACTCAACCATCTCCAGAGAGGCCAGCACCCAGTCTTCATCAGCTGCAGCTAGCCAAGGCTGGGTGTTACCAGAAGGCAAAATCGTGCCAAACACTGTTTTTGTTGGTGGAATTGATGCTAGGGTATTGTATTCGTACCTCATTTTTACCTTAACATACATCATGAACAATGGGATGTGGGCCCTGTTACAAACTTAAATTTTTTTTTGTACTTCCTGGAGGTTTAGAATTGCTTTTAGGTTTGACCCATAGGTACTAAAAATATCTTTGACAAAGGGCTGCTGGTCATTCGGGGATAAATGGGGGAGAAATTTCCACCTCATGGTAGTAAAATTGTAGTAAAGTTGAAATTTTTGAATGCTGAATTTTTACTCTGACGTTCAGTTCTTTTCCATAGATGGATGAAACTGAGATTGGAAGCTGCTTTGGTAGATACGGTTCAGTGAAAGAAGTGAAGATAATCACGAATCGAACTGGTGTGTCCAAAGGGTGAGTAATTTTATCAAAAATATGTGAACTCCAGTCACCTATTCTATAAGTATCAGACAAGACTTCAAAACTGATATTCTGACCCTTGTATAAATGCAATATTCTGCAGTGTTAATTTCTTTCACGTAGGGGATAAAAGGCTATTACCAGTTCTTCTATTTGACCATTTTTCTAATGTTTGTATTTAAATGTCTCCAGTTTCTATTTCATACAGATGAGTTAATCAGTTTTCTCAAATAATTGTTTTCTTCATACACTGCAGAGCATCTTAAATTTTAACCACCTTGTCTTAGACAGTAAGTTAAACTCAGGTTCACAGATATGAATTCTTTGCTAATCAATAAAGTTGTCACACTGCCCTAATCCTAGCACATTTTGACATAGTTCTGCTTAAGAAAAAGTGGTATTTGTAGAGGATCTGTCATGTACATCTTAGCAAATACTTATCATGGTATATTATTCGTCTTTTGTCATGACCACTTCTGTATATAGAATAGTAGACCTTCTGAACCACGTACTGTATGATGGTGATTTTATGCTTCATTTGTCTGCCTTTATAGCTATGGATTTGTTTCGTTTGTTAATGACGTGGATGTCCAGAAGATAGTAGGAGTAAGTAATCTAATAGAAAAATCTCTTATTTATCTTATTGCTACAACGTTTAGTGTCAGTGATACACTCGGACTTGTGTAAAATTTGGGGAAAGACACACTTCCTGTTCAAAATCCAAACTCAGAGTAACCTCACGTAGCTTGTTTGATCCTGTTTATTTTTGACTGGACACCTAGTTTCATGAACTACAGACAGGAAGGGTTGGAGACAGGGTGATGGAAAGTTTTTGATCAACTTTCACTTGATGCCTCTTGACACTGATTAGAGTAGTAAGGGTAAGTAAGGTAGCTTCGTGATGACAAATTTTAATTTGGTGCGTAGTTGTCCCCGATCTTCTATGATGATAGGTACTTTAGAAGACTTCAGGTGTTTACCCAAGTCTTGGAAGCTAACACTTGAAAATTGATTCTAGTTTTGTTAACGGTTCTATTTTCAGTCACAGATACATTTCCATGGTAAAAAGCTGAAGCTGGGCCCTGCAATCAGGAAACAAAAGTTATGTGAGTAGGAAAAGAAATGGTTCTTTTCTGACCCGTGTAGCTTTTCAAATAACTAAAAATAGGCTTTTTTCTTCTTGCTTTTTAAAAAGGTGCTCGTCATGTGCAGCCACGTCCTTTGGTAGTTAATCCTCCTCCTCCACCACAGTTTCAGAACGTCTGGCGGAATCCAAACACTGAAACCTACCTGCAGCCCCAAATCACGCCGAATCCTGTAACTCAGCACGTTCAGGTAAGAACTGCTTATGTTCCTGTTCTCTTGTTTATTCTAGTCATCCTTCCCTCTGTGGAATTGTATCTACACTTTCCATAGTAAGTGGCAATAGAATCCCTGTTTGAACAGTGTGAGTAACGGGAAATCTGTTACTTTTGTTAGAAATTTCTTATTCTTCGTGTTCGTCATTTGAGCTAAGAATCTTCTGTATACTTGGCGAAGCTTTCTCTTAGAAATGACCTCTGTAGACACATGAACAAATCTCTTCCTATCTCTGCCTCTTTCACCTCATATAACTAGTTCCTAAAGTATTTGGAAGCAGCCCTCCTTATGTGTCTGCCTAGTTTATTGTTCTCTAAGGTTAGCAGTTAACCTAGCTATTCTTTACTTGCAGTGATTTCCAGATGCCTCCTCATATAAATTGCTTGACTTCTGGGTATATTCTGGTTCTGGGATGGGTAGATTTCTGATCTCTTTTGCTCTATCTAGAAATCCCGTGAGTTTCTGGCACGTAATTTCTCTGATGCTGGTTGCTTTGATATTTAAAGTAGGATTTGACATACTCTTGTCACTTACTGGTGATAAATAACGTTTAGTTTGTTCTTCGTTCATTTTATTTATGTGTTAGTTTTTAAAAAGAGGTTTTCTTCGATGGAAAATAAAGTAACCAAATAGTAGTGAATTAGTTCTTCAATGTCTCTCATTTGTTGACATTTTCCATGTACTTGAAACGTGTGGGGTACACCTCTTCTTCTTTTTCCTTCTCTGAGCAATGGCTAGAAGAAAAGCCCTACTTGTTTGTAGCATTTACTGTGAGCCATTACTGAATGTGGGTGTATTGATGAATGATGCTACCTGTATGTTTTTAATCAGTAAGTATTTATTGAAAAGTAGAAGACATTATACTGTCTCTTTTCCAGCTGTGGCTTACTTACTGCCCTTAATTTGTGGAAAAGAAGTACAGAGAAAGCCGTAACATCTGCCGAAGAACTACAGTATTACCCTATAATATCATCAGATAGCAAACAGTCTAGAAGTATTTTGCCAAAGAAAGAGCAAATGTATTATTTTAACTTACGTTGAAATCTATCTTAATAGAGCCTTATCAGCAGCGTAAGAAATAACTTCTGGGTGGGCATAAGTACACAGTATAAATATGGTAGACTTTGGCCGGTGCAACAGTCACTTGTTTTGTCATTTGTCTCTTCCCCCTCCCCGCCCAAAGGGTAGCACTTGACAGAGAATATTTGTTTCTTCATGTCAGTCATTCATTTAGAAATCTGTATTTCTGTATGTAGAAAAATAATTACCATTTCAAGGTTTTTCGTATTTTTGTTATTTTGGGAATGATATTTCTTTCTAGTTAAAGAAAATGTTTTACCGTATTAATCCATTCTTTCTGTAAACTTTATTTTCAGGCTTACTCTGCTTATCCACATTCACCAGGTCAGGTCATCACTGGATGTCAGTTGCTTGTATATAATTATCAGGTAATTGAAGAGGGAGTAAGATGATTTACTTTCAGCTACTATTGAGGCCTCAACTTGCTTATACAAATTGCTTGAATAGGTTGTCCTTTTAAACTAGTGAACTGTACCTAAAATTTAAGAAATCACTTAGAATTAGTGTAATGAGGACCTCTGTTTTGTTTAGAAGTGATGAAATAAGATTTTGACAGGAGGGTACTTAGCAATAACTTTTCCGTAGAACAATTTCTGAGATTTGGTGTTCCCTTCTTTGTTTCAGCATGTATTTTGTTATCTTTGCTGTCAAAGAGCTGAAACATCCAGACTGACTTTCCTGAATCTTGTAGAGATACAGAGTGAAATAAAAGCTTTACCGAATTCTTAGAGCACAGAATTTCAGTTGTATTTTTATTTTAGCTTGCTGCTTCATGATAGCAGTTCTCTGGGTCTCTTTTCAATGGTACAACTATTATCTGTGACCCATAATTGTATCTGTGGTAACAAATTCAAAGAATTAATATCTTTGAGGGTTCCACAATTCTGTTTCCATAAAATTGGGAAAAAGGTGAGGTTTTCTGTGTAGAAGTAACAACAAGAACTTTGGGGATTAGAAACCTAAAGTACTTCTTTTTTCTATTCTGTTTCTTTTATTATAACAAAGGAGCCATCATGATAAATACTCCAATATTATGTAACTCATGTGTTTTTGAAAACGTGTAGGAGTATTTAAATAATTGTGGTTACTTTTTTTTTTTTTTTTTTTTTTTTTAATTTAAGATTCCACTGCACTGGCCTGTTGGGGCGCAAAGGAGTTATGTTGTTCCTCCGGTAAAGCGAATGAGTGAAACATATACCTGCTCTTCTTTCTTGATTTTTTGTGTGGCACATATGCCTATAAATATTTTTAATGATTCTTTATATTGATGTGTTAACGTTTTGTTACTTTCTTTTTAACCCAATTATAATCTCCCATGGGAGAAACAGTGCCTTTTTCTCTCTCAGGTTTTTGTATGCTTAAGCAATGGCTTCTCCAAATTATGACAAGTGTTCAGTTACTTGTCGATAGATTATTTAATCTAAGAAAGGTAGTCCTAATGTGGCTTTATCTAAGAAAGGTAGTATTAATTTGGCTTTAGAATAGCATGTATCTGATGAGAATCTGCATCTGGATGTACCAACCATAAAAAATTTCATAAAGAGAAACAGAAATGTTTTGCTGTTAATTACTCTTAAATAAGAATAGGATTAAAAAGAGTATTACCTCTATAACACCTGAGCTGCTTTCCCCCATATAACTAAAATATTTAAAAGCAGTTCTCCTCATGTGTCTGCCTGCTTTATTCTTCTCTAAGTTTAGCAGTTAATCCAGGTATTCTTTATTTGAAATGATTTCCAGATGCCTCTGCATATTAAATTGCTGACTTCCAGATATATTCTGGTTCTGGAATGGGTAGATTTCTGATATGTTTTAGGTATCTGTAAATCCCGCAAGTTTCTGGCATGTAGTGTCTCTGATCCTTGTTAGTTTGCTATTTAAAGTAGATTTGACATATTCTGTCACTTACTGGTGGTAAATAACGTTTATTTTCTTCTTAGTTCATTTTATTTATATCTTAGTTTAAAAGACATTTTCTTTGATGGAAAATAAAGTAACAGAATAGTAGTGAAGTAGTTATATTCAGTGTTTCTCATTTGTTGACATTTTCCCTGTACTTGAAACATGTACGGTATACCTCATCTTCTTTTTCCTTCTGTGAACAATGGCTGGAATAAAAGCCCTACTTCTATCATTTACTGTGAGCCATTACTGAATCTGGGTGTATTGATGCATGCTGCTTACCTATATGTGTTGAAACAATAAGTATTTATTGAAACATATGAGACATTATACTGTCTCTTTTCCAGTATTGGATTCTATACTGCACTTAGTTTTTCAACATGAAGTACAGAAAACGCCGTAAATTCTGCAGAACTACGTATTACCTTATAATATTGTCAAATACACATCAGTCTGGAAGCATTTTTACAGGGAAATAGCAAATGTATTAATTTAACTTACATTGAACTCTGTCTTAATGCAGCCTTATCACCAGTGCAAGAAATAACTTCTGGGTGGGCATAAGTACACAATATAAGTAAGGTTAACTTTGCCTGGTGTCATAGCCAGTTCTTTTGACATTTGTCTGTTCCCCCTCCACGCCCAACCATAGCACTTGACCGAGAATAATACGTTCTTCATAAATCAGTCAGTCACTTACAATTCTACATTGTTGCAGATAGAAAAATAATTAGTATTTCGAAATTTTTCATAGTTTTGTTATATTGGGACTAATTCTTCCTAATTAAAAATAATGTTTTAACGTATTAATTCATTCTTTCTGTATAATTTATTTTCAGGAATATCCTACTTATCCCGATTCAGCATTTCAGGTCACCACTGGATATCAGTTGCCTGTATATAATTATCAGGTAATGTAAGAGGGAGTAAAATGATTTGCTTTCAGGTATTATTGGGGCCTTTAACTTTTTTAGACAAATTTCCTGAACAGTTGGTCATTTTAAACTAGTGAAGTGTACCTAAAATTTAAGGAAACACTTAGAATTAGTGTAGAATGAAGACATCTGTCTTATTTAGAAGTAATGAAGTAGTATTTTGAGAGGAATATACCTGGCAATAACATTTCTGTAGAAGAGATTTCTGAGATGTGGTGTTCTCTCCTTTACTTCTGGATGTAGTTTTCATCTTTACTGTGAAATAGCTGAATGAAACATCCAAACTGACTTTCATGAATTTTCTTAGGGAGATAGAGTGAAATAAATTTCTGCTGCACTTTTCAGAGCACAGAATCCCAATTACATTTTCATTTTAGCTGGCTGTTTGAAGATAGTAATTCTCTGGATCTCTTTTCATAGATACAAGTATATCTATGACCCATAATTATATCTATGGTAATAAACTGAAAGAGGTAGTATCTTGGAGGTTTCCACATTGCCAACTCCTGAAAATTTGGAGAAAGATGAAGTTTCAAATATAAAAGTAAGAAGAATGTCATGGACTAGAAACATGATGTACTTAAGTTTTCCTTTCTGTTACTTTTATTATAATAAAAAAGGAGACAGCAGGATAAGGACTTCAATATTGTGTTTCTCATGAGTTTTTGAAAATGTGTAGGAATACTTTAATAGTTTTGGTGTCCTTTTTTTTTTTTTTTTTTTTTTTTTTAAGATGCCACCATAGGGGCCTGTTGGGGAGCAAAGGGATTCCGTTCTTGACGTTAAGTGAATTAGCCAAACATAGACTTCCTGTTCATTCTTGATTTTTTTCCATGTCATATATGCCTATAAATATTTTTAAGTGATTCTTTATATTAATTTTTTTGTCGTTGTTACTTTCTTGTTAACCCGATTATGAACTCCCATGGGAGCAAGAGTGCCTTTTTTGCCCTCAGGTTTTTATGTGCCTAAGCAATGGCAGGTCCACATAATGATAGACTATATAATCACAGAAAAGTAGTATTCACTTGACTTTAGAATTATCACGTATCTGCCAATAATCTGCCTCTGGCTTTACCAGCAATAGAAAATTTATAGAAGAGAAACAGAATTGCTTTGCTGTTAATGACGCTTAAATAAGAACAGGAGTGAACGAGAGTATTACCTCCAAATCACCGGAGCTGCTTTCCCCCTTATAAGCAGTTCCTAAAGTGAATGAAAGCAGCTCTCCTTATGTGTCTGCCTACTTTATTCTTCGGTAAGTTTAGCAGTTCATCTAGCTATCCTTTATTTGAAATGATTTCCAGATGCCTCCTCATATAAATTGCTGACTTCTGGATATTTCCTGGTTCTGGAATGGGTAGATTTCTGATGTGGTTTAGTATATATATGTAAACCCCGTGAGCTTCTGGCATCTAATTTCTCTGATCCTGGTTACATTGATATTTAAAGTAGGGTTTGACATACTCTGTCACCTACTGTTGATAAATAACGTTTATATTCTTCTTAGTTCATTTTATTGACGTGTTAGCTTTAAAGACATTTTCTTTGACGGAAAATGAAGTAACAAAATAATAGTGAAATAGTTATGCAGTGTCTCTAATTTGTTGATATTTTCCATGTACTTGAAACTTGTATGGTATACCTCTTCTTTTTCCTTCTCTGAACAATGGCTAGAAAAAAAGTCCTACTTTTTTCTGTCATTTACTGTGAGGCATCACTGATTCTGGGTGTATTCATGTATGCTGCTACCTGTATGTTTTCAAACAATAAGAATTTATTGAAACATGTAAGACATTATACTTTCTCTTCTCCAGTATTGGATCATAGACTGCACTTAGTTTTTCGTAATGAAGTACAGACAAAGCCATAACATCTGTCGAACTACATATTACCCTATAATATTGTCTGATACAAAACAGTCTAGAAATATTCTTACAGAGAAATTGCAAATGTATTAATTTAACTTACCTTGCAATCTCTCTTAATGGAGCCTTACCACCAGTGTAAGAAATAACGTCTGGGTGTGAATAAGTACACAGTATAAGGTAAACTTTGGTGAAGTAGTCAATTCTTTTGTCATTTGTTCCCCCTTCACACCCATAGTGTAGCACTTGACCTAGAATCTTTCTTTCTTCATAAAGTCAGTCATTCATTTGGAATTCTGCATTGTTGTACGTAGAAAAAGGATATTTTACCTTTTGTAATATTTTTGTTATATTGGGAATTATATTTCTTTGTAATTTTAAAAAGTGGTTTACCATATTCATTTTTTTCTGCAACCTTTCTTTTCAGCCATTTCCTGCTTATCCAAGATCACCATTTCAGGTCACTGCTGGATATCAGTTGCCTGTATATAATTATCAGGTAATGTAAGAAGGAGTAAAATGATTTACTTTCAGGTATTACTGAGGCATTCAACTTGTTTATACAAATTTCCTGAATAGTTGGTCATTTTAAATTAGTGAAGTGTACCTAAAATTTAAGGAAACACGTAGAAGTAGTGTAGAATGAAGACCTCTGTCTTATTTAGAAGTAATGAAGTAGTATTTTGAGAGGAATATACTTGGCAATAACTTTTCTGTAGAAGAGATTTCTGAGATGTGGTGTTCTCTTCTTTATTTCTGGATGCAGTTTTCATCTTTACTGTGAAATAGCTGAATGAAACATCCAAACTGACTTTCATGAATTTTCTTAGGGAGATAGAGTGAAATAAATTTATGCTGCACTTTTCAGAGCACAGAATCCCAATTACATTTTCATTTTAGCTGGCTGTTTGAAGATAGTAATGCTCTGGATCTCTTTTCATAGATACAAGTATATCTATGACCCATAATTACATCTATGGTAAGAAACTGAAAGAGGTAGTATCTTTGAGGTTTCCACCTTGCCAACTCCCGAAAATTTGGAGAAAGGTGAAGTTTCCAATATAAAAGTAACAAGAATGTCATGGACTAGAAACATAAAGTACTTAAGTTTTCCTTTCTGTTACTTTTATTATAATGAAAAAGGAGACAGCTGGATAAGTACTTCAATGTTGTATTTCTCATGTGTTTTTGAAAATGTGTAGGAATACATATAATACTTTCGGTGTCCTTTTTTTTTCTTTCTTTTTCTTTCTTTTTTTTTTTTAAGATGCCACCATAAGGTCCTGTTGGGGAGCAAAGGATTATGTTGTCCTTGACGTTAAGTGAATTAGCCAAACATAGATTTTCTGTTCATTCTTGATTTTTTTCCATGTCATATATGCCTATAAATATTTTTAAGTGATTCTTTATATTAATTTTTTTGTTGTTGTTACTTTCTTGTTAACCCGATTATAAACTCCCATGGGAGCAAGAGTGCCTTTTTTGCCCTCAGGTTTTTATGTGGTTAAGCAATGGCAGGTCCATATAATGACAGACTATATAATCAAAGAAAGGTAGTGTTCATGTGACTTTACAATTAGCATGTATCTGCATAGAATCTGCCTCTGGCTTTACCAGCAATAGAATATTTATAGAAGAGAAACAGAAATGCTTTGCTGTTAATGACGCTTAAATGAGAATAGGAGTAAACGAGAGTATTACCGCCAAATCACCGGAGCTGCTTTCCCCCTTATAACCAGTTCCTAAAGTGAATGAAAGCAGCTCCCCTTATGTGTCTGCCTACTTTATTCTTTGGTAAGTTTAGCAGTTCATCTAGCTATTCTTTATTTGAAATGATTTCCGGATGCCTCCTCATATAAATTGCTGACTTCTGGAAATATTCTTCTTCTGGAATGGGTAGATTTCTGATGTGGTTTAGTATATATATAAACCCCGTGAGCTTCTGGCGTCTAATTTCTCTGATTCTGGTTACACTGATATTTAAAGTAGGGTTTGACATACTCCATCACTTAATGTTGATAACTAACCTTTATATTCTTCTTAGTTCGTTTTATTTATGTGTTAGCTTAAAAGACATTTTCTTTGATGGAAAATGAAGTAACAAAATAATAGTGAAATAGTTCTGCGGTTGTCTCTAATTTCGTGATATTTTCCATGTACTTGAAACATGTATGGTATACCTCTTCTTTTTCCTTCTCTGAACAATGGCTAGAAAAAAAGCCTTACTTGTTTCTGTCATTTACTGTGAGCGATTACTGAATCTGGGTGTATTCATGTATGCTGCTACCTGTATGTTTTCAGATAATAAAAATTTTTTGAAACATATAAGACATTATACTTTCTCTTGTCCAGTATTGGATTATAGACTGCACTTAGTTTTTCGTAATGAAGTACAGACAAAGCCATAACATCTGTCAAACTATATATTGTCCTATAATATTGTCTGATACAAAACAGTCTAGAAATATTCTGACAGGGAAATAGCAAATGTATTAATTTAACTTACCTTGCAATCTCTCTTAATGGAGCCTTACCACCAGTGTAAGAAATAACTTCTGGGTGTGAATAAGTACACAGTATAAGGTAAACTTTGGTGAAATAGTCAATTCTTTTGTCATTAGTTCCCCCTTCACTCCCAAAGTGTAGCACTTGTCATAGAATCTTTCTTTCTTCATAAAGTCAGTCATTCATTTAGAATTCTGCATTATTGTATGTAGAAAAACAATATTTTACCTATTTTTGTTATATTCAGAATTATATTTCTTTCTAATTTTAAAAAAATGGTTTACCGTATTCATTTTTTTCTGGAACCTTTCTTTTCAGGCATTTCCTGCTTATCCAAATTCACCATTTCAAGTCGCCACTGGATATCAGTTCCCTGTATACAATTATCAGGTAATGTCAGAGGGAGTAAAATGATTTGCTTTTAGGTATTATTGAGGCCTTTAACTTGTTCATACAAATTTCCTGAATAGTTGCTCATTTTAAACTAGTGAATTGTACCTAAAATTTAAGGAAACACTTAGTGTAGAATGAAGACCTCTGTGTTATTTAGAATAATGAGGTAGTATTTTGACAGGAATATACTTGGCAATAACTTTTCTGTAGAACAGATTTCTGAGATTTGGTGTTCTCTTCTTCATTTCTGGATGTAGTTTTCATCTTTACTGTCAAATAGCTAAATGAAACGTCCAAAGTGTCTTTCATGAATTTTCTTAGGGAGATAGACTGAAATAAAATTATGCTGCACTTTTCAGAGCACAGAATCCCAATTACATTTTCATTTTAGCTGGCTGTTTGAAGATAGTAATGCTCTGGATCTCTTTTCATAGATACAAGTGTATCTGTGACCCATAATTATATCTATGGTAATAAACTGAAAGAGCTAGTATCTTTGAGGTTTCCACATTGCGAAATCCCGAAAATGTGGAGAGAGCTGAAGTTTCCAATGTAAAAGTAACAAGAATGTCATGGACTAGAAACATAAAGTATTTGAGTTTTCCTTTCTGTTACTTTTATTACAATAAAAAAGGAGACAGCAGGATAAGTACTTTAATATTGTGTTTCTCATGTGTTTTTGAAAATGTGTAGCAATACTTCAATAGTTTTGGTTTCCTTTTATTTATTGATTGATTTTTTAAGATTCCACCTTAGGGGCCTGTTGGGTAGCAAAGGGATTATGTTGTCCTTGACGTTAAGGGAATTAGCCAAACATAGACTTCCTGTTCATTCTTGATTTTTTTCCATGTCATATATGCCTACAAATATTTTTAAGTGACTTTTTATGTTAATTTTTTTTTGTTGTTGTTTCCTTCTTGTTAACCCGATTATAAACTCCCATGGCAGCAACAGTGCCTTTTTTGTCCTCAGGTTTTTATGTGCTTAAGCAATGGCAGGTCTACATAATGATAGACTATATAATCAAAGAAAGGGAGTATTCACGTGACTTTAGAATTAGCATGTGTCTGCATAGAATATGCCTCTGGCTTTACCAGCAGTAGAAAATTTATAGAAGAGAAACAGAAATGCTTTGCTGTTAATGACGCCTAAATAAGAAGAGGAGTAAAGGAGAGTATTACCTCCAAATCACCGGAGCTGCTTTCCCCCTTATAAGCAGTTCCTAAAGTGAATGAAAGCAGCTCTCCTTATGTGTCTGCCTACTTTATTCTTCGGTAAGTTTAGCAGTTCATCTAGCTATCCTTTATTTGAAATGATTTCCAGATGCCTCCTCATATAAATTGCTGACTTCTGGATATTTCCTGGTTCTGGAATGGGTAGATTTCTGATGTGGTTTAGTATATATATGTAAACCCCGTGAGCTTCTGGCATCTAATTTCTCTGATCCTGGTTACATTGATATTTAAAGTAGGGTTTGACATACTCTGTCACCTACTGTTGATAAATAACGTTTATATTCTTCTTAGTTCATTTTATTGACGTGTTAGCTTTAAAGACATTTTCTTTGACGGAAAATGAAGTAACAAAATAATAGTGAAATAGTTATGCAGTGTCTCTAATTTGTTGATATTTTCCATGTACTTGAAACTTGTATGGTATACCTCTTCTTTTTCCTTCTCTGAACAATGGCTAGAAAAAAAGTCCTACTTTTTTCTGTCATTTACTGTGAGGCATCACTGATTCTGGGTGTATTCATGTATGCTGCTACCTGTATGTTTTCAAACAATAAGAATTTATTGAAACATGTAAGACATTATACTTTCTCTTCTCCAGTATTGGATCATAGACTGCACTTAGTTTTTCGTAATGAAGTACAGACAAAGCCATAACATCTGTCGAACTACATATTACCCTATAATATTGTCTGATACAAAACAGTCTAGAAATATTCTTACAGAGAAATTGCAAATGTATTAATTTAACTTACCTTGCAATCTCTCTTAATGGAGCCTTACCACCAGTGTAAGAAATAACGTCTGGGTGTGAATAAGTACACAGTATAAGGTAAACTTTGGTGAAGTAGTCAATTTTGTCATTTGTTCCCCCTTCACACCCATAGTGTAGCACTTGACCTAGAATCTTTCTTTCTTCATAAAGTCAGTCATTCATTTGGAATTCTGCATTGTTGTACGTAGAAAAAGGATATTTTACCTTTTGTAATATTTTTGTTATATTGGGAATTATATTTCTTTGTAATTTTAAAAAGTGGTTTACCATATTCATTTTTTTCTGCAACCTTTCTTTTCAGCCATTTCCTGCTTATCCAAGTTCACCATTTCAGGTCACTGCTGGATATCAGTTGCCTGTATATAATTATCAGGTAATGTAAGAAGGAGTAAAATGATTTACTTTCAGGTATTATTGAGGCATTCAACTTGTTTATACAAATTTCCTGAATAGCTGGTCATTTTAAATTAGTGAAGTGTACCTAAAATTTAAGGAAACACGTAGAAGTAGTGTAGAATGAAGACCTCTGTCTTATTTAGAAGTAATGAAGTAGTATTTTGAGAGGAATATACTTGGCAATAACTTTTCTGTAGAAGAGATTTCTGAGATGTGGTGTTCTCTTCTTTATTTCTGGATGCAGTTTTCATCTTTACTGTGAAATAGCTGAATGAAACATCCAAACTGACTTTCATGAATTTTCTTAGGGAGATAGAGTGAAATAAATTTATGCTGCACTTTTCAGAGCACAGAATCCCAATTACATTTTCATTTTAGCTGGCTGTTTGAAGATAGTAATGCTCTGGATCTCTTTTCATAGATACAAGTATATCTATGACCCATAATTACATCTATGGTAAGAAACTGAAAGAGGTAGTATCTTTGAGGTTTCCACGTTGCCAACTCCCGAAAATTTGGAGAAAGGTGAAGTTTCCAATATAAAAGTAACAAGAATGTCATGGACTAGAAACATAAAGTACTTAAGTTTTCCTTTCTGTTACTTTTATTATAATGAAAAAGGAGACAGCTGGATAAGTACTTCAATGTTGTATTTCTCATGTGTTTTTGAAAATGTGTAGGAATACATATAATACTTTCGGTGTCCTTTTTTTTTCTTTCTTTTTCTTTCTTTTTTTTTTTTAAGATGCCACCATAAGGTCCTGTTGGGGAGCAAAGGATTATGTTGTCCTTGACGTTAAGTGAATTAGCCAAACATAGATTTCCTGTTCATTCTTGATTTTTTTCCATGTCATATATGCCTATAAATATTTTTAAGTGATTCTTTATATTAATTTTTTTGTTGTTGTTACTTTCTTGTTAACCCGATTATAAACTCCCATGGGAGCAAGAGTGCCTTTTTAGCCCTCAGGTTTTTATGTGGTTAAGCAATGGCAGGTCCATATAATGACAGACTATATAATCAAAGAAAGGTAGTGTTCATGTGACTTTACAATTAGCATGTATCTGCATAGAATCTGCCTCTGGCTTTACCAGCAATAGAATATTTATAGAAGAGAAACAGAAATGCTTTGCTGTTAATGACGCTTAAATGAGAATAGGAGTAAACGAGAGTATTACCGCCAAATCACCGGAGCTGCTTTCCCCCTTATAACCAGTTCCTAAAGTGAATGAAAGCAGCTCCCCTTATGTGTCTGCCTACTTTATTCTTTGGTAAGTTTAGCAGTTCATCTAGCTATTCTTTATTTGAAATGATTTCCGGATGCCTCCTCATATAAATTGCTGACTTCTGGAAATATTCTTCTTCTGGAATGGGTAGATTTCTGATGTGGTTTAGTATATATATAAACCCCGTGAGCTTCTGGCGTCTAATTTCTCTGATTCTGGTTACACTGATATTTAAAGTAGGGTTTGACATACTCCATCACTTAATGTTGATAACTAACCTTTATATTCTTCTTAGTTCGTTTTATTTATGTGTTAGCTTAAAAGACATTTTCTTTGATGGAAAATGAAGTAACAAAATAATAGTGAAATAGTTCTGCGGTTGTCTCTAATTTCGTGATATTTTCCATGTACTTGAAACATGTATGGTATACCTCTTCTTTTTCCTTCTCTGAACAATGGCTAGAAAAAAAGCCTTACTTGTTTCTGTCATTTACTGTGAGCGATTACTGAATCTGGGTGTATTCATGTATGCTGCTACCTGTATGTTTTCAGATAATAAAAATTTTTTGAAATATATAAGACATTATACTTTCTCTTGTCCAGTATTGGATTATAGACTGCACTTAGTTTTTCGTAATGAAGTACAGACAAAGCCATAACATCTGTCAAACTATATATTGTCCTATAATATTGTCTGATACAAAACAGTCTAGAAATATTCTGACAGGGAAATAGCAAATGTATTAATTTAACTTACCTTGCAATCTCTCTTAATGGAGCCTTACCACCAGTGTAAGAAATAACTTCTGGGTGTGAATAAGTACACAGTATAAGGTAAACTTTGGTGAAATAGTCAATTCTTTTGTCATTAGTTCCCCCTTCACTCCCAAAGTGTAGCACTTGTCATAGAATCTTTCTTTCTTCATAAAGTCAGTCATTCATTTAGAATTCTGCATTATTGTATGTAGAAAAACAATATTTTACCTATTTTTGTTATATTCAGAATTATATTTCTTTCTAATTTTAAAAAAATGGTTTACCGTATTCATTTTTTTCTGGAACCTTTCTTTTCAGGCATTTCCTGCTTATCCAAATTCACCATTTCAAGTCGCCACTGGATATCAGTTCCCTGTATACAATTATCAGGTAATGTCAGAGGGAGTAAAATGATTTGCTTTTAGGTATTATTGAGGCCTTTAACTTGTTCATACAAATTTCCTGAATAGTTGCTCATTTTAAACTAGTGAATTGTACCTAAAATTTAAGGAAACACTTAGTGTAGAATGAAGACCTCTGTGTTATTTAGAATAATGAGGTAGTATTTTGACAGGAATATACTTGGCAATAACTTTTCTGTAGAACAGATTTCTGAGATTTGGTGTTCTCTTCTTCATTTCTGGATGTAGTTTTCATCTTTACTGTCAAATAGCTAAATGAAACGTCCAAAGTGTCTTTCATGAATTTTCTTAGGGAGATAGACTGAAATAAAATTATGCTGCACTTTTCAGAGCACAGAATCCCAATTACATTTTCATTTTAGCTGGCTGTTTGACGATAGTAATGCTCTGGATCTCTTTTCATAGATACAAGTGTATCTGTGACCCATAATTATATCTACGGTAATAAACTGAAAGAGCTAGTATCTTTGAGGTTTCCACATTGCGAAATCCCGAAAATGTGGAGAAAGCTGAAGTTTCCAATGTAAAAGTAACAAGAATGTCATGGACTAGAAACATAAAGTATTTGAGTTTTCCTTTCTGTTACTTTTATTACAATAAAAAAGGAGACAGCAGGATAAGTACTTTAATATTGTGTTTCTCATGTGTTTTTGAAAATGTGTAGTAATACTTCAATAGTTTTGGTTTCCTTTTATTTATTAATTGATTTTTTAAGATTCCACCTTAGGGGCCTGTTGGGTAGCAAAGGGATTATGTTGTCCTTGACATTAAGGGAATTAGCCAAACATAGACTTCCTGTTCATTCTTGATTTTTTTCCATGTCATATATGCCTACAAATATTTTTAAGTGACTTTTTATGTTAATGTTTTTTTTGTTGTTGTTTCCTTCTTGTTAACCCGATTATAAACTCCCATGGCAGCAACAGTGCCTTTTTTGTCCTCAGGTTTTTATGTGCTTAAGCAATGGCAGGTCTACATAATGATAGACTATATAATCAAAGAAAGGGAGTATTCACGTGACTTTAGAATTAGCATGTGTCTGCACAGAATATGCCTCTGGCTTTACCAGCAGTAGAAAATTTATAGAAGAGAAACAGAAATGCTTTGCTGTTAATGACGCCTAAATAAGAATAGGAGTAAAGGAGAGTATTACCTCCAACTCACCGGAGCTGCTTTCCCCCTTATAAGCAGTTCCTAAAGTGAATGAAAGCAGCTCTCCTTATGTGTCTGCCTACTTTATTCTTCGGTAAGTTTAGCAGTTTATCTAGCTATCCTTTATTTGAAATGATTGCCACATGCCTCCTCATATAAATGGCTGACTTCTGGATATATTCTGGTTCTGGAATGGGCAGATTTCTGACGTGGTTTAGTATATATATATAAACCCGGTGAGTTTCTGGCATGTAATTTCTCTGATCGTGGTTACATTGATATTTAAAGTAGGGTTTGACATAGTGTGTCACTTACTGTTGATAAATATCGTTTATTTTCTTCTTAGTTCATTTCATTGATGTGTTAGCTTAAAAGACATTTTCTTTGACAGAAAATGAAGTAATGAAATAATAGTGAAATCGTTCTGCTGTGTCTCTAATTTGTTGATATTTTCCATGTACTTGAAACATGTATGGTATACCTCTTCTTTTTCCTTCTCTGAACCATGGCTAGAAAAAAAGCCCTACTTGTTTCTCTCGTTTACTGTGAGGCATTAGTGATTCTGGGTGTATTCATGTATGCTGCTACCTGTATGTTTTCAAACAATAAGAATTTGTTGAAACATGTCAGACATTATACTTTTTATTCTCCAGTATTGGAATATAGACTGCAATTAGTTTTTTGGAATGAAATACAGACAAAGCCATAACATCTATAGAACTACATATTACCCTACAATATTGTCTGATACAAAACAGTCTGGAAATATTCTTACAGCGAAATTGCAAATGTATTGATTTACCTTACATTGCAATCTGTCTTAGTGGAACCTTATCACCAGTGTAAGACATAATTTCTGGGTGTGAATAAGTACACAGTATAAGGTAAATTTTGGTGAAGTAGTCAGTTCTTTGTCATTTGTTCCCCCTTCACACCCAAAGTGTAGCACTTGACATAGAATCTTTCTTTCCTCATAAAGTCATTCATTTGGAATTCTGCATTGTTGTATGTAGAAAAAGGATATTTTCCGTTTTGTAATATTTTTCTTATATTGGGAATTATATTTCTTTCTAATTTTAAAATGTGGTTTACCATATTCATTTTTTCTGCAACCTTTTCAGGCATTTCCTGCTTATCCAAATTCACCAGTTCAGGTCACCACTGGATATCAGTTGCCTGTATACAATTATCAGGTAATGTAAGAGGTAGTAAAATGGTTTGCTTTCAGGTATTATTGAGGCCTTTAACTTGTTTATAGAAATTTCCTGAATAGTTGGTCATTTTTAACTAGTGAAGTGTCCCTAAAATTTAAGGAAAGACTTAGTGTAGAATGAAGACCTCTGTCTTATTTAGAAGTAATGAAGTAATATTTTTACAGGAATATCCTTGGCAATAACATTTGTGTAGAAGAGATTTCTGAGATTTGGTGTCCCCTTCTTCATTTGTGGATATAGTTTTCATCTTTGCTGTCAAATAGCTGAATGAAACATCCAAACTGACTTTCATGAATTTTTTTAGGGAGATAGAGTGAAATAAAATTATGATCCACTTTTCAGAGCACAGAATTCCAATTATATTTTCATTTTAGCTGGCTGTTTGACGGTAGTCATTCTCAGGATCTCTTCTCATAGATACAAGTATATCTATGACCCATAACTATATCTATGGTAATAAACTGAAAGAGCTAGTATTTTTGAGGTTTCCACATTGCCAACTCCCAAAAATTTGGAGAAAGGTGAAGATTCAAATTTAAAGTAACAAGAATGTCATGGACAAGAAACATAAAGTACTTAAGTTTTCCTTTCTGTTACTTTTATTATAATAAAAAAGGAGACAGCGGAATAAGTACTTCAATACTGTGTTTCTCATGTGTGTTTGAAAATATGTAGGAATAGTTTAATAGTTTTGGTTTCCTTTTTTTTTTTTTTTTTTAAAGATGCCACCTTAGGGGCCTGTTGGGGAGCAAAGGGATTATGTTGTCCTTGACGTTAAGGGAATTAGCCAAACATAGACTTCCTGTTCATTCTTGATTTTTTTTCCATGTCATATATGCCTATAAATATTTTTAAGTGACTCTCTATATTAATGTTTGTTGTTGTTGTTGTTACTTTCTTGTTAACCCGAGTATAAACTCCCATGGCAGCAACAGTGCCTTTTTTGCCCTCAGGGTTTTATGTGCTTAAGCAATGGCAGCTCCACATAATGATAGACTATATAATCAAAGAAAGGTAATATTCACGTGACTTTAGAATTAGCATGTAGCTGCATAGAATCTGCCTCTGGCTTTACCAGCAGTAGTAAATTTATAGAAGAGAAACAGAAATGCTTTGCTGTTAATTATGCTTAAATAAGAATAGAAGTAAAGGAGAGTATTACCTGCAAATCACCAGAGCAGCTTTCCCCCGTATAAGCAGTTCCTAAAGTGAATGAAAGCAGCTCTCCTTATGTGTCTGCCTACTTTATTCTTCCGTAAGTTTAGCAATTCATCTAGCTATCCTTTATTTGAAATGATTTCCAGATGCCTCCTCATATAAATTGCTGACTTCTGGATATATTCTGGTTCTGGAATGGGTAGATTTCTGATGTGATTTAGTATATATATATAAACCGCTTGAGTTTCTGGCATCTAATTTCTCTGATCCTGGTGACATTGATATTTAAAGTAGGGTTTGACATACTCTATCACTTACTGTTGATAAATAACGTTTATATTCTTCTTAGTTCATTTCATTGATGTGTTAGCTTAAAAGACATTTTCTTTGATGGAAAATGTAGTAACAAAATAATAGTGAAATAGTTCTGCAGTGTTTCTAATTTGTTGATATTTTCCATGTACTTGAAACATGTATGGTATACCTCTTATTTTTCCTTCTCTGAACAATGGGTAGAAGAAAAGCTCTACTTGTTACTGTCATTTACTGTGAGCCATTACTGAATCTGGGTGTATTCATGTATGCTACTGCCTGTATGTTTTCAAACAATAAGCATTTATTGAAACATATAAGACATTATACTTCCTCTTCTCCAGTATTGGATTATAGACTGCACTTAGTTTTTTGGAATGAAGTACAGACAAAGCCATAACATCTATAGAACTACATATTACCCTATAATATTGTCTGATACAAAACAGTCTAGAAATATTCTTACAGCAAATTGCAAATGTATTAATTTAACTTACATTGCAATCTGTCTTAATGGAGCCTTATCACCAGTGTAAGAAATAACTTCTGGGTGTGAATAAGTACACAGTATAAGGTAAACTTTGGTGAAGTAGTCAATTCTTTTTTTTTTTTAAATTATGCTTTAAGTTTTAGGGTCCATGTGCACATTGTGCAGGTTAGTTCCATATGTATACATGTGCCATGCTGGTGCTCTGCACCCTCTAACTCCTCATCTAGCATTAGGTATATCTCCCAGTGCTATCCCTCCCCCCTCCCCCCACCCCACAACAGTCCCCAGAGTGTGATATATCCCTTCCTGTGTCCATGTGATCTCATTGTTCAATTCCCACCTATGAGTGAGAATATGCGGTGTTTGGTTTTTTGTTCTTGCGATAGTTTACTGAGAATGATGATTTCCAATTTCATCCATGTCCCTACAAAGGACATGAAGTCATCATTTTTTATGGCGGCATAGTATTCCATGGTGTATATGTGCCACATTTTCTTAATCCAGTCTATCATTGTTGGACATTTGGGTTGGTTCCAAGTCTTTGCTATTGTGAATAATGCCGCAATAAACATACGTGTGCATGTGTCTTTATAGCAGCATGATTTATAGTCCTTTGTGTATACACCCAGTAATGGGATGGCTGGGTCAAATGCTATTTCCAGTTCTAGATCCCTGAGGAATCGCCACACTGACTTCCACAATGGTTGAACTAGTTTACAGTCCCGCCAACAGTGTAAAAGTGTTCCTGTTTCTCCACATCTTCTCCAGCACCTGTTGTCTCCTGACTTTTAAATGATTGCCATTCTAACTGGTGTGAGATGGTATCTCACTGTGGTTTTGATTTGCATTTCTCTGATGGCCAGTGATGATGAGCATTTTTTCATGTGTTTTTTGGCTGCATAAATGTCTTCTTTTGAGAAGTGTCTGTTCATGTCCTTCACCCACTTTTTGATGAGGTTGTTTGTTTTTTCTTGTAAATTTGTTTTAGCTCATTGTAGATTCTGGATATTAGCCCTTTGTCAGATGAGTAGGTTGTGAAAATTTTCTCCCATTTTGTAGGTTGCCTGTTCACTCTGATGGTAGTTTCTTTTTCTGTGCAGAAGCTCTTTAGTTTAATTAGATCCCATTTGTCAATTTTGTCTTTTATTGCCATTGCTTTTGGTGTTTTAGACGTGAAGTCCTCGCCTATGCCTATGTCCTGAATGGTAATGCCTAGGTTTTCTTCTAGGGTTTTTATGGTTTTACGTCTAACGTTTAAGTCTTTAATCCATCTTGAATTGATTTTTGTATAAGGTGTAAGGAAGGGATCCAGTTTCAGCTTTCTACATATGGCTAGCCAGTTTTCCCAGCACCATTTATTAAATAGGGAATCCTTTCCCCATTGCTTGTTTTTCTCAGGTTTGTCAAAGATCAGATAGTTGTAGATATGCGGCGTTATTTCTGAGGGCTCTGTTCTGTTCCATTGATCTATATCTCTGTTTTGGTACCAGTACCATGCTGTTTTGGTTACTGTAGCCTTGTAGTATAGTTTGAAGTCAGGTAGTGTGATGCCTCCAGCTTTGTTCTTTTGGCTTAGGATTGACTTGGCAATGCGGGCTCTTTTTTGGTTCCATGTGAACTTTAAAGTAGTTTTTTCCAATTCTGTGAAGAAAGGCATTGGTAGCTTGATGGGGATGGCATTGAATCTGTAAATTACCTTGGGCAGTATGGCCATTTTCACGATATTGATTCTTCCTACTCATGAGCATGGAATGTTCTTCCATTTGTTTGTATCCTCTTTTATTTCCTTGAGCAGTGGTTTGTAGTTCTCCTTGAAGAGGTCCTTCACATCCCTTGTAAGTTGATTTCCTAGGCATTTTATTCCCTTTGAAGCAATTGTGAATGGGAGTTCACTCATGATTGGGCTCTCTGTTTGTCTGTTGTTGGTGTATAAGAAAGCTTGTGATTTTTGTACATTGATTTTGTATCCTGAGACTTTGCTGAAGTTGCTTATCAGCTTAAGGAGATTTTGGGCTGAGACAATGGGGTTTTCTAGATATATAATCATGTTGTCTGCAAACAGGGACAATTTGACTTCCTCCTTTCCTAATTGAATACCCTTTATTTCCTTCTCCTGCCTAATTGCCCTGGCCAGAACTTCCAACACTATGTTGAATAGGAGTGGTGAGAGAGGGCATCCCTCTCTTGTGCCAGTTTTCAAAGGGAATGCTTCCAGTTTTTGCCCATTCAGTATGATATTGGCTGTGGGTTTGTCATAGATAGCTCTTACTATTTTGAAATACGTCCCATCAATACCTAATTTATTGAGAGTTTTTAGCATGAAGGGTTGTTGAATTTTGTCAAGGGCTTTTTCTGCATCTATTGAGATAATCATGTGTTTTTTGTCTTTGGTTCTGTTTATATGCTGGATTACATTTATTGATTTGCGTATATTGAACCAGCCTTGCATCCCAGCGATGAAGCCCACTTGATCATGGTGGATAAGCTTTTTGATGTGCCGCTGGATTCGTTTTGCCAGTATTTTATTGAGGATTTTTGCATCAATGTTCATCAAGGATATTGGTCTAAAATTCTCTTTTTTGGTTGTGTCTCTGCCTGGCTTTGGTATCAGAATGATGCTGGCCTCATAAAATGAGTTAGGGAGGATTCTGTCTTTTTCTGTTGATTGGAATAGTTTCAGAAGGAATGGTACCAGTTCCTCCTTGTACCTCTGGTAGAATTCGGCTGTGAATCCATCTGGTCCTGGACTCTTTTTGGTTGGTGAGCTATTGATTATTGCCACAATTTCAGCTCCTGTTATTGGTCTATTCAGAGATTCAACTTCTTCCTGGTTTAGTCTTGGGAGAGTGTATGTGTCGAGGAGTTTATCCATTTCTTCTAGATTTTCTAGTTTATTTGCGTAGAGGTGTTTGTAGTATTCTCTGATGGTAGTTTGTATTTCTGTGTGATCAGTGGCGATATCCCCTTTATCATTTTTTATTGCGTCTATTGGATTCTTCTCTCTTTTTTTCTTTATTAGTCTTGCTAGCGGTCTGTCACTTTTGTTGATCCTTTCAAAAAACCAGCTCCTGGATTCATTAATTTTTTGAAGGGTTTTTTGTGTCTCTATTTCCTTCAGTTCTGCTCTGATCTTAGTTATTTCTTGCCTTCTGCTAGCTTTTGACTGTGTTTGCTCTTGCTTTTCTAGTTCTTTTAATTGTGATGTTACGGTGTCAATTTTGGATCTTTCCTGCTTTCTCTTGTGGGCATTTAGTGCTATAAATTTCCCTCTACACACTGCTTTGAATGCATCCCAGAGATTCCGGTATGTTGTGTCTTTGTTCTCGTTGGTTTCAAAGAACATCTTTATTTCTGCCTTCATTTTGTTATGTACCCAGTAGTCATTCAGGAGCAGGTTGTTCAGTTTCCATGTAGTTGAGTGGTTTTGAGTGAGATTCTTAATCCTGAGTTCTAGTTTGATTGCACTGTGGTCTGAGAGATAGTTTGTTATAATTTCTGTTCTTTTACATCCGCTGAGGAGAGCTTTACTTCCCAGTATGTGGTCAGTTTTGGAATAGGTGTGGTGTGGTGCTGAAAAAAAATGTATATTCTGTTGATTTGGGGTGGAGAGTTCTGTAGATGTCTATTAGGTCCACTTGGTGCAGAGCTGAGTTCAATTCCTGGGTATCCTTGTTGACTTTCTGTCTCGTTGATCTGTCTAATGTTGACAGTGGGGTGTTAAAGTCTCCCATTATTAATGTGTGGGAGTCTAAGTCTCTTTGTAGGTCACTCAGGACTTGCTTTATGAATCTTGGTGCTCCTGTATTGGGTGCATATATATTTAGGATAGTTAGCTCTTCTTGTTGAATTGATCCCTTTACCATTATGTAATGGCCTTCTTTGTCTCTTTCGATCTTTGTTGGTTTAAAGTCTGTTTTATCAGAGACTAGGATTGCAACCCCTGCCTTTTTTTGTTTTCCATTTGCTTGGTAGATCTTCCTGCATCCTTTTATTTTGAGCCTATGTGTGTCTCTGCACGTGAGATGGGTTTCCTGAATACAGCACACTGATGGGTCTTGACTCTTTATCCAGTTTGCCAGTCTGTGTCTTTTAATTGGAGCATTTAGTCCATTGACATTTAAAGTTAATATTGTTATGTATGAATTTGATCCTGTCATTATGATGTTAGCTGGTTATTTTGCTTGTTAGTTGATGCAGTTTCTTCCTAGTCTCGATGGTCTTTACATTTTGGCATGATTTTGCAGCGGCTGGTACCGGTTGTTCCTTTCCATGTTTAGTGCTTCCTTCAGGAGCTCTTATAAGGCAGGCTTGGTGGTGACAAAATCTCTCAGCATTTGCTTGTCTGTAAAGTATTTTATTTCTCCTTCGCTTATGAAGCTTAGTTTGGCTGGATATGAAATTCTGGGTTGAAAATTATTTTCTTTAAGAATGTTGAATATTGGCCCCCACTCTCTTCTGGCTTGTAGGGTTTCTGCCGAGAGATCCACTGTTAGTCTGATGGGCTTCCCTTTGAGGGTAACCCGACCTTTCTCTCTGGCTGCCCTTAACATTTTTTCCTTCATTTCAACTTTGGTGAATCTGACAATTATGTGTCTTGGAGTTGCTCTTCTCGAGGAGTATCTTTGTGGTGTTCTCTGTATTTCCTGAATCTGAACGTTGGCCTGCCTTGCTAGATTGGGGAAGTTCTCCTGGATAATATCCTGCAGAGTGTTTTCCAGCTTGGTTCCATTCTCCCGATCACTTTCAGGTACACCAAGCAGACGTAGATTTGGTCTTTTCACATAGTCCCATATTTCTTGGAGGCTTTGCTCATTTCGTTTTATTCTTTTTTCTCCAAACTTCCCTTCTCACTTCATTTCATTCATTTCATCTTCCATTGCTGATACCCTTTCTTCCAGTTGATCGCATCAGCTCCTGAGGCTTCTGCATTCTTCACGTAGTTCTTGAGCCTTGGTTTTCAGCTCCATCAGCTCCTTTAAGCACTTCTCTGTATTGGTTATTCTAGTTATACATTCTTCTACATTTTTTTTTTCCAAAGTTTTCAACTTCTTTGCCTTTGGTTTGAATGTCCTCCCGTAGCTCAGAGTAATTTGATCGTCTGAAGCCTTCTTCTCTCAGCTCGTCAAAGTCATTCTCCATCCAGCTTTGTTCCGTTGCTGGTGAGGAACTGCGTTCCTTTGGAGGAGGAGAGGTGCTCTGCTTTTTAGAGTTTCCAGTTTTTCTGTTCTGTTTTTTCCCCCTCTTTGTGGTTTTATCTACTTTTGGTCTTTGATGATGGTGATGTACAGATGGGTTTTTGGTGTGGATGTCCTTTCTGTTTGTTAGTTTTCCTTCTAACTGAGAGGACCCTCAGCTGCAGGTCTGTTGGAATACCCTGCCGTGTGAGGTGTCAGTGTGCCCCTGCTGGGGGGTGCCTCCCAGTTAGGCTGCTCGGGGGGTCAGGGGTCAGGGACCCACTTGAGGAGGCAGTCTGCCCGTTCTCAGATCTCCAGCTGCGTGCTGGGAGAACCACTGCTCTCTTCAAAGCTGTCAGACAGGGTCATTTAAGTCTGCAGAGGTTACTGCTGTCTTTTTGTTTGTCTGTGCCCTGCCCCTAGAGGTGGAGCCTACAGAGGCAGGCAGGCCTCCTTGAGCTGTGGTGGGCTCCACCCAGTTGGAGCTTCCCTGCGGCTTTGTTTACCTAATCAAGCCTGGGCAATGGCGGGCGCCCCTCCCCCAGCCTCGTTGCCGCCTTGCAGTTTGATCTCAGACTGCTGTGCTAGCAATCAGTGAGACTGCGTGGGCGTAGGACCCTCCGAGCCAGGTGCGGGATATAATCTAGTGGTGTGCCGTTTTTTAAGCCCGTCGGAAAAGCGCAGTATTCGGGTGGGAGTGACCCGATTCTCCAGGTGGCATCCGTCACCCCTTTCTTTGACTCAGAAGGGAACTCCCTGACCGCTTGCGCGTCCCAAGTGAGGCAATGCCTCGCCCTGCTTCCGCTCGCACGCGGTGAGCCCACCCACTGACCTGCGCCCACTGTCTGGCACTCCCTAGTGAGATGAACCCGGTACCTCAGATGGAAATGCAGAAATCACCCGTCTTCGGCGTCGCTCACGCTGGGAGCTGTAGACTGGAGCTGTTCCTATTCGGCCATCTTGGCTCCTCCCCCACCCCCCTTTTTTTTTCAAGATGCCACCATAGGGGCCTGTTGGGGAGCAAAGGGATTATGTTTTCCTTGATGTTAAGTGAATTAGCCAAACATAGACTTCCTGTTCATTCTTGGTTTTTTTCCACGTCGTATATGCCTATTACTATTTTTAAGTGATTTTTATATCAATGTTTTAGTTTATTTTTTTACTTTCTTGTTAACCCGATTATAAACTCCCATGGGAGCAACAGTGCCTTTTTTGCCCTGAGGTTTTTATTTGCTTAAGCAATGGCAGGTCCACTTAATGATAGACCATATCATCAAAGAAAGGTAGTATTCATGTGGCTTTTGAATTAGCATGCATCTGCGTAGATTCTGCCTCTGGCTTTACCAGCAACAGAAAATTTGTAGAACAGAGACAGAAATGCTTTGCTGTTAATTGCGCTTAAATAAGAATAGGAGTAAACGAGAGTATTACCTCCAAAGCACCAGAGCTGCTTTCCTCCTTATAACCAGTTCCTAAAGTGAATGAAAGCAGCTCTCCTTATGTGTCTGCCTACTTCATTCTTCGGTAAGTTTAACAGTTCATCTAGCTACCCTTTATTTGAAATGATTTCCAGATGCCTCCTCATATAAATTGCTGACTTCTGGATATATTCTGGTTCGGGAATGGGTAGATTTCTGATGTGGTTTAGTAGGTATATAAATCCCGTGAGCTTCTTGCATCTAATTTCTCTGATCCTGCTTACACTGATATTTAAAGTAGGTTTTGACATACTCCATCACTTAATGTTGATAAAGGACGTTTATATTCTTCTTAGTTCGTTTTATTTATGTGTTAGCTTTAAAGACATTTTCTTTGACGGAAAGTGAAGTAACAAAATAATAGTCGAATAGTTCTGCCGTGTCTCTAATTTGTTGATATTTTCCATGTACTTGAAACATGTATGGTACACCTCTTCTTTTTCCTTCTCTGAACAATGGCTAGAAAAAAAACCCTACTTCTTTCTGTCATTTACTGTGAGGCATTACTGAATCTGGGTGTATTCATGTATGCTGCTACCTGTATGTTTTCAAACAATAAGAATTCATTGAAACATATAAGACATTATACTTTCTCTTCTCCAGTATTGGATTATAGACTGCACTTAGTTTTCCGGAATGAAGTACAGACAAAGCCATAACGCGTGTACAACTACACATTGTCCTATAATATTGTCTGATAAAAAACAGTGTAGAAATATTCTGACAGGGAAATAGCAAATGTATTAATTTAACTTACCTTGCAATCTCTCTTAATGGAGCCTTATCACCAGTGTAAGAAATAACGTCTGGGTGTGAATACGTACACAGTATAAGGTAAACTTTGGTGAAGTCGTCAATTCTTTTGTCATTTCTTCCCCCTTCACAGCCAAAGTGTAGCACTTGACATGGAATCTTTCTTTCTTCATAAATCAGTCATTCATTTGGAATTCTGCATTGTTGTATGTAGAAAAACGATATTTTCCCTTCTGTAATATTGTTGTTATATTGGGAATTATATTTCTTTGTAATTTTAAAAAGTGGTTTACCATATTCATTTTTTTCTGCCAACCTTTCTTTTCAGGCATTTCCTGCTTATCCAAGTTCACCATTTCAGGTCACCACTGGATATCAGTTGCCTGTATATAATTATCAGGTAATGTAAGAAGGAGTAAAATTATTTGCTTTCAGGTATTATTGAGGCCTTTAACTTGTTTATACAAATTTCCGGAATAGTTGGTCATTTTAAACTAGTGAAGTGTACCTAAAATTTAAGGAAACACTTAGAATTAGTGTAGAATGAAGACCTCTGTCTTATTGAGAAGTAATGAAGTCGAATTTTGACAGGAATATACTTGGGAATAACTTTCCTGTAGAACAGATTTCTGAGATTTGGTGTCCCATTCTTCATTTCTGGATGTAGTTTTCATCTTTACTGTCAAATAACTGAATGAAACATCCAAACTGACTTTCATGAATTTTCTTAGGGAGATAGAGTGAAATAAAATTATGACCCACTTTGCAGAGCACAGAATTCCAACTATATTTTCATTTTAGCTGGCTGTTTCACGATAGCAATTCTCTGGGTCTCTTTTCACAGATACAAGTACATCTATGCCCAATAATTATATCTATGGTAATAAACTGAAAGAGCTAGTATCTTTGAGGTTTCCACATTGCCAACTCCCGAAAATGTGGAGAAGGGTGAAGTTTCTAATATAAAAGTAACAAGAATGTCATGGACTAGAAACATAAAGTACTCAAGTTTTCCTTTCTGTTACTTGTATTATAATAAAAAAGGAGACAGCAGGATAAGTGCTTCAATATTGTGTTTCTCATGTGTTTTTGAAAATGTGTAGGAATATTTTAATAGTTTTGGTTTCCTTTTTTTTTTTTTTTTTAAGATGCCACCATAGGGGCCTGTTGGGGAGCAAAGGGATTATGTTTTCCTTGATGTTAAGTGAATTAGCCAAACATAGACTTCCTGTTCATTCTTGGTTTTTTTCCACGTCGTATATGCCTATTACTATTTTTAAGTGATTTTTATATCAATGTTTTAGTTTATTTTTTTACTTTCTTGTTAACCCGATTATAAACTCCCATGGGAGCAACAGTGCCTTTTTTGCCCTGAGGTTTTTATTTGCTTAAGCAATGGCAGGTCCACTTAATGATAGACCATATCATCAAAGAAAGGTAGTATTCATGTGGCTTTTGAATTAGCATGCATCTGCGTAGATTCTGCCTCTGGCTTTACCAGCAACAGAAAATTTGTAGAACAGAGACAGAAATGCTTTGCTGTTAATTGCGCTTAAATAAGAATAGGAGTAAACGAGAGTATTACCTCCAAAGCACCAGAGCTGCTTTCCTCCTTATAACCAGTTCCTAAAGTGAATGAAAGCAGCTCTCCTTATGTGTCTGCCTACTTCATTCTTCGGTAAGTTTAACAGTTCATCTAGCTACCCTTTATTTGAAATGATTTCCAGATGCCTCCTCATATAAATTGCTGACTTCTGGATATATTCTGGTTCGGGAATGGGTAGATTTCTGATGTGGTTTAGTAGGTATATAAATCCCGTGAGCTTCTTGCATCTAATTTCTCTGATCCTGCTTACACTGATATTTAAAGTAGGTTTTGACATACTCCATCACTTAATGTTGATAAAGGACGTTTATATTCTTCTTAGTTCGTTTTATTTATGTGTTAGCTTTAAAGACATTTTCTTTGACGGAAAATGAAGTAACAAAATAATAGTCCAATAGTTCTGCAGTGTCTCTAATTTGTTGATGTTTTCCATGTACTTGAAACATGTGTGGTATACCTCTTCTTTTTCCTTCTCTGAACAATGGCTGGAAAAAAAGCCCTACTTGTTTCTGTCATTTACTGTGCGGCATTACTGAATCAGGGCATATTCATGTGTGCTGCTACCTGTATGTTTTCAAACAATAAGAATTCATTGAAACATATAAGACATTATACTTTCTCTTCTCCAGTATTGGATTATAGACTGCACTTAGTTTTTTGGAATGAAGTACAAACATAGCACTAATATCTATAGAACTACATATTACCCTTTAATATTGTCTGATACAAAACAGTCTAGAAATATTCTGACATTGAAATAGCAAATGTATAAATTTAACTTACATTGCAATCTGTCTTAATGGAGCCTTATCACCGGTGTAAGAAAGAATTTCTGGGTGTGAATAAGTACACAGTATAAGGTAAACTTTGGTGAAATAGTCAATTCTTTTGTCATTTGTTCCCCCTTCACACCCAAAGTGTGGCACATGACATAGACTATTTCTTTCTTCATAAAGTCAGTCATTCATTTAGAATTCTGCATTGTTGTATGTAGAAAAATGATATTTTAACGTTTTTAATATTTTTGTTACATTGGGAATGATATTTCTTTCTAATTTTAAAAAATGGTTTACCATATTCTTTTTTTTCTGCCACCTTTCTTTTCAGGCATTTCCTGCTTATCCAAATTCAGCAGTTCAGGTCACCACTGGATATCAGTTCCATGTATACAATTACCAGGTAATGTAAGAAGGAATGAAATGATTTGCTTTCAGGTATTATTGAGGCCTTTAACTTGTTTATACAAATTTCCTGAATAGTTGGTCATTTTAAACTAGTGAAGTGTACCTAATATTTAAGGAAACACTTAGAATTAGTGTAGAATGAAGACCTCTGTCTGATTTAGAAGTAATGAGGTAATATTTTGACAGGAATGTACTTGGCAATAACTTTTCTGTAGAACAGTTTTCTGAGATTTGACCCTTCTATATTTCAGGATATAGTTTTCATCTTTGCTGTCAAATAGCTGAATGAAACCTCCAGGATGACTTTCATGAATTTTTTAGGGATATAGAGTAAATAAAATTATTACCCAATTCTTAGAGCACATAATTCAAATTATAGTTTCATTTAGTAGGCTGTTTCCCGACAATTGTTGTCTGGTTCTCTTTTCATAGTAGAGAGGACTCTATCTATGACCAATAATCATATGTAGCATAATAAGTTCAAAGTAGTAACATCTTTGAGATTTCCACAATGCCAAATCCAAAAATTGGGGAAAAGGTGTGGTTTCGTATTTGTATGTGGAAGTAACAACAAGAATGTCAGGAATTAGAACCATAAAGTACTTCTTTTTTCCATTGTCTTTCTTTTATTATAATAACAAAGGAGCCAGCATAGGTACTTCAATATTTTATATATCATTTGTTTTTGAAAATGTTTATGAATATTTGAATAATTTTGTTTTCCTATTTTTTTTTTAAGATGCCACCGCAGTGCCCTGTTGGGGAGCAAAGGAGGTAGGTTGTACCTCTGGTAAAGTGAATTAGCCTACCATGTACTTCTGTTCTTTCTGGATTATTTTCCATATCATTTATGCCTTATAAATATTTTAAATGATTCTTTATATTAATGTGTTACATTTTGTTACTTTCTTTTTAACCCAGTTACAATCTCCCATGGGTGCAACAGTGCCTTTTTCTCTCTCAGGTTTTTGTGTGCTTAAGGAGTGGCTGGTCCACATAATAAGTGTTCAGTTACTTGTTGATAGACTGTGTAATCTAAGAAAGATAGTATTAATGTCACTTTAGAATTAGCATGTATCTGCGTAGGGTCTGCCTCTGGTTTTACCAGCCACAAAAAATTTGTTGAAGAGAAACAGAAATGTTTTGCTGTTAATTACTCTTAAATAAGAATAGGAATAAAAAAAGAGTATTACCTCTAAAATACCTGAACTTCTTTCCCCCATTATACCTAGTTCTGAAAACATTTGAAAGCAGCTGTTCTAATGTTTCTGCCTAGTTTATTCTTTAAGGATAGCGATTAATCTAGCTCTTCTTTACTTGCAATGATTTCCAGTTGACTCCTCATATAAACTGCTGACTTCGGGATATATTCTCGGTCTGGAATGTATAGATTTCTGACCTATTTTACTGTACCTATAAATCCTGTGAATTTCTGGCATGTAATTTCTCTGATCCTGATTACTTTGATATTTAAAGTAGGATTTGACATACTCTATCACTTATTGGTGATAAATAACGTCTGTTTTCTTCTTAGTCCATTTTATTTATGTGTTAGTTTAAAAGACATTTTCTTTGATGGAAAATAAAGTAACAAAATAGTAGTGAAATAGTTCTTCAGTGTCTCTCATTTATTGACATTTTCTGTGTACTTGAAATGTGTAGGATATACCTCTTCTTCTTTTTTCTTCTCTGAACAATGGCTAGAGACAAAGCCCTACTTGTTTCTAACATTTACGGTGAGCCATTACTGAATTTGGGTGTATTCATGTATGCTGCTTCCTATATGTTTTCAAACAATAAGTATTTATCGAAACATATAAGACATCGTACTGTCCTTCTCCAGTTTTGGATTGTACACTGCCCTTAGTTTTTCGAAATGAAGTACAGAAAAAAAACATAACATCTGTAGGAGAACTACATATTACCCTGTAATATTGTCAAACACAAAACTATCTGGAAGTATATTGACAAAGAAATAGCAAATGTATTAACTTAACTTACATTGAGATCTGTCTTAATGGAGCCTTACCAGCAGTGTAAGAAACAACTTCTGGGTGGGCATAAGTACACAGTGTCAGTAAGGTGAACTTTGCCTGGTGAAATAGTCACTACTTTGTCATTTGTGTGTTCCCCCGCCCCACCCAAAGGGGCTTAGCACTTGACAGAGAATATTTATTTCTTCCTGAAGTCATTCATTCATTTAGAATTCTGCATTGTTTTATATAGAAAATTAATAAATATTTTAAAGTTTTTCATTTTTTTTATTTTGGGAATAATATTTTTTTCTAATTTAAAAAGATGTTTTACCATATTCATTCTTTCTGTAAACTTACTTTCAGACATATCCTACTTATCCAAATTCACCAGGTCAGGTCACCACTGGGTGTCAGTTGCCTGTATGTAATTATCAGGTAATTGAAGAGGGAGTAAAATGATTTGTTTTCAGATATTATTGAAGCCTTTAACTTGTTTATATGAATTTCCCAAATAGTGTGTCATTTTAAACTAGTGAAATGTACCTAAAATTTAGGAAAACACTTGCAATGGTCTAGAATGAAGCCCTCTGTATTATTTAGAAGTAATGAATTAACATTTTGACAGGGATATACTTAGCAATAACTTTTCTGTAAAACAGTTTTCTGAGATTCGTTGTCCCCTTCTATATTTCAGCGTGTATTTTTTCATCTTTTTCATCTTTTTATCATCCCATTCTTAGAGCACAGAATTCCAATTATATTTTTATTTTAAGCTTGCTGCTTCATGATAGTAGTTCTCTGGGCCTCTTTTCATAGATATGACTACATCTGTGACCCATAATCATATCTATGGTGATAAGTAATAAATTGAAAAAACTAGTATCCTTGAGATTTCCACAATGCCAACTCCAGAAAATTGGGAAAATGGCGAGGTTTTATGTATAAAAGTAACAAGAACATCAGGGATTAGAAACATAAAGTACTTCTTTTTTTTTTTTTACTCTGTTTCTTTCACTTTAATAACAAATGAGCCAGCATGATAAGTGCTTCAATATTGTGTATCTCATGAGTTTTTGAAAATGTGTAGGAATATTTTAATAGTTTTGGTTTCCTTCTTTTTATTTTTTTAAGGTGCTACCGCAGTGGCCTGTTGGGGAGCAAAAGGGGTTATGGAGTAAAGTGAATTAGTGAAACGTATACTTCCTCATCTTTCTTGACTTTTTTCTATGCCATATATGCCTGTAGATATTTTTAAATGGTTCTTTATATTAATGTTTTATGTTTTGTTACTTTATTTTTAACCCAATTATAAACTCCCATGGGAGCAACAGTGCCTTTTTGTCTCTCACATTTTTGTGTGCTGAAACAGTGGCTGGTCCACATAATGATAAGTGTTCAGTTACTTGTTGATAGATTATATAATCCAGGAATGGCGGTATTAACTGGCTTTAGAATTAGCATGTATCTGCCTAGAATATGCCTCTGGCTTTACTAGCCATAAAACATTTGTTGAGGAGAAACCGAAATGTTTTGCTATTAATTACTCTTAAAGAGGAATAGGAATAAAACAAGAGTATTACCTCTAATACAACAGAGCTGCTGTCTTACATCACGATTGGATATTTGAAGGATATAGTAAGTGTTAAAATTCTCAAACACTCCCTTAACTACATTTGTTTCTTAGAATCCTTCTACCTCTGATTATGTTGATACCTGGAAGACGTTTTAAAACAAAAGGCTGCCTTAATGCATTTCAACTTTTCGTTTAAAACAAGGTTTCTGAAGTAACACAATTGAATTTCAACACAACCTACATTGAAACTTTTGATACCAGCTCACCTTTTTGAGGAATAAATAAGTAGCTTTTAAACGTATCTGTATTATCTGTTTAATTACACTTTCATTATTTTAAATATAGGCTTATTCAGCTCTTAACTGTCACTGTAGTGAAGTTGATACAGGAGGTGATGTTGTGCTAAATGAATGCTCAATTCATGAAGCTACCCCACCCTCTGGAAATGGCCCACAAAAGGCAAACATCTAATTTTGAATTTTTTTTACAATATATATTTCATATTTTTTTCTAATTTGAATGACTTTTTTTGAGAAGCAAACATTTTTGCCCAAATTTAAAAATGTTAGCCATAAATCATGGAGCTTAAATAATGGACTGATAGTCAGCAGTTAATGTAAAGGTTGTTGAAATTTCAGATACCCCAAATTTTCAGTATATACCTAAAGTTTCTGATTCAGCAAGTCCTTTCCTGTATTTCAGTTTCACTAATTTTAAAAAGCCATTCTTTAATAAATACTGTATTAATATGATTTGGCAGAATGCTATGGGAGGGTTTCCTCTAGAATTCTACTCAAAAGAAGAATTAGTACGAATTGTATGTCCCTTTTCTTTTACAACAGTTTTGATCTTAAGCAGTGAAAAATACCATTTAAATAAGCATTCTCTCCATAACATTATATGTGGCAGAAGTTTCCAACAGTGGTGAAGTCAGTAGTAATTATTCAAACACTGAAATAGACAGGGTTGTTTCTTTTTTTTATCATTAGTGCAAATTTCTGTAATAACAGTACTGTCACTCCTGGCGTCACATATGTTCTGTTAGATAGGTGGGCGTGTGGAAGTAGTTGATGTGCTGGTAATATGTATAATACCCAAGAAGTCCCATTGCAGTGTAAATTCCTTGATTTGATATTGGATTTTAAAATGTGAATAAATATGAAAACATAACTCTTACAGTATAATTGTCTGGTTTTGTTCTGAGTATGTTTTCTTGAAACATTGGAATTCACTTAGGGATTTAACAAATTCAGCTTTTTAAACCAGTATTCTATCGCTAAGGTTCTAAAATAATTCTTCGATTTGTCAGAAAACGTACATACTGAGGATATGTGGCAGGAATTATGAATCACATTTTTATGAATTTCTTTTTTTTTTTGAGACAGGGTCTTGCGGTGTCGCCCAGGCTGGAAGTGCAGTGGTGTGATCTCGGCTCACTGCAACTTCTGTCTCCTAGGTTCCAGTAATTCTCCCTGCCTCAGCCTCCCCAATAGGTGGAATTACAGGCACCCGTCACCCAGCTAATTTTTGTATTTTTTAGTGGAGAAGGGGTTTCGCCATGTTGGCCAGGATAGTCTTGAACTCCTGATATCAGGTGATGCGTCCTCCTCGGCCTCCCAAAGTGCTGGGATTAGAGGTGTGAGCCACTGCTCCCAGCCTCTTTTAGCATTTTTGCATTTCTTTGGAAATAAACTGATATGTTCATTAAACCATCAAAAGAAAAACCAAAACACACCCTTATTAAGAGTGAGTGAAAGAAAGAGTTGTCTTTACATTACTGAAAACTTCTGTGTTTCAGAAATCTGTGGACCGAAGCATACAAATGGTGGTATCTTGTCTGTTTAATCCAGAGAAGAGACTGATAAATTCCGTTGTTACTCAAGATGACTGCTTCAAGGTATGAAAGGAATGGCATGCATAATTAAAAAGCACACTTGTTCCCTCTCAAGTTAGCTGTTTTCCTTGTGGCACATGTATTTTGGGCTTTCTTAGAGGAATTTTTTTTCTTTTTTTTTTGTTTTGAGACGGAGTCTCCTCTGTCGCCCAGGCTGGAGTGCAGTGAGTGGCCCCATCTAGGCTCACTGCAAGCTCCACCTCCCAGGTTTACTTAACGCCATTCTCCTGCCTCAGCCTTCCGAGTAGCTGGGACTACAGGCGCCCACCACCACGCCCAGCTAATTTTTTGTATTTTTAGTAGAGACGGGGTTTCACCGTGTTAGCCAGGATGGTCTCGATCTCCTGACCTCGTGATCCACCTGCCTCAGCCTCCCAAAGTGCTGGGATTACAGGCATGAGCCACCGTGCCCGGCCTAGAACATTTAATTGAACTGTTGGCATTTGACTGTAACCCAGTAAACCAGTGTGGGTTTTACCTGGCAGTATATTTTCTGCTGCCGAGCCTTGATATAATGTAGTCAAATTTAGGGAAGAATCCTGCAGCAGAAATTTGTAATTGAAAGGGTTTACTAGAGAAGAGAGTTAGTTGACTACCTTGACCAAATAGTAAAATAAAATTTTAGATACAGAAAGGAGATCTTGGCTGGGTGCAGAGGCTCACGCCTGTAATCCCAACACTTTGGGGGGCTGAGGTGGGTGGATTGCTTGAGCTCAGGAGTTCGAGGCCACCCTGGGTAACAAGGCAAAACACCATCTCTACAAAAAAATACAAAAATCAGCCAGTTGTGATGGTACATGCCTGTAGTGCCAACTACTCCAGAGGAGTCTGAGGCAGGAGGATCGCTTGAGCCTGGGAAGTTGAGGCTGCACTGAGCCATGATTGTGCCGTTGTAGTCCAGCCTGGGCAACAGAGTGAGAGACCTTGTCTCAAAAAAAAAAAAAAAAAAAAAAAAAAGTAGAACTTAATACATGCATATTGGACTAAAGAGAAGAAAAGAAATGATTTACTCAGATGATACACCTGAACAGTGTGAAGGGAGAAAAGGGGTAAAATGAAGCAGTAAAAAGTTGAGTAGAAAGAGAGGTTGATTCAGAGTTGGTGAAGCGGAAGAGAATGTGGCTAGTTGAATTCCAGAAAGATCTGACTTCTGATCCCACTTTCTATCCATGTTGGATAGATAAATCTTTTATTAAGGCTCTAATTCTTACAAGTCTAAAATGAGAAGGTACAGGACTAAAGGTTTCTGGGTCCCTGTGGTTCTAAGTCTATAAATACGAAAAAGAACTAACTTGGTCAGTCCGGTGGGAGAAAAATATTATGGTTAATAAAGGGAAGGTGTTTTTTAAATAACAATTTTATTAAAATAATACCAGTAATACAATTTATGTATTTAAAATGTGCACTTCACTGTTTTTTCATATATTCAAAGTTGTGCAACCATGTCCACAATCAATTTTAGAATATTTAAATCACCTCAAAAATCACCCCCGTACCTTAGCAGTCACCTGCTATTTTCCTGGAACTTGTGTGTATCCCTAGGCAAACACTAATTTACTTTTTTCCTCTAAGGATTTTCCTGTCCTGGAGATTTCTTGTATATGGAATCATACATAATGATGTGGCATTTTGTGACTGGATTTTTTCACTCAGCATAATGTTTGTAAGGTTCATCAATATTCTAGCACGTATCAGAACTTAATCATTTCTTTTTATTTGTAGATATTACCTTATTCTGTTTATGCATTCATCTGTTAAAGACATTTGGATTATTTCCACTTTTTAGCTGTTATAACTAATGCTGTGAACATTCATGTACAAGTTACTGTGGGGACATACGTGCTTACCTCTCTTGCGTATATACTTGGGAATGGAATTGCTAAGTCATATTTAACCTTTAGTGGAACTGCCAGATTTGTCAAAACTGGCTACACACTTTACATTCAAAAGAAAATGTTTAACCATCACTTTGTGTCTTACAACAGAACTAGCTTATTTTTGTCTGTGAATGGATATGGGATGAAGCCTAAGCCTTTTTAAAGGGTTATATTATGAATCTTCTGTATAATGTAGAAGAGTAGAGCCAGATAGCAGAATTAAGTTCTTAACATCTTTGCAACATGGAGTAAATATATTTAAATTTGACATTTGTTCTCTTGTTGCTTCGTTCTATATAGATAGTACAATTTAGAAAAGAAAGAACTGGAATTGTACATCAGCTTATCTTGCCGAAAATTCTGATTACATTGGTGTCTACAGTAGTACTTAAGTGATTTTCAAAGCAGAAGATAGTTTTTTGTGTTTCTTTCTTTCTTTCTTTTTTTTTTTTTTGAGGTGACCTCATTTGGTCATCCAGGCTGGAGTGCAGTGTCGCAATCACAGCTTACTACAACCTCAAACTCCTGCACTCAAGGGATCCTTCTGCCTCAGCGTCCCAAATAGGACGACAGACGTGCACCACCACACTTAGCTAGTTAAAAAGAAATTTTTTTTTTTTTTTTTTGAGACAGAGTCCCACTGTGTCACCCAGGTTGGAGTGCAGTGGTGCGATCTTGGCTCACTGCAAGTTCTGCCTCCCAGGTTCATGCCATTCTCCTGCCTCAGCCTCCCGAGTGGCTGGGACTACAGGTGCCTGCCACCACGCCCAGCTAATTTTTTGTGTTTTTAGTAGAGATGGGGTTTCATCGTGTTAGCCAGGATGGTCTCGATCTCCTGACCTTGTGATCTGCCCGCCTCGGCCTCCCAAATTGCTGGGATTACAGGTGTGAGCCACCGTGCCCAGCCAAAAGATTTTTTTTTAAGAGAGAATCTTACTATATTGCCCTGGCTCGTCTTGAACTCCTGGGCTCAAGTGATCCTCCTGCCTCAGCCTCCCAAAGTGCTGGGATTACAGGCGTATGCCACCATGTCCAGCCCAGAAAATATTTTTTTAAACTTGAGTTCTCACCTGGTGGTAGACAAAAGACTCGCTTTGAAACTTCCAGAGTTTTCTGCTTATTTGGGAGAGGAATCAGAAGTTGGCATCCTGCAGTTGTCTGACATTTAGACCTATTTTAATTGACTGCACGTTGTTATATTGAATTAGAATGCCTGAGATATTTTTGAATGTATTTACAATTTCCATAGCCGATTTCTCTTCATTGTCTTAGTTATCTAGCCCTTTCACAATCTTGTTTCCTACATGACCTCTGAATATACATGTTGGTGACCAGTTTTCTAGATTTTAACCTAAATTGATTATCACTCTTTTGACAGATGAGGTAACTTCCAGAAGCCACTTTTATTTATATGAAAATGAAACTGAAGTCTTAAAAAAAGGGCACAGCTTTGTAGAAAAGGAAATGTTATTACTCGTTCACTCATTCCCATTCCTCCTTGTAAGACCTCTCACTTCTCTCTGCACGTCTGCAGGCAACATAGAGTGAAAAGAAAGTTTTGCATGTATTTTAAAGTTTTATCTTCCTTTCTAAAGAATGATATGTCTTCACAGGTTAATGATATGTTCTTCAAATGCCAAAACTTACATATTTTAATCTAAAAACACGAAATTTCAGATTGGAGAGCAGTTCGCAAGCTGTAGTTGGTATTAAATGCAGTTCAATTAGTGAAAAAAGTATTCTTTACAATTACATTTTCTACCAGCTGTCTTTGGGACATTACTGCAAAATTATTAACTAAGAAGTACATAAAATGATACTGAGTTTAAGTCCTTTTATTTCTCAGTTTACTGGAATTTGTTTTATTTAATTATTGATTTCTTTTTTTAACTGTTTAATAAAACTAGCCATCTTGGTACATTTGTTATCCCAGTGTTCAAATATGCTTCCTGAAAAGAATCATCTTTTTTTCTCATTATTTATAATGTTTAAACCCAAAACAAATGGTTTAAGTTTTGACAACTTTCAGATCCATAGTAGTCATCAGAAATTTTCAGTAAAATAAAAGGACTATTTCTGTCTTTTCCAGGGTAAAAGAGTGCATCGCTTTAGAAGAAGTTTGGCAGTATTTAAATCTGTTGGATCCTCTCAGCTATCTAGTTTCATGGGAAGTTGCTGGTTTTGAATATTAAGCTAAAAGTTTTCCACTATTACAGAAATTCTGAATTTTGGTAAATCACACTGAAACTTTCTGTATAACTTGTATTATTAGACTCTCTAGTTTTATCTTAACACTGAAACTGTTCTTCATTAGATGTTTATTTAGAACCTGGTTCTGTGTTTAATATATAGTTTAAAGTAACAAATAATCGAGACTGAAAGAATGTTAAGATTTATCTGCAAGGATTTTTAAAAAATTGAAACTTGCATTTTAAGTGTTTAAAAGCAAATACTGACTTTCAAAAAAGTTTTTAAAACCTGATTTGAAAGCTAACAATTTTGATAGTCTGAACACAAGCATTTCACTTCTCCAAGAAGTACCTGTGAACAGTACAATATTTCAGTATTGAGCTTTGCATTTATGATTTATCTAGAAATTTACCTCAAAAGCAGAATTTTTAAAACTGCATTTTTAATCAGTGGAACTCAATGTATAGTTAGCTTTATTGAAGTCTTATCCAAACCCAGTAAAACAGATTCTAAGCAAACAGTCCAATCAGTGAGTCATAATGTTTATTCAAAGTATTTTATCTTTTATCTAGAATCCACATATGTATGTCCAATTTGATTGGGATAGTAGTTAGGATAACTAAAATTCTGGGCCTAATTTTTTAAAGAATCCAAGACAAACTAAACTTTACTGGGTATATAACCTTCTCAATGAGTTACCATTCTTTTTTATAAAAAAAATTGTTCCTTGAAATGCTAAACTTAATGGCTGTATGTGAAATTTGCAAAATACTGGTATTAAAGAACGCTGCAGCTTTTTTATGTCACTCAAAGGTTAATCGGAGTATCTGAAAGGAATTGTTTTTATAAAAACATTGAAGTATTAGTTACTTGCTATAAATAGATTTTTATTTTTGTTTTTTAGCCTGTTATATTTCCTTCTGTAAAATAAAATATGTCCAGAAGAGGCATGTTGTTTCTAGATTAGGTAGTGTCCTCATTTTATATTGTGACCACACAGCTAGAGCACCAGAGCCCTTTTGCTATACTCACAGTCTTGTTTTCCCAGCCTCTTTTACTAGTCTTTCAGGAGGTTTGCTCTTAGAACTGGTGATGTAAAGAATGGAAGTAGCTGTATGAGCAGTTCAAAGGCCAAGCCGTGGAATGGTAGCAATGGGATATAATACCTTTCTAAGGGAAACATTTGTATCAGTATCATTTGATCTGCCATGGACATGTGTTTAAAGTGGCTTTCTGGCCCTTCTTTCAATGGCTTCTTCCCTAAAACGTGGAGACTCTAAGTTAATGTCGTTACTATGGGCCATATTACTAATGCCCACTGGGGTCTATGATTTCTCAAAATTTTCATTCGGAATCCGAAGGATACAGTCTTTAAACTTTAGAATTCCCAAGAAGGCTTTATTACACCTCAGAAATTGAAAGCACCATGACTTTGTCCATTAAAAAATTATCCATAGTTTTTTTAGTGCTTTTAACATTCCGACATACATCATTCTGTGATTAAATCTCCAGATTTCTGTAAATGATACCTACATTCTAAAGAGTTAATTCTAATTATTCCGATATGACCTTAAGGAAAAGTAAAGGAATAAATTTTTGTCTTTGTTGAAGTATTTAATAGAGTAAGGTAAAGAAGATATTAAGTCCCTTTCAAAATGGAAAATTAATTCTAAACTGAGAAAAATGTTCCTACTACCTATTGCTGATACTGTCTTTGCATAAATGAATAAAAATAAACTTTTTTTCTTCAAATGTGTTTTTGGCTTTCCGATGTAATAATGTAAAATGGTGGGGAGTTGCGTGGGAACTGTGTAACAAGGTTTAAATTCGTATAACAAGCTTTAGATTCTTAAAATGCAGAAGTATAAAGTTCAGTATACTAATCTGTCTGAGTTAGCCCATAAAAGCAAATGTAGGTACAAAGATAAGTTTAAGAGGTGCATCAACAGCAGTGCAGACTAGGAATGCTGATGAACACATCCGACTCTGCTATCTCACGGCTAAGGTCCCTCACATTTTGGACCCTATGAAGCATTTTGTCTACTGTACACTTTGGGCCTAGTCTCTAGATCATTTATTTCGGGGTATTGCAGTTGCCTAAGGGAGCTTAATTTTTTTATATTGCAGGTACTTCCTGTGGATACCATAAAAAAAAAAAATCAGTACCGCTTCTTCTAGCTTTAGTGTTAGTACTCAGTTCTATAAGCTGAGTCCAGTGGAGAGGAAACTCCTCAGACACTCCTGTATTTCATTAGTTAGTAAGCTTGCTGATTCATAACCAGAAAGTTGACTCCAAGGATACGCAGGATAGCAAACAGTGCTTTCTGCATCACCAAAGATTAAATTGTGATGTTTAGTGTCCAATAATAGGCAAAAAATTAGTAATTCTTTTATGTGCCTATGTGTATATATGTGTACATATGTGTCTATATATGCATATATTTATGGTTATGTACATACTAACGATTATCCAGAATATTTGGTTCTAGCTGATCAAGCTAGTAGGTTTTCAGTATTTTCAGACCCCAAAACTAGACTACATATGGTTTAAGATAGTTGCTTTACACCAGCTTGTTTCTAGTTTCCTATTAAATTATTACCACAAAAATCTTTGGAATTGAAAAATAACAGTTAAGCACTTTTTTGTAAAAAGTTCAAGTTATGGTGAAATCAAGCAGCTCTAAAAAGGTTGGTCACCTCCTTAAGTGTATTCTGCATGTTGGTTTTTTTCTTTTTCTAAAATCAGATTACCTTTAATTCAAAATAACTTCAGAATTGGTAGTACCTGTCTGGCAAGGAAGTCATTGACTCTTAAAAATAAATACTCCACAGCATTTCCCTCTCGTTATAAAGCACCTCTAGCCCCCTCTTCACTAAATTTTTCTTGGCTTTTTTTTAAAGGTAAACTGATAAAAATGGGCTGCCACATTGCTTAATCGCCTTGCCTGCTTTCCTTGCTGTCAGTTGAGGGTAATGAGGAGCAGCAACGATAAGGCAGCGTGCCACCTTGCTTTCACAAAGATGCCAATAGAGAAAGTGGGGAAACATAAGGGAGAAAAAAGTAGCAGTATTTTACATTGACCAAGTCTTGTGAATGGGCCAGCTATTGAGTATGATCATTTGGAATCCCTAGATAAGGATTGCTCCTGTACATATTTTGATAAGTGTAATCTATCCCTTCCCAACATGTGTAGTATGTCTCTGTATGTAACTGATTGTTGTGAGCAATTCCTTGCCACTCACCAAAGACAGAACTTTCCATCTGTAGACAGTACATTTTGTAGTAGAAAACAATAGACATAAGAAGTTCAAACTATAAACATGTTTTTGAATGCTCATGAAAGATAATCTGCATAGCAAAGAAATAATAGACAATTCAACATTGCATTTAGAGTTAAAAACATCTGTCCAGTATGGATGTAGCTGTGGGCCAATCCTAAGTAAACGCAAAAAAAAAAAAAAAAAAAAATTGTCTCTTGGTACAGAAGTTGAAACTACCACTCTACCACTGTACAATTAAACTCTATGGTCGCTGTATTTTACGTTTTTAACTGGTCTGAAACAGTTCTCTAGTTAAGTCTGTAGTTCGTTTTCCCAAGACAAGGCTTTGTATCTTACGTGCACCTTCATTAATGCTGCATGCCAGGAATTCCACATGAAACTTCAAGATGCCGGTTCACTAGGTCTTTTCCACATGAAACTTCAAGATACCGGTTCACTAGGTCTTTAACAATAGAACAAATACTTGCATGACTGGGATATTCAGGTCATGAACACTCCTTATAAATTTGAAGCAATAGTAACATTTTAAGCACTTTGGAAAATTGGAGGTTTCATAACCCTCAATCAGATCTTTTTATAGAATAACAAAAATACACTAAGGTTCTAATCACATCTATTGTCTTTGCCCAAAATAACATGGATAGAGACACACTCCATTCTGGCTCAATCTTAGATGAAACTCCAGAAGAAAGGCAGTTGATAATGATACAGCCAGGCCAGCTGTTTAAGTGGACGTGTCCCCTCTGCCCTTGTACATTTGTTTAAAAATTTTGATAGGACTCTTCCCGCCTCCTTCACACCCTCCATAAATCTGACTAGGCCCATAAGAATGGAGAGAGGTAATTTAAAAGGCAGAGGACATTTTTCTCCTTGTTTTTACCTATGCTGATCCCCTACCTGGTGTTGGAGCAGCTTCACTGTGAGTAAAATCTGAACAGTGTTTAAGCAGTAAACCCACTATATTGAGGAAAGCGTGACCTGCACTTTTTTTTTTTTTTTTTTTCCTGAACATGACTTGGTTGTTGCTCATCATTTTGGTTGGTGATGGGTCTTTGACAAACCGATATGCTCACCATCCAAAGTTGTGTCCATGTTTAGATCAGCGCAGTATTCGATAGGGCACGTTTCCTCAAGATACCAATTTTACAGGGAAGTCAAAGAGCATCAGAGCTATCATAAGGGGTGTTTTTCAGAAGCCAAATCCTGGGCCCCATTCTCAGATGCTCTTATTCTAATGCTCTGGATGGGCCCAGTAATCTGCATTTTTAACATGTGCCCCAGGTGATTCTGACCACCGTAACATACTTTGAGAAATATGGCCTCAGCTGGGGAGCTCTCATTAGATCATCTCAAGCTACCCCTGGATTTAGGATAGAAACAGCCCTGTCAGGTCAACTATGACTTTCATAAAGGATTCCGTTGGCTTAATTCACCGAATTCATCTTTCCCTGCCAAGCCCGTGCCTGGGAATGCCAGCTGTCCACAGGCAAGAGTGACTCATGAATGGGCTGAAATAGATTGAATAGAAAGTTTGAAAACCAAGACTTGTGGCCAGAAATCAGTGACAGGAGGGAGTGACTACAGAGGCAAAGCTGGATTCCAAGGCCAAGAGCAGGCAAGCCAAGGGTGAGGGACTAGGCTCGAGTGGGAAAGGGCAGAGTGGATATCCTGGGGACAGAGACACTGTGTTTGCCTCCTGGAGTGAAGAACTATGCCTTTGACTCACTTGACACACTTTACAAATAGTATTACCCATGGTTTTTAGAAAAGTATGGCCTGTCATTGCTCCTTTTCCTGCTGTGGAATTAACTAATACCTCTTAACACCTTTAAGCAAGAATGATAATAACAGATCAATATCAAAAAAATATGTTGAGATCAAGTTCCAGAGACAGCCTTAGGCATTTGATATCCATATTCTTTTTGTATATGTCTGTGTTTTAAAATTTCACATTTAGTTCACTCAAAAGTATAAAAATATTTATTTAAAGAATAATAAATACCCAAGTTGGCTTGAGAAATAGAACATTTCATTAATTAAAAAATATGCCCTCCCTGATCACACCCTCTTCCTCCCCAAGAAGAAGAAACCACCTAAATTGAATTTTGGTTTAATCATCTGCTGAATAAAATGTTTCTTTTCACAATATTTTGAACTTTAAGAGAACATATACTGAAACTATTTTTTTTTTTTTTTTTTTTTTGGCACATTGTTAGACTCATCCGTGTTGACTGGGAGATTCTATTTATTTTCACTGCTTTTTAGTTGTATCAGTTGAATATTTTACGGTTTGTTATTTCCCTTGCTGGGGGACAATTGACTTTTATTTTTTGTTTTAAAATTTTAAATGTAAATTGTGTTGATTCGTTGATTGCTGTTACAAACTATGCTCCTACGAACATTGTTAAATGCCTCTGATCACTTAGGTACTAGAATGTCATAAAAAAGAGTGAACTTTAAATCCCAGCCCCAAATACTTCCTGAGTAAGCTTGGACGAGCTTCTCACTGAGTCTTGGTTTCCTCCTCTGTAAAACAACAATACTAGTATCTACTTTATAGTGTTACTATGAGATTATTTGGGGCAACACATCAATGTGGTTAGCTTCCCATCCACAGATCTACCCACCTGCATCCCACTCAAACCCACCTAAGTTTTCTGCAGCCTTTACATTTCAGTAACTAGAACTTCCCACGTGGTCTGTGTATAGAGCAGCCATGGTTTGGTGAATGACTGTGTCCTGAAATGTAGTCTTTTGCGTATCTTCTTTGGTAGTAGGAAACAGCTCATTATGCTAGGCTCTTCAGGATATTTTCTAGAATAGTTCCCTTTTTTCTGAGAGGGCCTTGAATGAGTAGAACACTAACAAATGAGTGAAATAATGGTACATAGGCCAGCATTCCCTAAGCACAATTTCTGTTTTTCCTTCATGAAATGCTGGAGGTGGCAGGCAGGATTTCATATCCCATTCTTCTCATCACATGCATACTCCCTGAAATTTGTATAGGATTTTAGGGTTTTCAGAGCTACTTCGTATATATGATTTCGTTTGGTCTTCGTCAACTCCTTTGAAGTGCTAGACATGTCTAGGTTTTAGGTGTGATTTTCTTAAATTTACACACCCTGGGATTCAGATAAATAAGAAACTGAGACTTGACATCTGGGCCATTGCTTTTTATACTATCTCATAGATAGCAGACTCTCCAAATCAAAATACAGAAATATTTTTACTAATACATAATAATTATACACATTTATGGGATATCTGTGACAATTTCATGCTTCCATGCAATGTGTGGTGATCAAAACAGGGTAACTGGGATATCCATCACCTCAAACATTTATCATTTCTTTGTGTGGGGAGCATTTTCTACCTATTTGGAACTACACAATAAATTATTGTTAACTATAGTCACCCTCCTGTGCTGTCAAACACTAGAACTTATTCCTTCTAACTGTATTTTTGTATCCAGTAAACAACCTCCCTTAATTCCCGTCCCCCAACCCCAACACTCACTCTCTATAGCCTCTGTTAACTACTGTTCTACACTTTACCTCCATGAGATCAATTATTTTGGCTCCCACATATGAGTGAGAATAAAGACATTTGTCTTTCTGTGCCTGGTTTATTTCACTTAAAATAATGTCCTTGGTTCCATCCGTGTTGCTGCAAATGACCGGACCTCATCCTTTTTAACGGCTCAATAGTACTCCATTGTGTAGATGTACCACATTTTCTTTATGCATTCATCTGTTGACGGATACTTAGGCTGGTTCCAAATCTTGGATATTGTGAACAGTACTGCAATAAACGTGAGAGTGCAGAGATCTCTTCAACATGCCATGCTGTTTTTGTTACTACTACAGTTTTGCAGTACATTTTGAAATTCGCTAGCGTGATGCCTTCAGCTTTATTCTTTTGACTCAGTATTGCTTTCGCTACTTGGAGTCTTTTGTGGTTCCATAGAATTTTATGATTTTTTTTTCTAATTTCTATGAAGAAGTATTTGGCATTTTCACGGGGATTGCATGAAATCTGTAGATCACTTTTGGCAGAATTGGTTATTTTAACAATATTAATTCTTCCAACCTGTGAACATGGGGTTGGGGTGTCTTTCTACTTTTTTGTGTAATCTTTAATTTATTTTGTAAGTTTTTTAATAGTTTTCCTTGTAGAGGTTTTTATCTCATTGGTTAAATTTATTCCTAGATACTTTATTTTATTTTTTATACCTATTATAAACGGGATTGCTTTCTTGATTATTTTTTCCTGCTGGCTGCTTGTTGGTACACAGAAAGTCTAGTGGTTTTTGTATATTAATTTTGTGTACTGCAAATTTACTGAATTCACTTATCACTTCTGAAAGTTTTTTTGGTGGAGTTTTAAGGGTTTTGTGTCTGCAAACAAATTTACTGAATTCATTTATGACTACTGAAAGTTTTTTGGTGGAGTTTTAAAGGTTTTATATCTGCAAACAGGGACAATTTGACTTCTTCCTTTCCAATCTGGATGCTCTTTTTTTTCCCTTGCCTAATTGCTGTGGCTAGAACTTCTGGTACTATGCTGAATAAAAGTTGTGAAGTGGATATTTTTGTCTCTTCCGTATGTTAGAGGAAATCCTTTGAATTTTTCCCTGTTCAGTATGATGTTGGTTGTGGGTTTATTATATATGGCCTTTATTGTGTTCAGATATATTCCTTTTACGTCTGACTTGTGGAGAGTTTTTATCATGAAGCCCTGTTGAATTTTATCAAATGTTTTTTCTGCATCTATTGAGATGATCACATGGTTTTTGTTCTTCACTCTGTCAATGCGATGTATCATATTTAAGTTGGTTTGCATATGTGGAAACATCCTGTCATTTTGTTAATTATTTTCTGGTTGGTTTCTATAACCTTTGTTGATTTCTTTCTTATTGTTTATCATTGCAGTTTAGTATTTTCCTGTAGTGATAAAGTTTGATTGTTTTTCCTTTCTCCCTTGTATATCTGCTCTACTGGGATGAATCCCTTGCATCCCTGGGATAAATCCCACTTGGTCATGGGGAATGATCTTTTTAATGTGCTGTTGGTTTCAGTTTCTTAGTATTTGGTTGAGGTTTTTTGCGTTTCTGTTAATCAGAGATACTGGTCTATAGTTTTCTTTTTTTGTTGTGTCCTTGTCTGGATTTGGTATCAGAGTAATGCTGACCTCAAATAATGAACTTTGAAGAATTCTCTTCAACTTTCTGGAAGGGTTTGAGAAGAATTGCTATTATTTATTTAAATTTGTGGTGTAATTCAGCATTGAAGCCCTCAGTTCCTCAGTTATTTGATGGGAGGCTGTTTATTACAGATTCAATCTTCTTACTCATAATTGGTCTGTTCAGGTTTTCTATTTCTTTTTTTTTTTTTTTTTTTTTTTTTTTTTTTGAGAGGGAGTCTCTCTCTGTCACCCAGGCTGGAGTGCAGTGGTGCAATCTCGGCTCACTGCAAACTCCTCCTTCCGGGTTCATGCCAGTCTCCTGCCTCAGACTCCTGAGTAGCTGGGACTACGGGCACCTGTCATGATGCCCAGCTAACTTTTTTGTATTTTTAGTAGAGATGGGGTTTCACCGTGTTAGCCAGGATGGTCTCCATCTCCTGACCTCATTATCCGCCCGCCTCTGCCTCTCAAAGTGCTGGGATTACAGCTGTGAGCCACCGTGCCCGGCCCGTGTTTTCTATTTCTTACTGGTTCAATCTTGGTAGGTTTTATGTGTCCAGGAATTTGTCTATTTCTTTCTGCTAGGTTCTCTGATTTTTTGGTGTATAGTTGTTCAGAATAGTCTGTAATGATCCTTTATATTTCTCTGGTAGTCTCCTATTTCATTTCTGATTTTATTTATTTGAGTCTTTTTCTCTTTTATTCTTGGTTTGTGTAGCTAACCGTTTGCAAATTTTGTTTACCTTTTCACAAAACCAACTTTTTCTTTTGTTGATCTTCTGTATTTTTATAGTCCCCATTTTATTTCTGCTCTGATCTTCATTATGTTTTTCTTCTACTAATTTTGGTCATGGTTTGCGCTTACTTTTCTAGTTCCTTGATATGCATCGTTAGGTTTTTAATTTTATTTCCACTTTTCGGATACAGGTATTTATTGCTGTAAGTTTTCCTCTTAAAATGGCTTTGTTGTATCGCATAGGTTTTCAAATGTTGCTGTTTTCATTTGTTTCCAGAAATTTTTAAATTATCGTTTTAATTTTTTCATTTGACTTCTCATTCAGGAGCATGTTGTTTAATTTCCATGTATTTGTGTAATTTCAAAAGTTACTCTTGTTATCGATTTCTAGTTTTATTCCATTGTGATTAAGAGAAGATACTTACCATGATTTCAGTTCATTTAAATTTGTTGAAACTTAATTGTGTGGATGAACATGTGGTCTGTCCCCAAGAACAGTCCATGTGCAGAATTTACTGATGAAAAGCATGTGTATTCTGCAGCTATTGGATGAAATGTTCTAGAAATGTCTGTTAGGTCTGTCTGGTCTCAGATTCATTTCCTGTTAAATGTTTCTTTGTTGGTTTCTGTATATATATATATATATATATGTATATATATAGATATCTGTCTAATGCAGAGAGTGAGTGTTGGAAGTCCCCAACTATTACTATATTGAAGTCTATCTCACCCTTTAGATTTAATAATATTTGGTTTTTATATATCTGGGTGCTCTGATGTTGGGTGAATATATATTCACAATTGTTATATCCTCTGGCTCAATTGGACCCTTTATCATTACATAATGACCTTTTTGGTCTCTTTTTACAGTTTTTGACTTGAAGTCTGTTTCATTTGATATGTATAGCTACTCTAATTCACTTTTGGTTTTGGTTCACATGGAATATCTTTTTCTGTTCCTTCACTTTCAGTCTATGTAATCACACAAGTGTCTTTACAGGTGAAGTCAGTTACTTGTAGGCAGCATCCAGTTGGGTAATTTTTTTTTTTTTTTTTCAATCCATTCTGCTAGCCTAAGTCTTTTATGTGAGGAATTTAATCTGTTTACATTCAAGGTATTACTGATAGGTGAGGACTTACTCCTGTCATTTTGTTAATTATTTTCTTGTTGTTTTGTATATCCTTTGTTCATTTATTTCTGCCTTATTGTTTATCGTTGCAGTTTGGTCATTTCTATAGTGATACGATTTGATTATTATTCCTTTTGTTGTATATCTGCTCTACCAGTGATCTTTATACTTGTATATGTCTCTGTAATAGTGATCATCATCTTTTTACTTCCAGATGTAGGACTTCCTTAACCATTTCTTGTAAGGCCAGTCTAGCACTGATGGACTCCCTCAGTTTTTGCTTGCTTTAGGCAGACTTTATTTCTCCCTCATTTATGAAGGATTGCTTTGCTGGGAATAGCATTCTTGACTGAATTTTCTTTTTTTTTTTTTTTTTTTTTAGCACGTTGAATTATATCATCTCATTTTCTCCTGGCCTGTAAGACTTCTGCAGAGAAATCCACTACTAGTCTAATGGAGATGCCCTTATATGTGACTTGATGCTTTTCTCTTGCTTTTGTAGAGAAAGACTTTCACGTGCATCTGAGTTTTAGTGTGCCAGTTGAGAAGGGTGCAGTGACTCTTTTTCAAGATAGTTGAAGTGGTATGGCCTCATTCAGCTTCTTTGGCTGCATTCAATATCAGCAGTAGCTGTGAGTACCTCAGTTGCCTAGGCCATACAAGTTTGTGGTAGTGATGATGGCATAAGTTGTTAATAACCTCCATATCAAAGGCTTTGGGGGTTTTCTTCATTCTCATTTTCCACACACTGGGGAGATTTAGACAAGAGTATCCTTTCTGGATTCAGGTCTGACATGGCCTATAAGTAGCTATAGCAGTGCTGGGTTCCAGGTTTAGGTGCTCCAAATGGCTATGGTGCTAGGGTCCTAGGCTCAAGGTTTCATGAACTATGTGTGGCACTTGGGTCTTGGGGTGCCTGTTTATTCTCTGTGGTGAGGTTGAATGCAGGTTGCCCAAAGAGCCAGGATCTGTGACTCTGAGGTACCCCCTAGCAGCTTGGTTACAGGGATTTGGGTTGTAGCTGTGATTCTATCCCTAGTGGCCAGGGAGCAGCACTGGACCAACTCTGGAGAAGAAGGGGTGCTCTGGATGTTTGGGCCTAGGGAGCAGGGTAGTGCTGCAATTCAGGAACCCAAGCCAATAGGTATCAGTGGCAATGTGGGTCCCATTGTAGTAGTAGTAGTGGTGGTAGTAGTAGTAGTAGTAGTAGTAGTAGTTGTTGTAGCTGTAGTAGTAGTAGTAGTTGTTGTAGTTGTTGTAGTTGTAGTAGTAATAGTTGTTGTAGTGGCAGTAGTAGTGACTCTAGACCTTGTGATGGTGGAGTCAGCAGTATTCCAGATTCTGTGAGGCCAGGTGTAGCAGTAGCAAGTACCCTGAATAGTGGAGCACAGCTGTCCTTTGGGCCCTGTTAGGCAGGAAACAGCACTGTGATGATTTTACTTTCCAGGGAGAGGGGTGTCTCAGCAGCTCCCGCTCTTGGTGGCTAGTCCAGCTCTCCAGGGAATTAGGATACTAGAGTTGTTTGGCCTGTAGGGCAGACTGTCTCAGTTCAGCCACGGTTTTGCCTCTCTGTGATGCAAGGTACTACAGCAGTTTAGCTCAGCTTGGCCAGGGCACTGATTCCCCAGGTGGCCCAGAGACCATTTTCTGGGATACAGGGCACTGCTAAAACTTAGGCACAGGGAGGCATGACTGCTCAAAGTGACTAAGGTATTGTTTTCTTGGAGGCAGGGTACTGTTTCAGATCTGGCCTGAGGAGTTAGGGGAAGAGTAGGTGGATCAGCTCCACCTCCACTTGGCCCCAGGAGAAGTGTGTAAGAGATGCTTATAGCTCACCTTGGGGATGTTCAGTCACTAGGCTGGGGGTGTTTTGGTGGCAGTTTAGCCTCAGGGATGAAGGGGACCTGTGCCTACTTGAACCCTGAGCACGACACACTCCAGCCGTAGGTCTAGCTGCAAGATGGTATAGCACAGTAGACATGTGGGCCACAGAGGAGAACATAGTGTTAGCTACTTCTCTGAAGGGAGCACAGCTTTGTGAACTCTAGACAGCTCCTTCAGGTGGGCTTAGGTAGTGCCTGTGAGGACCGTAGGGCACCTCTGCCATGGTGAGGTCTGTGGATGTCCAAGGTGTTGATCGGGGTTGCTGGTGTTCTCTTGCTTACCTCCTCACTGTATGAAGAAGTTCCTCTTTGTTCCTAGCTTATCTCAATTTGGGGATGGAGTGGTGAAGGCCTGGCATTTCCTTCCATTCTCTTTGTGGCTGTTCTGTTTCTGTGCTCATCAGGGTTCCTGCTATTCCTCTGAGTTTCTCTGGAACTCTCCTTCAGTTACTCTCATTAAAACGTAGTGTTTTTTTAGTCTTTCTGGCATCTGTGATGGAGACAAGCTCTAGGGGCTTCTAGTCAGCCTTGCTCTTAATTAATCCAAGAGACAGAAATATTTTTGACTGGGCTTTATGAAAGCTATAACTAGGACTATAATGCGAAATGGACAACTTAAAATTGGAGGGAGAAAAAAATTCAGTTAGAATAGGTTGAGCTAAAATTTACCATGTGTCAGCAGGCTCTGTACAAAATTGCATTAAGTAACTCCCCTCATTTAATCCTTACAACACCCTAGTGAAGTTAGATATTGTTCTTATTTTTTATATATGGGAACACAAATACTTACACTATAAAATATCTTACCTAATGTCACAGAGCTAGTTAGCTACAGAGTCAGGGGTCTGACTGCAGAGCCCCGCAGTTTACCACCCTAAATTCCTCTGTCACTTAAACTTCAATCCCATCTCACTCCATGCCCTTTTCTTAGAAGGCAGTGGTTTACACAGAACAGATCTGATTTGTTTAGAATATGGAGAATCTTTTAAAAAAATAATTTGTTGAGGTGAAATTAAAATAATGAAATTAACCATTTTAAAGTAGCACTAAGTAGATTCATAATGTCTTACAAACAGCACCTCTATCTTAGTTCTAAAATGTTTTCATCATGCCGAAGTAAAAATACCTTTAAGCCGTTTTCCCCCATCCCTCTGCAACTGCAATCGCTGGAAACCACCTAGGTGCACTCTTACCTTTTCTGGATATTTCGTATAAATTGAATCATGCAGTATGTGATGTTTTATCTGCTTTCACTTAGCATGTTTTCTTCACTTAGCATACATTGCAGCAGGTATCCAATACTTCATTCCTTTTCATGGTTGAATAATATTCCGTTCCGTGAATATACCACATTATGTTTATCCATTCCCCCTGCTGGACTTTTGGGCTGTTTCTACCTTTTGATTATTGTAAATAGTGCTGCTATGAACATGTGTGCACATGTACTTATTTATGAGTCCCTATTTTCTTCTTTTTTAATACTTTTATTTTAGGTTTGGGGGTACATGTGAAGGCGTGTTACACAGATAAACTCATGTCATGGGAGTGTTTGTTGTACAGATTATTTCATCACCCAGGAATTAAACCCAGTACCCAACAGTTACCTTTTCTGCTCCTCTCTCTCCTCCCACCCTCCTGCCTGAAGTGCGCCTCAGTGCCTGTTGTTTCCTTCTTTGTATTCACAAGTTCTCATCATTTAGCTCCCACTTATAAGTGAGAACATGCAGTATTTGGTTTTCTGTTCCTGCACTAGTTTGCTGAGGATAATGGCCTCCAGCTCCATCCACTTCCTGCAAAAGACATGATCTTGTTCTTTCTGTATGGCTACGTAGTATTTGATAGTGTATACGTACCACATTTGCTTTATCCAATTTGTCATTGATGGGCATTTAGGTTGATTCCTTGTTTTTGCTATTGTGAATAGTGCTGCAATGAACATTTGTGTGCATTTGTCTTTAAGGCAGAATGATTTATATTCCTCTGGGTATATTCCCAGTAATTGGATTGTTGGGTCGAATGGCAGTTCTGCTTTTAGCTGTTTGAGGGATTGCCGTACCGCTTTTCATAAGGGTTGAATGAATTTACACTCCACCAATGGTGTATAAGGGTTCCCTTTTCTCTGCAACCTCACTAGCATCTGTTATTTTTTGTTGAGTTCCGATTTTTAATTCTCTGGGGTGTATACACAGCAATGAACTTAAGGGTCGTATGGTAATTGTGTGTTTAATCATTTGAGAGATTGCCAAACTGTTTTCCACAGCAGCTGAACCATATTACGTTATAACCAGCAATGTACAAGTTCTGATTTCTCACCAGCACTTGTTAATTTTCCATTTAAAAAAAGTATAGCTATCCTAGAGGCTGTGAAGTGATACTTTATTGTGGCCTTTATTTGCATTTCCCTACTGACTAATGGTATTGAACATTTGTAAAACATGTTTGTTTGCCATTTGTATATATTCTTTATAGAAATATCTATTCAGTCCTTTGCTCCTTTTTAAATTGGATTGTTAGGTTTTTTGTAGTTGAGTTGTTAAAAGTTGTTTATATGTATGTTCTCAATACTAGATCTTTATTAAAATATGATTCACAATTATTTTCACCCATTTTGTAGGCTGGATTTTTACTTTCTTGGTAATGTCCTTCCTTTGATGCATAAAATTTTAAAATTTTGACAAAATATAATTTATCTATTTTTGTTTTTCATGCTTTTGGTGTCATATGTAATAATCTATTGCTGAATCCACTTTGAAGAAGATTTACACCTGTGTTTTCTTCGAAGGGGTACAGTTTTAGCTTTTATATTTAGGTTATTGATTCATCTTGAGTTAACATTTTATATAGTATGAAGTAGGGTCTCGACTTTCTTCTTTTGCATTTGGATATTCAGTTGTCCCAGCATCATTAAAGACAATTCTTTCCCCCACTGAAAGGTCTTGGTACCTTTTTGTTTGTTGAATAGTGATTGAAATCACTTTAGCTTAATCCAAACAATCAGTGAGACAAGGAAGTGCTGGGACTCTGCCCCATGTTTTCTTGATATGTCTGTCATCCATGCAGGTTCTTCTCAAGGTTCAAAGAAGAACCCAAGTTCTTCTTTGAACCCAAGGTTCAAAGCCCCATCCCAAGTGTCCTCCTCTCCACTGGCTGCTTCTCCTATTAGTAACAGACTCTAAAGTTGAGGAAGTCACCAGATTCTTCTCCCTAGTCCAGACCCACAAGATGGTTCCTTGTTGTTAGCAAGGATACCAACTGGATGCCATGGGTCTCATTCAGGCCCATTCACAGCCTTGTTGGTTTCACTATTTTTTCCTTCCTCCTTTTAATTTTAACAGGTTCATTGCAATATAATTACTGTACATAAACTGCACATATTAAAATTGTACACCTTGCTGAGTTTTGACATATGTATACAACTGTGAAACCATCACAACAGTGAAGATAAGAAACATTCCCATCATCTCATTGTAATTCATTCCCCAACCCACCCTCAACTAATAATCTGTTTTCTGTCACTATGAATTACTTCAAGCTTTCTAGAAGTTTATATAAATGGAATCATACAGTATATACCCTTTAGTCTGTGAATTCTCTCATTTCTCATAATGATTTTTAGATTCGTCTGTGTTGTTGCATGTATCAATAGTTTCTTCCTTTTTATTGCTGAGTAGTATTTCATAATAAAGATTTTACACAATTTGTGTATCCGTTCTTATACTGATGGTCATTTGGGCTATTTCACGTTTGGGGCTATTGCAAACAAAGGTGCTACTAACATTAGTGTGTAAGTCTTTGTGTAGATGTATGCTTTTATTTCTTTTGGGCAAAGACCCAGGAATTGAACAGCAAGGTCCTATGTTAGGTGCATTTTAAGTTTTTAAAGAAATTTCCACGCATTTTCTGGAAACACACAAGAATAAATTAACATATTCTTATCTCTTGTCATCTTTGTGCTACTATAATATTTGGAGGTTCTTTTAAAAATAAATGTGTACATCTTTGTCTCCTATGCCTTTGATTGCCTGGAGCAGATTTGTTTGTTCTTTTTTGCACCTTCAATTCCTAAGACAGTCCTTTGCATAAAAGGATGGTTAATCAGCTTTGGATGAACGAATGTCAGATAATGGCTTATCTGAACCAAAATGAATGAGAGGGCAAAATTGGAGAGGATGAGAGGAGTAGAATAGGTAAATAAATAAAATAACACTGTCTTTTAAAATTATGCACATAATTCATGATGGAAAAAGATCCAAAAATAAAGAGTAGCTTAAAGAAGAAAATAAAAATCATCCATGATCCTTCATAGTCACTCTTTAAAAAATTATTTTGTTGTTTTATTTTCTCCCCAATATTCTCTTAAAGTTAAGGCCACTAGTTCTCAACTCTTCCTACACATCAGACTACTCAGGAAGCTCTTTTAAATAGGTCCAATGTCTGGATTCCATTAGAGATTCTAATTTTAATTGGTCTGAGGTGGAATCTGGGTGTCAATAGTTTTTTTTTTTTTAATCAATCTTTCAAAGGTAGTGATTTACATACAACAAAATGCATTTATTTTAAGTGTACAGTTCAATGAGTTTTGACAAGTATGTATCCTCCCTATAAACACTGCTCTAATCAAGTATACAATATTTCCATCATCTTCAAATACCCCACATTTCATCCCAGGCAACCCCTGATCTGGCTTGTTACTATAGATTAATGGTGATTATTCAAGAATTTCATATAAACAGAACCTAACAGTCTGGCTTCTTTCACTCAGCATGTTTATCAGAGTCATCATATTGTTACATATATCCATAGTTTATTCTTTTTCACTACTGATTAGTATTTCATTGTATGGAGGTACCACATTTTGTTTATCCATTCACCTCTTGATGGACATCTGGGCTGTTTGCACGTATTGACTGTTAGGAATAGAGCTTCTATGTGCGTTCTTATAAGTCTTTGTGTGGAGATATGTTTTCATTTCTCTTGGGTAAATGTGTAGGAGTAGAATTGCTGGGTCTTATGGTAAGTGTCTGTTTAACTTTATAAGAAATTTACAAATCATTTTTCTTTTTTTCTTTTTTTTCCAAGACAGAATCTTGTTCTGCCTCCCAGACTTGAGTGCAATGGCACGATCTCGACTCACTGCAACCTCGGCCTCCCAGGTTCAAGCAATTCTCCTGCCTCAGTCTTCTGAATAGCTGGGATTACAGGCACGTGCCACCATGCCCGGGTAATTTTTGTGTTTTTAGTAGAGGCGTTGTTTTCACCATGTTGGCCAGGCTGGTCTCCAACTCCTAACCTCGTGATCTACCCTCCTCGGCCTACCAAAGTGCTGGGATTACAGCCATGAGCCACTGTGCCTAACCTCCAAACCATTTTTCAAAGTAGTTGTACTATTTCACACATCCACCAGTGATGTGTGAGTGTTCAGTTGTCCTACATTTTTGCCACACCACCAATATTGTCAGTATCTTAAATTTAAACCATTATAGGGGTCATTAGCAGTTTCTAAAAGCTCCCCTAGAAATGTGTACTTCTCTGTATATAATACATAGTAAAAAGTGAAGAAAAAATAACTCTCGAAATGATTGTAATGTGCAGTCAATATTGAGAACCACTGAGAACCACTGAGCAAGACTAGACCGACAAGTCCCAAGTATTTAAATAATGACATATTTTCATTTGTGCGTTATTTTTTTCTTACCCATTCATTTATTCAAAAATAACTATACTAGCTCTATACTAAGTGTTGGCAACATAGAGATCTACAACAATATTTTTCTGCCCTCAAGAAGCTGACAAATTTCTTTTTTCTCTTAAGAAAACAAAATTTCACCTGTGTGACCACAGTCATTTCAGACAATTTAGTTTTTAATTGGTCTTTCTCAGTATTGTGCAGCCCAGGCCTTGAGTCGATCTTGATGAGGGGGAAAAAGTAACGGGATCATTCATGGTATTTGAGATGTTGCTTTCTTGATTTTACTCTTTTCCTTCCCTGCTTCCTGTCTCCCGTATTTGCTTTCATACATAATTCAGCTTTGGGAACAGTGTCTTTAAATGAAGTCACCACATGAGCCATAACAATATAAATAAAACAAAAATACTTTGCCTCTGGAATTGGCACTTTGGTGACTGCACTCCATAGAGGCTATGGCTGATTTCTAATTTTTGTATTTTATTTTTCTCCTTTGTTTCTTTGATATAGGAAATCTTCAGTAAAAAGCATATTCTAATAAAAATAAGACTAACTAGTGTAACATTATAAAATCCTCTCCAGAAGCCTATTAAATAAGTATAGTAGATGGGTAAAAAATAATATGGCCCATAAACCCTACAAAACTCACAAGTAAAATTATGTAATCAAATTGTAAAATATTCTCTTATTTGCTATTAAATGTACACTATAAAAAAGACTTTGAAATTGTACAATAATGTTTACCTCCTTGGAATTGTTAGAAATAAGTACATAATACTTAATTTCTGTGCAGAATTTTTTTAATATTCTAAGAATTGTTAAGGTCAGTGTGAGAAGTGTTAACATTGGCTGCCACTTGCTTACAAAAGAGGTTCTACATACAGCAACTGATAGGAGATTCCATTTTCCTTTTTACTGGGGCTTTAGTGATTTCAGAGACTCCAACATTCTTGTGAAAAATTGACTATAGAAGTCCAATAATGAGTAGAAAGTTATTTGTCTAGCTGTCGGTTTAAAGAAATTTCATCCCCAACATAGGTGGCTTTCCATCAAGAAAATATTTTCCAGCACAATCTCAAGCCAATTTAATCCCTTGATTGTATTCTGTACCATGCAGCAAAGCCAGTTTCCATGTTTGCTGTGTTTAATTTTATTTCACTGAACTTTCTTTTCACTGCAATTCTTTCCTTATTTTCATTGTTTTTACACAAATTAGATTCATTGATCAGTTTTTTTGTATCACATTAATTTTTCCTTATTTAGTTTCAACCACTGCAATTTTTGCTTTTGTTTTCCAAATCCAAATCTCTCTGACATCAAATTTTGCAAGTCTAAATGTAAAGAAAATGTCTTTTGCAGCAACTTGGGTGTAACTGGAGGCCATTATTCCAAATGAAGTAACTTAAGAATGGAGATGCAGAAACCATGTGTTCTCAGTTATAAGTGAGAGCTAAGCTATAAGGACACAAAGACATTCAGAGTTATACAATGGACATCAGAGAATCAAAAGGGGGAGAAGGTGGGTGAGGCATGAGGGCTAAAAGCTGCATATTGGGTACGATATACACTACTCAGGTGATGGGTGCACTAAAATTTCAGACTTCACCACTATACAATTCATCCATGTAACAAAAAACCACGTGCACCCCTAAAGCTATCGAAATAAAAAATAAAAACAAAAACAAAAAATAAAATTTGAATGCATTTTATCAAAAGGATGCGAGCCTTCTTTCCATTTTTAATCAATAGCATTGTTGCCATGTGTGGTATCATCTGTTGTCAGTTTTATTTTATGCTGATTATTTCTACCAGCCGTAACAATTGGGAAATAGGCAAAAAGTTGGTTGTATTTATTTCCTAGATAATCAATAACAAACTTCAGAGCAATCTAATGAGACAGAGTTATAGGTGCACAGAAGAAGAAGAAAAGCTACAGTTGTGTGGAGCATGGATGGCTAAACTCCTGGTTAACTCGATGGGGTCAAAAGGACAAATGTGGGGCAGAGTTCAGATCTTTTGACAGGGTCAACGGATCTGGCATCAGTCCCTGGCTGCTCTCTTCTAAGTTTTCAGTCGTGCTCTTCTCCATTCCTCACCAGACCCCTGGCCTCTTTGGAGCTGCCTGGACAGGAGCTCTCCTGGCCTCTGGCAAACTCCTGGCTGGGTTGCGGATGGAAATTCCTGGTACCCTTAGTTGAGTTCATACAAGCTGAACGTTTTCAAAAGGAACTAATTTTACTTGAGCCAACTAAACAAAACTGAAATACACACAGAAAATACAAAAGCACAGAAATAGATGAGGGTTCCATGCCATGGGCATTTTAATCATGTGTATCAAGAACCTTTATAGAGTTCATGTCTGGCCCAGCCAATCCACTTCTAGGAAGTTATCTCAAGGTGATGTACTGGATATGAGTTGAAAGATGTGTATACGACGTATTTATCAACAAAAATTGGAACAAGGTAAATATGTTCTGATAGAGGAATAATTCAAATAGAGTATTTTCATACCATTTAATACTCAGCTACGAAGCAGGGCTGGTAAACTTTTCTGGAAAAGAATAGATAGTAAGTATTGTAGATTTGTGGGCCATATGGTGTCTGTCAGAAATAATCGATTCTGCTATTGTAGCACAGCAATGGGCATAGATAGTACATAAAGGAATCAGCACATTCATGTTCCAATAAAACTTTGTTAATTTACCAAAAAAAAAAAAAAACACAAAACCCAGGTGGAATTGGCTTATGAGCCTTAATTTGCAGACCCCTGGTTTACAGAGATGATATGGATTTGTATTTACTGACAAAGAGAGCTGATTATAATATACTATTGGGCAAAAACAAAAGCAGATACTAGTATAGCATTTATGGTATGATGTCACTTATGCAAAATGAAGATTGATATATATATATATATATATATATATATATATATATATATATCAGTAGAGAAGTGTCTAGAAGGATGTTCAGCAAATACTAATGAAGATATTATCACTAGGTTGAAGAATTTGAGATGATTTTTTTCCTTTATTTGTTTTCACATTTTTTCATTACTAGAAAAAATATTTTTATTTAATAATTCATACTCTTTGACAGAGTACTTCCACGGTTGTTGTTGGGGTTGCCGCACAGCTGTGAAGCCTGTGCAGTTGCACACTTCCAGGAGATGCCATCACATGGACTACAATGTGAAGGATTCCCCCAGAGTTGTGTGGCGAGGCAGTCTTCCCACCTCCCATTCTCTGTTCAGCTCTGTCCAATTAATTCAGCAAGCATTTGTTTGTCATCTACTACACTAGACATTGTTCTAGACAGAAATATCGGGAAACAAAGCATACAAAAATGTTTGCCCTTGTAGTGCTTTATGTTCTAGTGAAGGAGAAAGATGATAAGGAGAATAAAGAGTGACACATATGCAAGCTTCCTGGAGGTCAAGTAGCCCAGTTTTTGGCAGAGGGAATAGCCAGTGGGAAGAAGGCAGGCAGGGCAAATATTTACAACCCTCGTTTTACAGAAGAGAACATTGGAACTTAGGGAGGTTTAAGGGATGGCTGAGGGTCAGAACGTGGTCAGCACCAGAAGCAAGGCCTTTCAATTGCAAGGTCAGGGTTCCTTCCACACTGGGACAAGAGGCAGCACCTGCAAGATAAGGTAGAGGTGAATGAACCTAGGTGGCTTTAGTTAGATTCTGCAGACTTTTATGACAGGCCAATGCATATAAATGATAATAGCTGACATCACATTAAGAAAAAGATGCAGCATCTCATGAGATCTACTACATGCTCCTGATTAGGAAAAGGAATGTTGAAAAATAGCACTGAGTTTATAAAAATAGCGTTTAGGGTGTAATTCTCATTTTTTTAGTACATGAATGCTTAAGAAAGATGTTCATCAAATGTTAGCAATGCTTATTACTTGATGGTAGGATTTCAAAGAGTTTTAAATTTTCTTCTTTATTCTTTTCTGAATTGTTTGAGTTTTTTGCAATGAGAGTGTGAAAACAGAAGAAATAAAAAAGTTTGATGTTAGAAAGATACCATTAAGCTAACATTTACACACTCTGTGCTGTTCCACAGCACCTGTAGTACCACTATTTCTTTGTAAATTCTTCCAGGGCAGAGACTGTGTTTTATTCATTCTTCTTTGCCCAGCATGTGGAACCTCCTACAAAACAAGCATTCAACAGGGTTTGTGGAACAAATGCAAAGTGCATTTGCGAACTGCAGCTTATATAATCTACAATAGACACCTAGGGGGGCTCAGGAATGACACGAACAGTTTCCAGCCGAAGGGAATTTCATTTTCTTTTCTAGTTGGAGTTTCCATGGCACCCAGAAGACCAGGGATCCTGGTAAGAAAGTTTTAAAACGCTGAAGTGGTAAGTTTGTAAATTTGTGATACCTGGTGTCAAGTCCTACTTCAGGAATCTACAAAAATTGGGCCTTTTGAATAGAAGTGTTTTAGTGAATAATGAGTGATGTGGCAACTTATTCTGATAATATTTCAATCTAGCTTTTTGCTTTTAATGGTAGTTGCCATTTCTATTGGGCTGCATCATTCCCAGGAAAGCCTTCTTTTAAAATCAGTACAGGATGTGTGCATCCTAATACAAAAATCCCAAATCCAGAAATGCCCCTGAATCTGAAAGTTTTTCAGTGCTAATATGAGATAGTGAAACCTTTGCTTTCAGATGGTTCAGTGTACAAAAACATTGTTTCATAGACAAAATTATTTAAGGTGTTGTATAAAATTACTTTCAGACTATGTGCCTAAGGTATATATGAAACATAAATGAATTCCATGTTTAGATTTGGGTCTCACTCCCAGATATCTCATTATATATATGCAAATATTCCAAAATCAAAATCAAAAACAAACAAACAAAAAAACCGCCAAATCCGAAACACTTCTGGTTTCAAGCATTTTGGAGAAGGGATTTTCAGCCTCTCCCTAGAGATTAATTTGTTTGATGTGGTCAATTGCCTGATTATTCAAACTCCTCAAAAAGTGCAGGTCTTTCCTCCATACCACCTGTTTAGGTTTTGAATAGTTTAGAAAAAAAAATAAGTGACTGTCTTTAAGTCATTGATTAAAAGTTAATAGCCTTAAAATGTTTCCATTCCTATTTTATTACAAAGTATTGCTCGAAACAAGTTTTAATAGTGAGAAGGAAAGTTGTCACCCATAGGTTTAGGCACAATTTTTCAGTCTCCTTTACTCACTTAGCATTAGACTAGAAACACTTTCCCAATGATTTTTTGAATACTTGTGTAGCATTTGAACTTGTAGATGACCACACTGTACAAAACCATTGCAGAATTAGCATACATTCATATTAGTGTTAGTTTTTTAGTGATTTTTAATTGAACAGGGAAATTTTACATATTTGGCTCTATTCTGTAACTACAAGCAAAATTCTAACTGACTTTTCCCTCTTTCAGATTCTTAATTATTAAACTCATCTGACCATTTTTATTTTTATTTATTTAATTGACAAAGAGCGTATATACTCAAGGTGTACAATGCAATTATTTGATATGCCTAAATTAGGTTGGTGCAATTAGTTTGCACCAACCTAATACATTGTATAATTACTACAATCAAATTAATTAATACATACATTATCACCCATGCTATACATTAGATTCTCAGAAATTGCTCATCTTATAACTGAAAGTTTGTCCCCTTTGGTCAAAATCTACCCATTTCCCCCACCGCCATTCCCTGGCAACTGCCATGGTACTCTATGTTTTGATGAGTTCAACTCTCTTATATTCTGCATATAATACACTGTTGACCCTTGAACAGCGTGGAGTTTGAGCACTGACCCCTGCATAGTCGGAAATCAGCATATAACTTTTTCTTAAGGCATGGGGTCTCACTATGTTTCCCAGACTGGGCCTTGAATTACCTTGGCCTTAAAACTTGATTCTCCAAAAGCTTAACTACTAATAGCCTACTATTGACCAATAGCCTTACCAATAACGTAAACACTTGATTAACATGTATTTTGTATATGTATTATATACTGTATTTGTACGCTAAAGTAAACTATAGAAAAGATGGTGTTATTAAGAAAATCATAAGGAAAAGAAAATATATTTACTATTCCTTAAGTCAAAGCGGAGAGGTCTTCATACTCCTTGTGTTCCTATTGGGTAGACTGAGGAAGAGAAGGAAGAGGAGGATTGGTCTTGCTGTCTCAGATGTGACAGAAACAGAAGAAAATTCACATATAAGTGGACCTGTACCATTCAAACTCATGATGTTCTATTAGTCTATGTGTTTGTTTTTATGCCAGTACCATACTCTTTAGATTAACATAGCTTTGTAACATAGTTTGAAATCAGGAAATGTGATGCCTCCAGCTTCGCTCTTCTTTCTCAAGATTGCTTTGGTCAGGTTTTTTTGTGGTTCCATATGAATCTTAGAATTATTTTTTCTCTATCTGTGAAGAATGCTGCCATTGGAATTTTGATAGAGTTTGCAATGAACCTATAGATCACCTTGGGTAGTATGGATATTTTAATAATATTAATTCTGATACATGAACATGTGATGTCTTTCTTTTTATTTGTGTCATCTTCAATTTATTTTCTCAGTGTTTTATATGCTGATATTTAAACTTCTTGGTTAAATGTATTCCTAAGTAATTTTATTGTGCTTGTTGCTATTGTAAGTAGGATTGTTTTCTTTCTTTCTTTTTCAGATAATTTGTTGGTGCTGTATAGAAGTGCAATTCATTGTTCAATTCCCACCAGTGATTGAGAACGTGCGGTGTTTGGTTTTTTGTCCTTGCGATAGTTTGCTGAGAATGATGGTTTCCAGCTTCATCCATGTCTCTACAAAGGACATGAACTCATCATTTTTTATGGCAGCATAGTATTCCATGGTGTATATGTGCCACATTTTCTTAATCCAGTCTATCATTGTTGGAGTTAATGGGTGCAGCACACCAACATGGCACATGTATACATATGTAACAAACCTGCACGTTGTGCACATGTACCCTAAAACTTAAAGTATAATAATAATAATAATAATAATAATAATAATAATAATAATGAAAGAATTGCAATTCAATTTTAATGTTGATTTTGGTATTCTGGAACTTTACTGAATTCTCTTTTTAGGTCTAACAGTTTTTTGGTGGAGTTTCTGTATACAAGGTCATGTCATCTACGGAGACAATTTTGCTTCTTCCTTTCTGATTTGGATATTTTTTATTTCTTTTTCTTGCCTAACTGCTCTAGGTAGCACTTGTGGTACTATGCACAATAGAAGTGGTGAGTGTGGGCACCCTTGTTCCTGATCATAGAAGAAAAGCTTTCTGCTTTTTACCATTGGGTATGATGTTGGCTGTGGGCTTGTCCAATATGGCATTTATTCTGTTGAGGAACATTCCTTGCATACCTAATTTGGTGAGAGTTTTAACAGCATTTTGAAGTATAAGTGACATAAAATAAACAGCATATGTATCTAGTGTACAATTTGATAAGTTTTGACATACGTATATACCCATGAAGCCGATCAATATAGTGAACATAAACATCATCCCAAAAGGTATCCTTGTGCTCCTTTGTAATCTCTCCTTCCTGTCTCTCTCCATGTACCCTCTTCTCAGGCAACCACTGATCTCCTTTCTGTCATACAGATTGGTTTTAATTGTCTAGAGGCATATACCAATGTAATAATACAATAAGTAGTTTATTTTGGTGTGGCTTCTTTTATTCAGCATAATTACTTTAACATTCATTCATATTGTTGTATGTATCCATAGACCTTTTTTTTTTTTTTTTTTTTTTTTTTGCTGAATAGTATTTCATTGTATGAATACACCAACATTTCTTTATCTAGTTACCTGTTATGGACATTTGGGTTGTTTTCAGTGTGAGACTTTTACAAATAAAGCTGCTATAAACATTTATATATGAGTCACTTTATGATACGCTTTTAGTTCTCTTGGATATACAAGTGCTGGATCACATAGCAGGAATACGTCTGACTTTTTAAGAAACTGCAGGTTTTCCATTTTTCGTTTCCAACAGTATATCAGTTCTAATTCCTCCACCTCCTTGACAACATTTGGTATTGTCAATCTTTTTAAATTTAGCTATTGTGGTAGGCATATAATGCTTTTAACTTGTATTTTCCTAACTACTAATGATTTTGAACATCTTTTCATATGCTTATTTCCCATCCCTGTATCTTCTTTGTGGAAGTATCTGTTCAAGTATTTTGCCCATTGTTTTATTGTTTTTCTAACTCGATTTTGAGAGTACTTTATACATTCTGGATGAAGGTTGTTATCAGACATATTCTGTGCAAATATTTTCTCCCAGTCTGGCTTGTTTTCTCATTCTCTTAGTAGCATCATCTGAAGAACAGAAGTTTTGAATTTTGATGAAATCCAGTTTATCAGTTTGTTCTTTTATGGATCATGCTTTTGGTGTTACAGCTAAGAAATCTTTGCCCAGTGCAAAGTCACAAAGATTTTCTTTTAGAAATGTTATCGTTTTTGGTTTCTAACTTAGGCCTGTGACCCATTTTTCAGTTCATTTCTAGGTATAGTGTGAAGTATGGATTTTGCATATGGTAACCAATTATTCTAGCACCATTTGTTGAAAAGACTGTCCTTTCTCCACTTAATTACATTTGCACATTTGTAAACACAAACACACAGACAGACAGACAGACAGACACACACACACACACACACACACACACACACACACACACACCCCATATATATTTAGGTCTCTTTCTGGGCTCTCTATATTTTTTAATGATATCCCTTGTCTATTGTGATGTCAATACCCACTATTTTGGTTACTGTAGCTTAGTAATAAGTCTTGACGTGAGACAGTGTTAATCCGCCTAGTTCTTCTTTTCCCAAATTGTTTTGTCTAGTATGGTTCCTTTTCATTTCCACATTAATCTTAGAGTCAGCTTGTCAATTTCTATAAAATGTCTGCTAGGGTTTTGATTGTGATTCCATTGAATCCATAATTTGGAGATAATTGGCATATTAATAATAATGAGTCTTTTAATCCATAAACATGGTCTATCTCTCCATTTATATAGGTCCTTAATTTCTTTTGGCAATGTATTATAGTTTATAGTGTACACATCTTTCACATTTTATGTCAGATTTATCCCTATGTATTTCATATTTTTATGTTATTCAAAGTATTTTTAAAATTTCAACTTGTGATTGTTCTTTGCTAGTCTGTAGAAATACAGTTGATTTTTTATTGATATTTTATCCTAAAACCTTAGCTAAAATCAATTATTACTTCTAACTTTTTTGTGTTTCTATTAGATTTTCTAGATAGATAGTCATGTTGGCTATATATAAAGACAGTTTTATTTCTTCCATTCTGGATGCATTTTTTTCATGTCTGATTATATGTTCCAGTATCTCCAGCACAAGGTTGAATACAAGTGGTGAGAGCAGACATCCTTGTCTTAGTCCTGATCACAGAGGAAATGCATTCAGTCTTTTATCATGAAGTAAGTTTTTAGCTATAGATTTTTCATAGATGCTGTATTATTCAGGAGTCTCCAGAGGAACAGAACTAATAGGAGAGATGTGTATATGAAAGGGAATTTATTAAGGAGTATTGACTCACATGATCACAAGGTGAAATCCCATGATAGGCCGTCTACAAGCTGACGAGCAAGAAAGCCCAGTCCAAGCCCCAAAACCTCAAAAATAGGGAAGCCAACAGTGCCGCCTTCAGTCTGTGGCCGAAGGCCTGAGAGCCCTTAGCAAACCACTGGCATCAAGCCTGAGACTCCAAAAGCTGAAAAACATGCACTCCGATGTTTGAGGGCAGGAAGCATCCAGCACAGGAGAAAGATGAAAGCCGGAAGGCTCAGCAAGTCTAGTTCTTCCATGTTCTTCTGCCTGCTTTATTCTAGCTGTGCTGGCAGCTGATTAGATTGTGGCCACCCAGAATGAGGGTGGGTCTGCCTCTCCCAGTCTACTGACTCAAATGTTAATCTCCTTTGGCAACACCCTCACAGACACACCCAGGAACACTACTTCGCATCCTTCAAGCTAGTCAAGTTAATACTCAGTATTAACCATCACAGATGCCCTTTATCAGTTTGAGGAAATGCTTTTCTATGCTTAGTTTGCTGAAAGTTTTTATTTAATAATACATGTTAGATTTTTGTTACCTGCTTTTTCTGTGTCTTTTGAGATGATCATGTGATTTATCTCTTTGCTAACATGGAGAATTGTACTGATTTATTTTCAGTGTAAAATCATCCTGAATTCCTAGGAAGTAAAATCCCAATTTATCATGATATTGTATTCTTTTTATAGATTTTGAATTCAGCTTGCTAAAATTTTAATTTTTTTCTTCTATATTCATGAAGAATCTTGGCCTATAGTTTGCTTTTTTGTTAACATCTTAGTAAGGTTTTTGTGCCATGGTAATTCTGGTCTCTTACAAATATTCCCTGCCTCATAAGTTCTCTGGGATAGTTTGTATAGAATTGGTATTATTTCTTCATTAAATGTTTGGCAGAATTCACTGGCAAAGCTATCTGGGTCTCAAATCTCCTTTGTGGGAAGATTTCTAACTACAAATTGAAAATTTTTACATTTATTTTTATTTGTACATTTATTTATTTTCTGAGATGGAGTGTCTCTCTGTCACCTAGGCTGGAGCCCAGTGGTGCGATCTCAGCTCACTGCAACCTCTGTCTCCTGGGTTCAAGCAATTCTTCTGCCCCAGTCTCCCTTGCAGCTGGGATTACAGGTGTGTGCCACCATGCCCAGCTAATTTGTTTGAATTTTTAATAGAGACAGGGTTTTGCCATGTTAGTCAGGCTGGTCTTGAACTTCTGACCTCAGATGATCCACCTGTCTCAGCCTCCCAGTGTGTTGGGATTACAGGCGTGAGCCACCGTGCACACCCTATATTGATTTTTTTTTTTAAATATAAGGCTATTATCTGTTTCTTTGTGACTGAGCTTTGATATTTTATATGTTTTAGGACATTTGTTAATTTCATTTCCATTGTAAAATTTATGGGCATAAAATTTTACAAGTGATATTCCCTTTTTATACTTTTTAATATCTTAGAAACCACTGATACCCATTCTCTCATTCCTAATGTGAAAAATTTTGATCTCTCCTTTTTCCTAATCAATCTATCTTGAGATTTATCCATTTTCTTTTGCTTTGTTTTTTTTTTTTTTTCCTCTCTGAGATGGAGATTCAGTCTTGTTGCCCAGGCTGCAGTGCAATGGGTTGATCTCGGCTCAATGGGGCAACCTCCGCCTCCTGGGTTCAGGCAATTCTCCTGCGTCAACATCCTGAGTAGTTGGGATTACAGGTGTGCACCACCAAGCCCAGCTAATTTTTGCATTTTTCAGTAGAGATGGTGTCTCACCATATTGGTCAGGCTCATTTAGAACTCCTGACCTCAGGTGATCCACCTGCCCTGGCCTTCCAAAGTGTTGGGATTTCAGGCATGAGCCAGTGTGCCCAACTCCATTTTATTTTTCTTGTCAAGAAACCAACTTTGTTTTTGTTGATTTTCTCTATTTTTGTCTTCTATTTTATTGATTTCTCTTTTGATCTTTATTATTTCCTACTGTCTGCTTCCTTTGAGTTTAATGTGCACTCTTGTTTTTATTATTTATTTCTTGTGATGGATCCTGAGGTCATTGCCTTGAATCATTTTTTTTTTTTTTTGTAAAATAGGTATTTGGTGTTATACAGTTCCATTAGTATTAGTATTAGATGCCAAACATTAGTGGCATCCTACAAATTCTTATATACTGTATTTTCATTTTCACTCACCTCAGAATATTTTGTAATTTCCCTTTTGATTTCTTCTTTGAACTGTGAGTTATTTAGAAGCATGTTATTTAGTTTCTAGATATTTGGGTATTTTTCAGTTATCCCTCTTCTATTGATTTCTAATTTAATTTCACTGTGGTCAAAGAACATATTTGTATGACTTGAATCTTTTTACGTATATTGAGAATGGTTTTATGGCTCAGAATGTAGTTGGTCTTTGTAAATGGCCCATGTGTACTTGAAAATAATATATATTCTGCTGCCATTGGATGGAGTGTTGTAAAAATGTCAATTAGGAGTTGTTTGATAGTATTGTTCAAATCTGTTATATCCTTGCTGATTTTCTGTCCACTTGTTCTATTAATTATCGAGAAAGGATTATTGAAATTCCCAGCTACAATTATGGATGTGTTTATTTCTCCTTACAATCTATTAGTTTTTGCCTCATGTATTTGAAGCACTGTTATGAAGTACCTAAACCCTTAGGATTGTCACATTTTCATTAACTGACCAATTTGTCATGCTGAAATGACTCTCTGCCTACGGTAACATTTTTCACTCTAAGATTTACTTCTTTTAGTATATTAATATAGCCTCTGTCGAGGGCTCAGCTGGAGAGAGAGCTGAGCTGCCAGGTTTTAACGTGGTCAGTTAAGAAAACGGCCAAACTTAAAAAGAAAAAAAAAAAAGAAACCATCAAGACTTTATTCACTTATGCAACAGTATAAGCAAGAAGCAAAAAAGGAAGAAGTGCCAGCTCCCAGAATGTTCCATGTTTTCCCCCATGGAGCAGCTCAGAGGAGGGGAGTTTGGGGTATGGGGATGATCATCTCCCTGCTTAGCGAGACGGACTGCCGAACATGAGCCTCCTGCTATTTCGCTGTTGCTGGGAATTTATGGACCCTGTGGTGAAGGGTGGGAGTTTGGGGAAGGCTAGGAGTGGAAGATACTTAATACTGAGGACCGCGGAGGCGGAGGTTGTTGCAGTGAGCCGAGATCGCGCCACTGCACTCCATCCTAAGCGACAGCATGAGACTCAGTCTCAAAAAAAAAAAAAAAAAAAAAAAAAAAAAAAAAAAAAAAAAGAAGAAGAAGAGGAGGAGGAGGAGGGAGGGGGAGGAGGAGGAGGAGGAGAATGAGAAGAAAAGAAAAAAGAAGAAGAGGAAGAAGGGGAAGAAGAAGAGAAGGAAGCGGAAGAGGAAGAAGAAGAAGGAGAAGAGGAAGAAGAAGAAGAAGCAGAAGAAGAAGAAGAGGAGGAAGAAGAAGAAGAAGAGAGAAAAGCATGTTTTTCAGGTTACCCTCAAGAAGTTGGTGTCTAGTAGAGGCAGCCAAGAAAGACCTCTGCCAGGACCCTCCTGATCCGGGGACCTCTGCATGGACGTATCTGGGCTGGGAATGCAGGTATGTGTAAGAACATAAGTGCGGGGGGACGTGAGTCTTTGATACAACTCCCCTAGGGGACTGTGTGCTCTGGTTCTGGTTGTGCACCGAGGCCGGTGGGGAGGACCCATGGAACAAACTTGTGGTAAGGCCTTTGTAGTGGCTGAAAACTCACACACAGAGTTGGGTTTTGGCTCTCAGAAAACTGCTCAGCCACTCCAGCTTCCTCTTGGCCAGTGTCAGCAATGGCATACCCTTGTCAAAACTTAGACTATTTGGCCAGGCCCCGTGGCTCATGCCTGTAATGCCGGTACTTTGGGAGGCTGGGGCAGGTGGATCCTGAGCGCAGGAGTTTGAGAACAGCCTGGCCTCAAGAAAAGAAAATTTTTTTTCACTTTTAACCCATTTGTGTCTTTATATTTTAAAGTGCATCTCTTGCAGGCAGCACAAAGTTGTCTTGCATTTTTATCCAATCTGACAGTCTGCCTTTTAATGGGGCTAATTGGACTATTTTTATTTAAACTTTTTATCTGTAATGGCTAACTTTCACTCTATCACATTGGCATTTGTTTCTTATTTGTTCCACCTGTTCTTTGTTCCTTTTTTCCTCCCTCTCTGTCTTATTTTAGATTAATTGGATTAATTTAGATTAACTGGATTGATTTGAATTAGTTGAGTATTTTTATGATCCATTTTTATCTCCTTTATAGACTTATTAGCTTTAACTCTTTGTTTTATTATTTTAGTGGTAGCATACATCTTTTCTTATCACGATATATTTTGAGGGATACTATACCTCTTCATATGTGGTATGATATCCTCAAATGGGTATACTTCTATTTCTCCCCCCACCAGCCTTTATGTTATTGTTTTTGTCTTCCAATTTATATAAGTCATAACCCCTATAATACATGGTTATTATTTATGTTTAAATAGCCAATTATCTCTTATTTGGTAATTTTTATTGTGATAAAATATACATAACATAAAATTTACCATTTTAACTGTTATCAGTGGTGAATCCACACAAGACTGCAGCAACCTCAATTCTTACCTCCTTCAGAAGAAAGAATTCAACCAAAGGGAATAAGGCAGAGGGAGAAACTGAGGCAAGCTTAAGGGAAGGAGTGAAAGTTTATTAAGAAGTTTTAGAGCAAGAATGAAAGGAAGTGAAGTACACTTGGAAGAGGGGCAAGCGGGTGACTTGAGAGATCAAGTGCAAGGTTTGACCGTTGACTTGGGTTTTTATGCTTCTGGGGTGATTGTGCCCTTCTCCCCTGATCCTTCCCTTGGGGTGGCCTGCCAGCACTTAGGAGGGGCCACGTGTGCAGTGTGTTTACTAAAGTTGTATTCAGGCCGCCTTGAAACATTTTTCCCTTACCGGTTGAGTATTCCCTAAGGAAGGTGAGGTACCAGTTAATTCCACCATTTTGCCTCTTAGTGTGCATGCTTGAGTTCACTCACCCAACTCCTGCCATCTAATCAGGAAGCTGCTGATCATCAGTTTCAGGTGTTTTCTATCTATTGGGAGACTGCGTTTCCCTGGCGCTGGCTGCAACCAATTATTATTTTAGAGACAGTTTAACAACCACCTCACTATCACCTTATGGTCGCCTGACATTCCTGGTGAAGAGGGCCCTCTCCTTCCCTGCTCATGTCTGCCTAACTACCTATGGTAACAAAAGCTTTTTTTTTTTTTTTTTTTTTGAGGCAAGGTCTTGCTCTGTCACCCCAGGTGTCGTGCAGTGGGGCAATCATGGTTCACTGCAACCTCAACCTCCAGGGCTCAATTGATCCTCCCACCTTAGCCTCCTGAGTAGCCAGGACTACGGGTGTGTGCCACCACACCTGGCTAATTTCTGTATTTTTTGTAGAGACAGGATTTGCCTTGTTGCTTAGGCTGGTCTTGAATTCCTGGGGTCAAGCTATCTGTTGGTCTCTGCCTCCCAAAGTGTTGGGATTATAGGTGTGAACCACTGTGCCTAGACCCCCAAATTATCTTTTTTTCAGAGACAGTGTGATAGTTCTCAAACTATCACCTAACATTCCTGGTAGGAGAGGAAAGATCTCTCTCTTGCCCCAGTCATGCCTGTCTAACTACGTGTAACTAGTTAGCTCAGCTTACTGTTATAATTTTTCTCACTGATAGAATTTTTGCAAAGACACTTTCAATACTACCAAAATAAATAGTAATCAACCACTTGGAAAGCATTTAGAAGTAACTGAAGTCCCTACTTACACCAAATGAGGAAAAGCCAAACTACACTGTGGGACACACTGTAAGTCCCTGCATCAGTCAGCTGTTGCTGTGCAAACACCTCCTCAAGACTCGGCAGGATAAAGCAATGACCATTTATAATTGCTCACATGTCTGCAGGTCAGCTGCTTTTTGGCTGACCGAGGCAGGGCTTAGCTAGGCTGGCTCTGCAGCGTGTGTCTCTCATTCTCCTCCTGTGGCAAACAATGGCAGATGACAATGGCAAATGTGGAAAGCCTTTAAAGAAGAAATCTCATAAGGAGTTCCCTGTCACTCCCATTCATCTCAGTCTTTCAGCCAAAGCAAGTGATATGGCCAAACCCCATATCAAGGGGTGGGGAAATATAATTTGCTTATTTATTAGGAGCAAAGTCACATGGTGGTCATTGCAGAATGGGTTGAATGACATAACCTATCATCAGCCCTGAAGAAACTCATCATTCATTTCCTTCCTCAAGACTCCCCTCATCCGGGCATCTCCAGATCTTACTCTTTCCCACACTCTGTATCAAACAGTCCACTCACACTAGCTACCCTGCTTCCTTTGGCACCCTCTTTCCACTAGATAACCTGTTCACTCAGCATTTCTATTTTCATTTGCATCTCCACCCTTTGCCCATTACCCCAGCAGCTCACAGAGGACCCTGACAGAATAGGCAAAACCCAGAAGTTGGGTGGGTAGATAATGTGTGAAAGCTCACACGGTTCTGACGCCTCCTTGACGCAGCACATTACTAGCGAATGACATGTATAGGGCCTGGGGTGTTTGCAGAACCAAATCAGGTGTGGAGGAAATTATATGTAAATACCTCCATGGGTGTGTGATTGTATCATACCTCACCATAACAAAGCTCAAATGACATTTCATTTCCAAATGTGGCTAGGTTTCCCTGTGTTATATGTCGTTGAAAGCCAGTATAAATAAATATCTGTGAAAGTCCTAGCTGACTGCCTGCTTTGTTTCTGCCACTAAACTGTAAGCTCCTCATGAACAGAGTGTTTCTGTACAATTCACTAGCTGTCTCTATCTTTACCTCACAGCCAATCCACAAATGAACGCTGTCAGCCTTGCCCCCCATCATATCCCAACCATCCATGTCTGGCTACTCCATTGCTAGTCCAACCGAAGCCCCTTGCATCTCATGCCTGGGTTATTTCACAGCCTTCTAGGCTGGTAACTCCCGCTGCTACTGTGCCTGGCTCCAGTCTATTCTGTACATGGTGAAGAGGATCCTTTGAAAAATGGATAAAATGAGTAGCAAATTGTGTTTCTCCTGCACTCAGAATCCTCCTCTGGCTCCTCACTGTAACCTCTGGCTTCAGTAGTTACGGCAAATATTTAAAAGTCAGCCTGCAGGAAGAACCCTGATTTACTGAGTTTTCCAATGTTAGTAGTATAAATACTCATCATGGCCAATTTTAAGCTGGCTTCTTTCCTTCACTCCGTCCCTCCCTCCTCCCCTTCTCCCCTCCTTCTCTTCTCCCCTCTTTCCTTCATTTCCTCCCTCCCTCCCTCATTTCTTCTGTCCTTCTCTCCTTCCCTTCCTTTCCTTCTCACGTCCTTCTTTCCTTTCTTCCCTCCTCCCGTCCTTTCTTCCCTATTCTCTGCCTCCTACTCTAGAATTGACATTTCATGACAGGCAATCCATGTCTGTCTTAGTTATTGCTTAGAAGTACCTGGCACATAATGGAAGGCTCAGTACATATTTCTTGAACAAATAGTTGACTAATTGAATAGATGATCCTTTCTTAATTCTGTACCAGGATTTAAGAATTATTCAAAGAAGATGTCATTGTTTTAAAATGACCAAGTACTGCTCAGCACTTTCAAGTTCACAAAGCATGCCTCATGCATCATCTCTATGATCTGTACCCGGGTGCCATCCTGAGAAGCTGGGAAAGGCTTTTCTCTTCCTCCTCACTTTACAAATGAGGAAACAAAGACTCAGAGGGATGGAGGTTCCCGCTCAAGGCCAAACAGTAAGTATGTATCCACAAGTCTGACTCTCAGTCTGGCAGTCTTCTCAGTGGTCTCCAGGAACTGTTTAGCTCTTGGGGGGATCTCATAAGGGAAGCCTGGAGGCTTCAGGGAGAGCTGTCCCAAGGAAGAGGAGAGAAACACATGGTGGCGAGGAAGGAGGATTGACGACCAGGGAAGGCCTTACGTAGGCCTCTACCAGGCTGAGCCTCTGGTGTCAGGCCAGTAACATAGTAATTCAGGTCCCCAATCCTGATTCTGTCTCTAGATTCCCACTAACCTCCCCACAGACATGGAGCATTGAGCCCCCCTTCCCCACTTATAGAGTACCCCAGATAGCATAGGCTCCACACCTAGCACCCACCTTCTTGCAAGTCTATAGCAATGAGCAGCAGAGCGCCAGCTGAGATCCACAAGCTGAACCTGGTCCCCAGGGATAATTTCTTTAGCCCCTGTAGTGTTTAAAAAATTGGGCCAGCATTTACAAGCAGGATATCCCAAGTGGTTGGTTGATTTTGGTAAACAGAAAGATCTTGCCACACATCCTGGCCATTCTGGGCTGACAGCAGTCATCCACCTGAGACCAGATAAGTGTTGTCCTGTTCAATGCAGCCACTCAAACCAGTTCAATGCAGTCCAGTTCAATGCAGTTTCCTATCACCTCTCCAACTTCCAGGGCAGCCATTGACTGCAGTTTATTTCCATGCTGGAAGTTTTACTTGTGTCAAAAAACATACCTCTGAAACCGAAACTTATACCAAAAGAAGAAAAAATATGTAGGGCTTCATGATTTTACTACATGGACTGACAGAACCCTGAGTTTACGAGCTTTGGGCTATGCCTCAGTTTAAAATACATGCCTGCCTTCCTTCCTTCCTTCCTTCCTTCCTTCCTTCCTTCCTTCCTTCCTTCCTTCCTTCCTTCCTTCCTTCTTTCCTTCCTTCTTCCCTTCTCTTCCTTCCTCCCTCCATCCCTCCCTTCCTTCCTTTGTTCCCTCCTTCCTTCCTTCCTTCTTTCCTTCCTTTCTCTCCTTCCTTCCTCCTTCTCTCTTCTCTTTTTTCTTTTCTTCCCTGAAAGAGTCTCTCTGTTACCCAGGTATGGTGTATAATACATGCTAACACCACCACACCCAGCTAATTTTTTAATTTCTATTTTGAAGAAATGAGATCTTGCCATCTTGCCCAGGCTGGTCTCTAACTCCTGGCCTCAAGTGATCCTCCTGCTTCAGCCTCCTAAAGCATTGGGATTGCAGGCATGAGCCACCTAGCCCAGTTAAGTACACCTTTTCCTAGTTCTGTCAACAATCTCACAAAGCTGGCATCCAGAACCCTCCTTTAGGTGAGGATCCTTGAGTTAAGAGGCGTTGAGGGACTTGGCCAAGGTTAAATAACTAGAAGTAGACACAGAATGTGAAGATAACATCTCATCCAGCGCAGGCATCCCCATAAATTGCATTCCCACCCACACACCACCAGTGTGTTCATTGTGACAGGATGTGTGACCTGACACAACAGCCCTTGTGTAATCTGACACATTCCCATTAGGTAGCGACATAAACCAACAAAGCTTTCCAGGACAATGCCTTTGTGGAAATTGGTTTTCTTGCATTACTAGGGATTTTAAGGCACAACAGGTTTTCCCCTCTTTCTGTCTCTCAAAAAAAAAAAAAAAAAAAAAAGTCCTTTCAATACCCAATATTGCATGGCTTTCATGCCAGGCATAAAATGAAATTTGCCATAATCCATTGCCTAGGGAGAAAGTCGTATGTGTGTGTCACAACTGACATCTGTTAAATTAAATAAGCAAGCAATAAGAAGGTCTGAAATATGTTCTTTGTTCAGGAATTCGTGCAGACACTGATCAGCTGCTCTGTACAATTGAGAAGAGAACAAGTGCCTTTTCTTCCCCCAACATGTGCCACTGAAAGCCTCCAAGGAGGACAAAAGCAGAGGATGGATGAACTTGCACACCGTGAAGTTAACACTTCTGTTTGAAGTTCAAGCAAATTGGCTGAGCACAGCAGGAATGACCACATTGCCAGCTCCATCATACCTGCTCCCTCCCCAGGGCTGAACAGGAGCTCAGGCTAGTCCTTCCTTACCTGCTACTTCTTTTGCAAAGTGTAGGAAGGTGTGAGGCTTCATCCAGACTGCCTGATCAGTTTTGACCATCAGCATGTTATTATGGTGGATCTATTCTTAAAATACAGTTGTTCTTTTGTTTTCCTCACTGGCAAGGAATTTTGAACCAATAGCTCCAGAGTTAGCCCTTGTAATTTATTAATCAAGCTTCATTATTAATATGAGAATGAGAACAGATGTAATTCCAATGTGCAGCTGGAATATCAGCCAAGATGTGGTCCTTATAGAGATATACTAGGATCATCAAACGAGAAAGAGAAGCTTTGCCTATGCAACCAATTATAATTGTGGGATGGTGTATTTTGGGTATTGGAATTTTTTTGATAAACATGAGGATAGGCAGAAAGCCCTTCAGTTTCAATCCTTTGTTTTGTCCTTTCCCTCATCCCTAGAAATAGGTTATGTATCTATGACAATAACAGTGAGTGCCTCCCAAAAAACCACACACGTTTTCAAACCTCCCCTGCAGTTGAATTGAACCATGTGGATGGGTTCTGATAAATGGGAAAATATTTACTTATATTTTCTTTGAGTTCTATTGCGGTTTTATTTTTGTGTTTAATCCACGTGGAATTTATTTTAGTATATTAGTTTCAAGGCAGTTGTTCCCGGACTATTTAATTAATCTTTCCTTTTCCTACCGATTGCAAATACCAATCAGTATATGACAAATTCTGATTTCTGGTTCGGTAATCAATTTTCTCATTCCTATGTTGGTATCAAATTCCTAAATTATAGTAATTTTAAAATATATCTTACTATCTAGTAAGAGCTATCCCCTTTAATTTTTTAAATGGGGTCTCACTGTGTTGTCCAGGCTGGTCTTAAACTTCTGGGCTCAAGCAACCTTTCTATCTCAGCTCAGGCTCCAGAGTAGCTGGGACTACAGGCTCATACCACCACACCTGGCTCCTTTAAAAAAATTAATTCAGTTGCTTTTACAAATGTATTCTTTGAGTAGAATTTAAAAATCAGTTTGCTAAGTTAAAAAATTAAAGATTGATTAAATTCACAGGGTGACTGGGAAATAATTGATATCTTGTCAGGCCTGAGCCTGCTCATTCACGTGTGTGATGTTTCCCTTCATTTCATGTCTTCTTCCGTGTCCTTAGGCCGTTTTGTATTTCTTCTGTGTTTGATTCTGAGTATTCTGTGATTTTGGTTGCTTTTGTAAATGGGATATTTTTCTCATTTCCCATCATTTTTTCTAATTTATTATGGCTGAATGTTATTCGACTGTATGTATATATCACAATTTATTTATCCATTCATCCATCAATGGACATGTGGTTTGCTTCCACCTTTTGGCTGCTGTGCTGCTATCAACATGTGTATGCATGTACTTGCATCCCTGTTTTCAATTCTTTTGGGTACAGACGCCTGGGAGTGGAATTGCAGGGTCCTGTGATAATTCTGTGTTGAGTCATCTGAGGAACCACCAACTGTTTCCTGCAGTGGCTGAACCATATTACATTCCCACCAGCAATATACAAATTCCAGTTTCTCCACATCCTCACCAATACTTGCTGTTTTCTGTTTTCTTTTTAAAAAGTCATTACCATCCTAATGGGTGTACAGTGGTGCCTCCTTTTTATTTGCATTTCCCTAATGATGAATGATGCTGAGAATGTTTTCATGTGTTTGTGGGCCATGGCCTCTCTTCTTTGGAGAAATATCCACTCAAGTCCTTTTTCCACTGTTTAAGGGATGGTTTGTGTTTTTGTTGTTAGTTTCCTAACTTTCTGACAGGAAAACATTAACCGAAAGTTGCTGTGTTACATAGGATACTTTCAAAAGCAACAACTAGAAGATGCAACTCAAAATGGCTTAAATGATGAAAGAATGTTAAATGTTTGAGTGATCAGGTATGGTTCTAGCACTGTCCACGTATTAATTCATTTAATTCTAACAAGAATACTACAGGGTAGGTACACAAATCAGAAATATGAGGCACAGAGAAGTCCAAAGTCACACAGCTGGTAAGTGGTAAAGTTGGAATTTGAACCTAGGAAGTCTGACTCCATAGTCTCATCTGTGAGTGACCAGGTAATAAGTCTACAGGGAGGCAGTACTGGCACTGATTGGTTTAGCACATCAACCTAATACGGAGTCTAGATTTGTCAATGTTCCTATTCTGTTACCCTAAGCATGTTGCCTTTGCCTCAGGGTCCTCCCCTCATGGTTGCAAAATGGCCGCAACAGCTCCAAGCATCACATTATCTCCCAGCAACATCCAAATGACAGAAACAGAAAGTCTCTTTGGTTTCTTCTTTTTTAAAAGTAAGGAAAACTCTTCTAGAAGTACCTCTAGCAGACTTCTCATTGATCAGAATTGTGGCACATGCCCCATCGTAAACCAATCACTAACAAGGGACACAGAACTACAATTTTGGACACAGACTAATCAAGGTTGACACCTTGAAACTTCAATGGGGTCCAGATTCTAAAAACTATCTGCTGCTCAGTTCCTGAACAGAAATCATTTTCTGTTAACAAAGAAGAAGGAGGTAATCACTGTTGAGTTGGTGACCAACAGCTGCTGCCACAAGCTGTCATTTACTTCTGTTAGCCTCAAGGTTAGTGATATCTTCTCTGTGGGCTGGTGACTTCTCACCCTTGATTTCTCCTAGGCCATGTGTCTGATATCTTCTAGGCCACAGATGCAACACGTACATGAAAACCTGAATCCCCACCACACATTTGTTTGCAAAACTCTGTTTGCCGTTTCTCTCTACTTCTGACAGCTACCCCTACAGATCACAGGGGCATGCATCTCTTTAGGGTGACCTTTGCATGTTTATGCTAATTGCAGATTAAATCTGTAAGCCCTAACACTCATAATCTCCTAGCTTCCCTCTGTAAAAAGTCCCCCTTAGTGATACTTAATTTCACATGCTTGCCAAATCTTAAATCCAAAAGCAGAAGTCGATTTACCTCTGTACTGAAATTAAAGCTATACAAAGTTTTTGGCTTTGGGGGCACACTTCACTGTTCTCAATGGCCCTTTGTAGGTCAGATTTAAGTTAAGAGTCTCCCTGACATTTCAAAATGTCATCAAATGATCCTGGCTAAAAAGAAATGAAGACGCTTTCTTCCACATTTATGCAAGTCACAGGAAATCTTTCTAAGTGGACAAAGTGAAATAATCTTGGGACAAACATTTTATTCCATGTTTATACAATGAATACACTGCACTGAGCATCAGTGAATTTTTCTGCACATGGCTCCTAATCCAATTTTAATGTATTTCTGGTCACAAAAACAAAAACAAACACACTTAACCTTCAAAAGGGAAGATGAATGACACTGACTTCAGGTTTTTCACAAATATCTGTAAATAGCAGAACAACACAATCTACGTGATGATCTTTCTGCTATTGCTGGATGAGTCAGGTTCTCCCTTCCCATTTACTCTGGAGCTTATGTGAGATGGCTGTGATTTAACCAGAGGAAGCTCAAGTCATAGGGCTTTGTGGTAGTGAGTTTTTCCTCAAAGAAAGGTAGTAAGTTTCCCATAATAGCAAGGATTCAAGCAGAGGGTAGACGACCTTTCAGGATTGTGCATAGTAGAGGTTGAACTTAGAGAACTTATTGAAGGTCTCTTATTGAAGGTCTCTTTCAAAAGGTCCTAAGATAAGTCAGGAAAACAATCCTTATACACCTGTGGTGTTTTACGAATCAGAAAACCCTTAGACACATGCTTTGTCTCATTTAAGTATCAAAACAACCCTATGAGGTAGGTGGGTTGATTATTCTTGTTTTACAGATGATGAAATTGAGGTTCCGGTAGAGGTTAAGCAACTTATCTAGGGTCACACATTTAGGAAGTGAGGTCCTAGGACCTCCAGGTCAGAGATATCTCCATCCTCAGGACAAGGCAGAGAGGAGGCAGGCCCATTCTGCATGGCTGGAGCATTGCTAGGCGGGTGGCTACACTGCTGGGCACAGAGAAGTGGCTGTGGCTGCTCCGGCCTTTCTCTTTCTCCTATACCCTAAGGCTGGTCATCAACAAAGCTCTCTGTCCTCAAGGACCCCTATGTATTCTTTCTCAGCTGCTGCAGGTTGGAGCTGACCTGCCTCCCAAAAGGCAAGTGTGTGAAGCCTGTGATTTACACTTGCTTGGTGTTTCAACCCATGCCCCGAATACACCCTTTTTAAAAGGACCACCGCAGAAACACCTCCAAAGCAGGGGGCTATCAGGCGGGTTCTCTCTCAGCCCACAGTTTTGGCAAGGGAGAAGGGGAACACTTCTGCTCAGTAGGGTCATTCCAGTCATTCCGTACAGGCTACTCCACCTAGTCTGAATTGTGTGAGAACACAAAAGAAAATGCCACTGCTTCGTGGGGAAAGAATGTTGGTGGAGGGGACAGGATGTTCCGTTGCAATCTCCTCATAGTCCCCAGGCTCTGACATAGATGGGAGCACAGAGTTGCTTGTGTGAGGGCCTGGGAGCTGAGCTTTCTTCCACGTAGTTCTCCCAATCACATTGTGCCCTTTTCTGGTAATTGAGTGGGAAACGAATCCACCCAAGAATCTGGGCTGTCCCACAAAAGGAAGGTAAATATCCCAAAGAAAAAAATTATTGCCAATTACAGAGACCATGTGTTCACAGGAATAAACAGGAATACAGCTGAGCGGAAAAATGGGCGTATCACCACACATTCCATCTGAGCAGGCAAGAGCCGGGCCAGAAACGAGTTTCGTATCTTTTTTCATTTGGGTCAGCCAGGAGGGGTATGTATGAAAGGGAATAAAGTATACACAGATAGCTTCAAAAATAATATCTCTAAGCTTTTAGAAAGCCAGCCAGTCTTGCTACTCCTAATGCAACAGGAAGTTGTTGCATTTGCATTGAATCCAGAAGATTTTTCTCTCTCTGCTTGACTGTATTTGACCATACAGGATGAGCCTTGGGCCTGCTGGCAGTATGTTTTCTAACTCTGAGGGCCTGAGGAAACTGATGTTTGGAGAGAGGTCAGTGGCTTGCCCAGGGTTACACAGCTTGGAAATGAGAGGTCAGGACTTTCCCTGTCAGGTGCATCCCACACACCTGGACAAGACCCAGGCATGAGAGGAGCCAGACACCCACTGCACACCAAGGTGATGCGCGGGTCCTGATTTCCTCACTATTTTCACCCCAAGGGCTTTCTCCCATTGGAGCTACACTGGGAGGTATCTGCTGTCTAAAAGGAGGGATGCTGGGGAATATGAAGAGAAACTCATGTTTTCTGTTTCCACACCAAAGGTTTGAGATGCAGGAGCTTAAAACCCTGACCCTTACAGTTCAGGTACTAAGTTGATGCCAGAAGCATTTGACTTGGAAGAGTAAATAAAGTTGGAAGAACTGGTTCTTCTCACTCCAGAGAGCGGGAGAGAACAGAGACTAGGGACCACGAGAGTTTGGCTGTTGGTAAATGTCACTGAGAAAAGGGACTGTGCCTCATTCCTGTCACAGACCTTTCATAGCAGCACCCAAGGGAGATGTGGGAATTGCTGAGATGATTCACTCCAGCCTCAGAAAGCCCTGGCTGATGGGGCTAAGGCAGATGAGGTCTTCGTGGACCAGTGATGGAGAGCATAGGAGAGCAAGGACATCTCGGAGGCACAACAGAGTGGGTGGTGATGGAAACCAGGTGGCCCCTGGGATCATGACTGTCACAAACCCTGGGAGTGATGGAGACAAATTATCATCTGGGCCATATGTAGTTGCAATTTTTATAGTTTAGAAATGATCAAATAGCAGCAATTTCATATTGTTTTGTGTAACATCATGGGAAAGCCTGAACTGCCTGCTATTTCATTTCTACCATGCAGTAGAATAAGAGTTTGAAGTGGAACCAAATTCAGTCTTAGTCAAAGACAATCAGGCTTCTCACCCATCTGCATAGAGGCTATGTGTAGCACTAACCACACTGAAATGCCTCGACACTACCTCGCCACCAAGCAGTTCTTCAGGTGCCTGATGGTTCAGATCTCCTTCCCCAGGAGGATCCTGGGATGTCTTCATAACATTCGACTCTAATTTGAACGGATTCTCCTCCACACCCTGCTGTTTAAGATTTACACATAGTTTCCAGTATTCAGATGGGACGTGCTTGGGAGCTGGGGAAAACTTGTTCTTTCCTCACAATTCAATCCAGTTTTCAGTCTTACCTATGTCACATGCCTGTGAGCACAGGATGAGAGGAATATAGGTAATTTCAGAAAACATGCAGGAGCCTACCATCATCACCTTTACTTTTTAAATGGGTTTGGTTTTGCTTCATGTTGGGAAGCTTGGTTCCTCCTGGCTGAGGAATGGTAGCCAGGAAACTGCTGGTCAAATCATCAGCCCTTTGTCCTCCTGGCATGACACAGGAGCCTGTAAAGGACAGAGGAAGTGACTGCTAGGCAGGTTAGAAGGCATTACTCCTCCAGCACAGCCATATCTAGACATAGCATGGTGACTTGTATGCCATGGTTCTCAAATTGTTGCTGAGGCTCTCTGAGGTGCCTCAGTGAACACATCAGAACACTGCAAGGTAGTTTAGACTTTTGAAGGAAACTCATTAACATCCGTCAGATACTGTGCAAAAACACTGGTTTTGATGGTTTTGCACAGTATCTGAGTTTCAGACAGTTGCTATGATAAAAAAGACGCATTGTGAAAAAAATCAACGTGAAATAGGAAATGAGAATGGCAGTATCCAATCTGAGTCCAAGGTCTGAGTAATTGTTCAGTGCCCAACAGGCACACACCTCACATTATTAAGAAATTGTGGCTGGGCACGGTGGCTCCTGCCTGTAATCCCAGCGCTTTCGGAGGCCGAGGTGGGCGGATCATGAGGTCAGGAGATTGAGACCATCCTGGCTAACACGGTGAAACCCCGTCTCCACTAAAAATACAAAAAAAAAAGAAAAAACAGCCAGGCATGGTGGCCGGCGCCTGTGATCCCAGCTACTCGGGAGGCTGACGCAGGACAATGGTGTGAACCCGGGAGGCGGAGATTGCAGTGAGCCGAGATTGGCCCACTGCACTCCGGCCTGGGCAACAGAGTGAGACTCCGTCTCAAAAAAAAAAAAAAAAAAAAAAAAAAAATTGTGATCATTTGAAAATAAAGTAAATGTATTTTTACTTCAGTCTGTCTGTATTATTTTTTCCTGAAGTGGCCACTGTGTTTTCAGGACATAAATAATTGGTAAATTATTTGGGCCTGACTAATTCATAAACAAATTTTGGGGTATTTATTTTGACCTGTATGTGCCATGAAAAAATTATAGAGATACTAGGGGAGCTGTGAACTGGAAAAACTTGAGAATCTCTGTCTTAGTGAGAGGTGACAGCGTGCTGGCAGCCCTCGCTTGCTCGCGGTGCCTCCCCGGCCCCAGTGCTCATTCTGGCTGCACTTGAGGAGCCCTTCAGCCTGCCGCTGCACCATGGGAGCTCTTCTCTGGGCTGGCCGAGGCTGGAGGCGGCTCCCTCCGCTTGTGGGAGGTATGGAGGGGGAGGCACGGCGGGGGGATCCGGGGCTGCTCCCGGCGCTTGCGGGCCCGCTTGAGTTCCGGGTGGGTGTGGGCTTGGCAGGCCCGCACTCGGAGCAGCCAGCCAGACGGCCCTGCTGTACCCAGGCAGTGAGGTGCTTAGCACCCAGGCCAGCAGCTGTGAGGGTGCACCGGGTCCCCCAGCACGGCTGGCCCACTGGTGCTGCCCTCGATTTCTCGCCGGGCCTTAGCTGCCTCCCCGTGCGGTAGGGCTCCAGACGTGCAGCCCCCCATGCCTGAGGCTCCACACCCGTACCGCCGCCCGCCCTCCGCCGCTGTCCTCACAAAACCGCCCCCCCCAACCGCTCCCACCCACCCAATCCCTCCTGCCACCCCCCTCAGTCCCCGCCATCACCCCCCCTCCCCACCATGGGTTCCTGCCTGGCCTGAGCCTCCCCAGTGAGCACCGCCCCCTGTTCAAGGGCACCCGGTCCCATTGACCACTCAAGGGCTGAGGAGTGTGGGTGCATGGTGAGGGACTGGTGGGCAGCTCCACCTGCCTCCCGGTGTGAAATCCACTGGGTGAGGCCAGCTGGGCTCCTGAATCTAGTGGGGACTTGGAGAACCTTTGTGTCTAGCTAAGGGATTGTGAGTGCACCAATGAGCACTCTGTGTCTAGCTCAAGGTTTGTGAACACACCAGTCAGCACCCTTTGTCTAGCTCAGGGTTTGTGGATGCACCAACCGACACTCTGTATCTAGCTAATCTGGTGGGGACTTGGAGCATCTTTATGTCCAGCTAAGGGATTGTGACTGCACCAGTCCACACTCTGTGTCTAGCTCAAGGTTTGTAAATGCACCAAATCAGAGCTCTGTATCTAGCTAATCTGGTGGGGACTTGGAAAATCTTTATGTCTAGCTAAGGGATTGTGAATGCACCAGTCGGCACTCTGTATCTAGCTCAAGGTTTGTAAATGCACCAATCAGCACTCTGTGTCTAGCTCAGGGTTTTTAAATACACCAATCGACACTCTGTATCTAGCTAATCTAGTGGGGAGGTGGAGAACATTTGCGTCTAGCTCAGGGATTGTAAATGCACCAATCGGCACCCTGTCAAAACAGACCAATCAGCTCTCTGTAAAACAGACCAATTGGCTCTCTGTAAAACAGACCAATCGGCTCTCTCTAAAATGGACCAATCAGCAGGATGTGGGTGGGGTCAGATAACAGAATAAAAGCAGGCTGCCTGAGCCCACAGTGGCAACCTGCTCGGGTCCCCTTCCACTCTGTGGAAGCTTTGTTCTTTTGCTCTTTGCAATAAATCTTGCTACTGCTCACTCTTTGGGTCCACACTGCCTTTATGAGCTGTGACACTCACTGCAAAGGTCTGGAGCTTCACTCCTGAAGCCAGCGAGACCATGAACCCACTGGGAGGAACGAACAACTCCAGACGTGCTGCCTTAAGTGCTGTAACACTCACCGCGAAAGTCTGCAGCTTCACTCATCAGCCAGCGAGACCACAAACCCACCAGAAGGAAGAAACTCCAAACACATCCGCACACCAGAAGGGAAAATCTCCGGACATGCTGCCTTTAAGAACTGTAACACTCACCACAAGGGTCCACGGCTTCATTCTTGAAGTCAGTGAGACCAAGAACCCACCAATTCCGGACACATTTTGGTGACCACGAAGGGACTATCGCCAAGCGGTGAGACTGTCGCCTGTCACCAAGCAGTGAGTACCATCAGACCCCTTTCACTTGCTATTCTATCCTATTTTCCTTAGAATTCGGGGGTTAAATATCGGGCACCTGTCGGCCAGCTAAAAGCGACTAGTGTGGCCACCGGACTAAAGACACGGGTGTCAGGCTTTCTGGAAATGGGCTCTCTAACAACCCCCAGCTCTTCGGAGTTGGGAGCGTTGGTTTGCCTAGAACAAGCTTCTGCTTTTCCTGTACTTCTGGGCTCAGCCGAGGGTCAACAGAGAGGAAAGCCATTCAGCTCCGGGGTCCCGACAACACGTTGGTTGACCCTACGGCCATGAGTGGAACTCTCAAAGGCATGTCGCCCAAGCGAGACTCACCCATCTATCTTATCTATCCCTGACCCTTGCCCTCTGTGTCCAAATGCTTGCCACACAAACTTCCTCTTGACTCTCTTCTCTGAGGTTAGTCCTCCTTCTAAAAATTGTTACCTGTCTCTGGTGCTTTTCTAGTTTCTCCTATAAGAATGATTTCTAGTATAAAGTCCAGGACTCTGTTACTTTCTTCAGGCACCTGGGCTCACCAATCAGAAAGACATAACTTTTGCCCAAAGCCCTGTCGTAGTGGGGACTACCTGGAATTTTAGGATCCCTCCTCCGACTAATAGGCCTAACAAAAACTATTCCTGAAGCTAGGATATGGGGAGCCTCAGAAATTGTATCCTTCCTATTCATGTAAGTGAGGACAAAATGTGTCACTCTTCCACCCTGGAGATCCCCTCCCTCCCTCAGGGTATGGCCCTCCACTTCATTTTTGGGGCATAACATCTGTATAGGACAGGGGTAAAGTCCCAACACTAAAAGGTGAATGCTTAGGACTCTAACAGGTTTTTAAGAATGTGTCGGTAAGGGCCACTAAATCCGATTTTTCTCAGTCTGTCCTCTTTGTGGTCTAGGAGGACAGGCAAGGGTGCAGGTTTTTGAGAATGCATCGGTAAGGACCGACCTTCCTCAGTCCTCCATGTGGTCTGGAAGGAAAGCTAGTGTTTCCGCTGCAGCGTCGGTGAGCACAACTATTCTGACCAGCAGGGTCCAGGGACCATTGTGGGTTCCTGGGCAGGGGTTGTTTCTGCTGATGCGTTGGTGAGTGCAACTATTCTGATCAGCAGGGTCCAGGGACCGTTGCGGGTTCTAGGGCAGGGGGAGAAACAAAACAAACCAAAACCGCAGGCGGTTTTGTCTTTCAGATGGGAAACACTCAGGCATCAACAGGCTCACCCTTGAAATGCATGCTAAACCATTGGGACCAATTTAACCCACAAACCCTGAAAAAGAGGTGGCTCATTTTTTTTCTGCACTACGGCTTGGTCCCAATATTCCCTCTTTGATGGGGAAAAATGGCCACGTGAGGGAAGTAGAAATTACAATACTATCCTGCATCCTGACCTTTTCTGTAAGAGGGAAGGCAAATGGAGTGAAATACCTTATGTCCAAGCTTTCTTTTCATTGAGGGAGAATACACAACTATGCAAAGCTTACAATTTACATCCCACAGGAGGACCTCTCAGCTTACCCCCATATCCTAGCCTCCCTATAGCTCCCCTTCCTATGAATGATAATCCTCCTCTAATCTCCCCTGCCCAGAAGGAAATAAGCAAAGAAATCTCCAGAGGACCACAACCCGCCCCCCAGGCAATCGGTTATGTCCCCTTCAAGCTGTAGGGGGCAGAGAACTTGGCCCAACCCAGGTGCATGTCCCCTTCTCCCTCTCTGATTTAAAGCAGATCAAGGCAGACCTGGGGAAGTTTTCAGATGATCCTGATAGGTACGTAGATGTCCTACAGGGTCTAGGGCAAACCTTTGACCTCGCTTGGAGAGATGTCATGCTACTCTTAGATCAAACCCTGGTCTTTAATGAAAAGAATGTGGCTTTAGCTGCAGCCTGAGAGTTTGGAGATACCTGGTATCTTAGTCAGTAAATGATAGAATGACAGCTGAAGAAAGGCACAAATTCCCTACTGGTCAGCAAGCCATCCCCAGTATGGATCCCCACTGGGACCTTGACTCAGATCATGGGGACTGGAGTTGTAAACATCTGTTGACCTGTGTTCTAGAGGGACTACGGAGGATTAGAAAAAAGCCCATGAATTATTCAGTGATGTCCACCATAACACAGGGAAAGGAATAAAATCCTTCTGCCTTCCTCGAGCAGCTACGAGAGGTCTTAAGAATATATACTCCCCTCTCGCCTGAATCCCTCGAGGGTCAATTGATTCTAAAAGATAAATTTATTACCCAATCAGCCACAGCTATCAGGAGAAAGCTCCAAAAGCAAGCCCTGGGCCCTGAACAAAATCTAGAGGCATTATTAAACCTGGCAAACCTCGTCGTTCTATAATAGGGACCAAGAGGAACAGGCCCAAAAGGAAAAGCGAGGTCAGAGAAAGGCTGCAGCCTTAGTCCTGGCCCTGAGATAAACAAACCTTGGTGATTCAGAGAGGACAGAAAATGGAGCAGTCCAATCACCTGGTAGGGCTTGTTATCAGTGTGGCTTACTAGGACACGTTAAAAAAGATTGTCCAATGAGAAACAAGCTGCCCCCTCGTCCATGTCCACTACACTGAGACAATCACTGGAAGGTGCACTGCCCCAGAGGATGAAGTTTTCCTGGGTCAGAAGCCCCCAACCAGATAATCCAACAACAGGACTGAGGGTGCCCCGGGCAAGCACCAGCTCATGCCATCACCCACACTGAGCCCCGGGTATGTTTAACTATTGAGGGCCCGGAAATTGACTTCATCCTGGACACTGGTGCGGCATTCTCAGTGTTAATCTCTGGTCCTGGACGACTGTCCTCAAGGTCCGTTACCATCTGAGGAATCCTGGGACAACCTGTTACCAGGTATTTCTCCCACCTCCTGAGTTGTAATTGGGAGACTTTGGTCTTTTCACATCCCTTTCTTGTTATGCCTGAAAGTCCCACACCCTTATTAGGGAGGGGTATATTAGCCAAGGCTGGAGCTATTATCTACATGAATATGGGGAAGAACTTACCCATTTGTTGTCCCCTACTTGAGGAGGGAATCAACCCTGAAGTCTGGGCATTGGAAGGACAATTTGGAAGGGCAAAAAATGCCCACCCAGTCCAAATCAGTTTAAAAGATCCCACCACTTTTCCTTATCAAAGACTATCCCTTAAGGCCTGAAGCTAATAAAGGGCTACAGAATATTGTTAAACATTTGAAAGCTCAAGGCTCAGTAAGGAAATGCAGCCATCCCTGCAACACCCCAATCCTAGGAGTAGGAAAAGCAAACGGTCAGTGGAGACTAGTGCAAGATCTTAGACTCATCAATGAGGCAGTAATTCCTCTATATCCAGTTGTACCCAACCCCGATACCCTGCTCTCAAATACCAGAGGAAGCAAAATGGTTCATGCTTCTGGACCTCAAGGATGCCTTCTTCTGTATTCCCCTGCACTCTGACTCCCAGTTCCTCTTTGCCTTTGAGGATCCCACAAACCACATGTCCCAACTTAACATGGACGGTCTTGCCCCAAGGGTTTAGGGATAGCCCTCACCTGTTTGATCAGGCACTGGCCCAAGATCTTGGCCACTTCTCAAGTCCAGGCACTCTGGTCCTTTGGTATGTGGATGATTTATTTTGGCTACCAGTTTGGAAGCCTCATGCCAGCAGGCTACTCTAGATCTCTTGAACTTTCTAGCTAATCAAGGGTACAAGGTGTCTAGGTCGAAGGCCCAGCTTTGCCTAGAGCAGGTCAAATATCTAGGCCTAATCTTAGCCAGAGGGACCAGGGCCCTCAGCAAGGAATGAATACAGCCTCTACTGGCTTATCCCCACCCTAAAACATTAAAACAGTTGCGGGGTTCCTTGGAATTACTGGCTTTTGCCGACTGTGGATCCCCAGATGCAACAAGATAGCCAGGCCCCTCTATACTCTAATCAAGGAAACCCAGAAGGCAAATACTCATCTAGTAGAATGGGAACCAGAGGCAGAAACAGCCTTCAAAACCTTAAAGCAGGCCCTAGTAGAAGCTCCAGCTTTAAGCCTTCCCACAGGACAAAACTTCTCTTTATACTTCACAAAGAGAGCTAGGATAGCTCTTGGAGTCATTACTCAGACTCGTGGGACAACCCCACAACCAGGGGCATACCTAGGTAAGGAAATTGATGTAGTAGCAAAAGGCTGCCCTCACTGTTTAAGGGTAGCTGCAGCAGTGGCCGTCTTAGTGTCAGAGGCTATCAAAATAATACAAGGAAAGGATCTCACTGTCTGGACTACTCATGATGTAAATGGCATACTAGGTGCCAAAGGAAGTTTGTGGCTATCAGACAACCACCTACTTAGATACCAGGTGCTACTCCTTGAGGGACTGGCGCTTCAAATACTCATGTGCATGGCCCTCAACCCTGCCACTTTTCTCCCAGAGGATGGGGAACCAATCGAGCATGACTGCCAACAAATTATAGTCCAGACTTTTGCCGCCTGAGATGATCTCTTAGAAGTCCCTTTAACTAATCCTGACCTTAACCTATATACCGACGGAAGTTCATTTATGGAGAATGGGATACGAAGGGCAGGTTATGCCATAGTTAGTGATGTATCCATACTTGAAAGTAAGCCTCTTCCCCCAGGGACCAGTGCCCAGTTAGCAGCACTAGTGGCACTTACCCGAGCCTTAGAACTGGGAAAGGGAAAAAGAATAAATGTGTATACAGATAGCAAATATGCTTATCTAATCCTACATGCCCATGCTGCAATATGGAAAGAGAGGGAGTTCCTAACCTCTGGGGGAACCCCTGTTAAATGCCACAAGGAAATTATAGAATTATTGCATGCAATGCAAAAACACAAGTAGGTGGCACTCTTACACTGCCAAAGCCATCAAAATGGGAAGAAGAGGGGAGAACAGCAGCATGAGTGACTGGCAGAGGTAGGGAAAGACCAGCAAGAAGGAGAGAAAAAGAAAGTCAGAGAAAGAGAGAGAGAGAGGAAGGAACAGAGGGACAAAGAGAAGGAGTCAGAGAGAAAGAGGGACAGACACAGAAAGTCAAAGAGAGAGTTAAAAAGAGAGGAAGAGACAAAGAAGGAGTTGAAGAGAGAAAGAGAGAGAAAGAAATAGTAAAGAAAAAAAAACAGTGTACACTATTCCTTTAAAAGCCAGGGTTAAGTTCTGTCTACCCAGACAAGGCAGATTCTTCTTATGTGGAACAACGACCTGTATCTGCCTCCCCACTAACTTGACAGGCACCTGCACCTTAGTCTAAGTCCCAACATTATCATTGCCGCAGGAAATCAGACCTTATCAGTACCCCTCAAAGCTCAAGTCTGTCAGTGCAGAGCCATACAACTAATACCCCTCCTTAAAGGGTTAGGAATGGCTATGGCTACAGGAACCAGAATATGTGGTTTATCTACTTCATTATCCTACTACCACACACTCTCCAAGGATATCTCAGACAGTTTGCAAGAAATAGCGAAATCTGTTCTTACTTTATAATCCCAAATAGACTCTTTGGCAGCAGTGACTCTCCAAAACTGCCAGGGGGGATTGAGAGGTGACAGCATGCTGACAGCCCTGGCTCACTCTCGGTGCCTCCTCAGCCTCAGCGCCCATTCTGGCCATGCTTGAGGAGCCCTTCAGCCTTCCACTGCACCATGGGAGCCCTTGTGTGGGCTGGCCGAGGCCGGAGCCAGCTCCCTCAGCTTGCGGGGAGGTGTGGAGGGAGAGGCAGGGGTGGGAGCCAGGGCTGCGTGCAGTGCTTGTGGGCCAGCTAGAGTTCTGGGTGGGTGTGGGCTTGCTGATCCCTGCACTTGCAGTGGCCGGCCAGCCCTGCCAGCCCCAGGCAGTGAGGGACTTAGTACCCAGGCCAGCAGCTGCAGAGGGTGTGCCGGGTCCCCCAGCAGTGCTGACCCACCAGCGCTGTGCTGGATTTCTCACCCGGCCTTAGCTGCCTCCCCACGGGGCAGGGCTTGGGACCTGCAGCCCACCATGCCTGAGTCTCCCCCAACCGCCATGGGCTCCTGCATGGCCTGAGCCTCCTGGACGAGCGCCACCCCCTACTCCATGGTGCCTGGTCCCATCGGCCGCCCAAGGGCTGAGGAGTGCAGGCGCACGGTGAGTGACTGGCGGGCAGCTCCACCTGTGGCCCTGGTATAAGATCCACTGGGTGAGGCCAGCTGGGCTCCTGAGTCTAGTGGGGACTTGGAGAACCTCTGTGTCTAGCTAAGGGATTGTGAGTGCACCAATCAGCACACTGTGTCTAGCTCAAGGTTTGTGAACACACCAATCAGCGCCCTGTGTCTAGCTCAGGGTTTGTGGATGCACCAACCGGCACTCTGTATCTAGCTAATCTGGTGGGGACTTGGAGAGTGTTTATGTCTAGCTAAGGGATTGTGAATACACCAATCAGCACTCTGTATCTAGCTCAAGGTTTGTGAACACACCAATCAGCACCCTCTGTCTAGCTCAGGATTTGTGGATGTACCAACCGGCACTCTGTATCTGGCTAATCTGGTGGGGACTTGGAGAATCTTTATGTCTAGCTAAGGGATTGTGAATACACCAATCAGCACTCTGTATCTAGCTCAAGGTTTGTAAACACACCAATCAGCACACTGTGTCTAGCTCAGGGTTAGTGGATGCACCAATTGGCACTCTGTATCTAGCTAATCTAGTGGGGACTTGGAGAACCTTTATGTCAAGCTAAGGGATTGTGAATGCACCAGTCAGCACTCTGTGTCTAGCTAAAGGTTTGTAAGTGTAGCAATCAGAGCTCTGTGTCTAGCTAATCTGGTGGGGACTTGGGGAATCTTTATGTCTAGCTAAGGGATTGTGAATGCACCAGTTGGCTCCCTGTATCTAGCTCAAGGTTTGTAAATGCACCAATCAGCACTCTGTGTCTAGCTCAGGATTTGTAAATACACCAATCGACACTCTCTATGTAGCTAATCTAGTGGGGATGTGGAGAACCTCTTTGTCTAGCTCAGGGATTGTAAATGCACCAGTCAGCACCCTGTCAAAACAGACCATTCAGCGCTCTGTAAAACAGACCAATCGGCTCTCTCTAAAATGGACCAATCAGCAGGATGTGGGTGGGGCCAGATAAGAGAATAATAACCATGGAAATATCTTGAAAACTGTTGTGCAGATGTAGGTAGTCATTCTTGTTGACACATTGATGAAGATGCTAATAACTCATGAGACCATCTTAAAAGGGGCTGGTTGGTAGGAAGGAAAGCCTGAATTAGTGCAAGGTCTGAATAATCGGGTTTCTTCTTACTTTTTTAAAAAAATCAAACTTAATTGTTCACAGCAGTTTAGAAATACATTTCAAGGGCTGCCACTTAGAGGCGAATTTTAACAAAGAAAGGCCAGGCACAGGGGATCGTGCCAGTAATCCCAGTACTATGGGTGACTGTGATGGAAAGATAACTTGAGGCTAGAAGTTTGAGCCAGGGCAACACAGTGAGCCCCTGTCTCTACAAAAAATAAAAATTAAAAAATTGCCAGATATGGTGGCATGTACCTGTAGTCCTGACTATCTGAGAGGCTGAGATGAGAGGATTGCTGGAGCCTGAGATTTGGAGGCTGCAGTGAGATTTGATCATGTCACTGCACTCCAGCCTGGATGACAGAGCAAGACCCTCTCTAAAAAAAAGAAAGAGAGAGAGAGAGCCAAAATTTCAGTCCCAGTAGCTCACTTACTTAGGTGGTTTGAGTATCATTAAATTCATCAGGGTCACCAAACAGTTAATTAAGTAGATAAAGAGTCCTCCATTTTATTGATACCTTTTGTTTATTAAAAATTTCCTTTTTCTTTTTCAACATTACTGTTAAGCTCTATTCCTTCCCCTGGGTGAGTTCTTGCAATATTAAATTGGTAGGATCTGAATTCATACCTGTTTTGGATAAATCTATCAAATTTAAGAAGGAACCTAGGAAAGAACAACTTGAGAGGTGGCCGTAGAGCAGACAGGAGCCCTGTATGACATTGATCATTTGGAGGCCACCTGGCCTCCACTTCTCTCTGTGACTGCCTCCTCTTGAGGGATTTTCCATTGTGTGGGGCTTTGGGAGGTGAGAACACAGCTGGGGAAGAAGACTCTACCACTTGGGCTCAACTTTCCCTGAAGACTCTGAATCCTGTAAACACGGGGCAAGCAGTGGCCTTGGTACATCTCGGACTGAGGAGAAGCTCAGATCAGGTAGTTCCTATGACAAGGCCCCTCTTCAGGAGCTCCCTGATTCTGGGACACCCCTGGCCTAAAATCAAGTTAGTAAGCCCCAGATATCCTCCAATTACCCTTCTTTTCATTCAGGAGAGCCAAAAATCGGCTTTTATTTGTAAGTAGATAACATGGCTAATAAGGTGTCCTTTTCCAAACAATTTTTCACCTACAAACAATTTTTGTGTGTGTGTGCTAATCTGTAATGTTGCTGAGTGAATTGTTTAACAAGAAGCACATCAGAGTGATTTTAGCAACAAGAGCACTCATTCCTGTCTCGGTCTAGAACTCCTGAGATTTAAGATGGATCTGAAAAATTCTGTGTTCTCTTAAAGTGTAGTCATGTTTTCATAATCGGTGTGTTGTGCCTTTTTCATATTCTTTGTCGGCATGCAGCTGTTCAAATTTAAAGGAAAGTTTCTGTCCCAAAAGCGTAATTCCTCGACAGAAAGTTGTTTGTTGGTTTTTGTTTGTTTGTTTGTAAGTCATAATCATGTTTTTGAGAATGTTTATTTCACTTTACCGTAGCATCATACAATTCAACCTCATGGGCATTCTTTATTCTGACACTTATAACTCTGAGTAAGAACACCATCTCTCTTGGGAGAAAAAGCAAAAGAGAATGTTTCTTTAATAAATATGCTTAATGTTCAATTAAAGTGTGTCTGTGGTGGAGAAGAGGGACAATAGATTTTTTCTTGAAATTTGTAAGAGGCTAAATTATTCAACACAGACAGTCTACCTTGAATAAACTTTATCATCTAAAAACATTAAGAATTTGGGCCTCTGGGCCTCTCAAAAAAAAAAAAAAAAAAAGAAGAAGAATTTGGACCTCTGGATGCTGACATTCTTAACCTTGGATACAAACCCAAGGGAAGTGATTGCAACACCAATTGTTATAATTTGGCTGTAATATTCAGTCTGAAGAGACTAATTGTGAATGCAACTCTGCCTTTTTGTGTGTAAAATTATTTAGCTTACTATCATAATTTTCGATTCAGTTCTCTTTGCTAACCACCCAGTTTAATCCATTCTCTCAAGTGATTTTCTTCTCTCTGCACCATATTGGTTGAGGCTGCCTCATCTCCTGCTCATAGTAACATGGCACATTTTTATCTGATTCTGTCACTCTCTTCTCACTCCAATTCGTCTTCTCCAGTCCATTTTCAATAGCTACAGAGACCTGTTAAAACACAAATCTGGTCACTTTATCTTCTGCCAAAGATTAATGTGCTCCCATTGTTCTTAGGATGAAAACGAAAGTCATTAATTAATATGCTAAGGCCAGCATTATCACTTTATTTTTAACATTAAACAAAACCTAAAAGGTTTGTCATATAATTGATATCTACCATATCCTATAGTCAATTATTTCAAACAAATTAACCAGAGATGGATTTTGAAACTTGAAATCTGCCACAGCTTCATCTTTCCATAACTCTATCAGTAAATAATTGGTCAAATTTCATGCTTTTGGTGGAGAAAAACTGCAAAGCCACAGAAACATCTAGTTTTGCCCAAAAACTAAGCAAAAACATGTAATTTGCCAAAAATTTGAGCCAAGAAACCATGGAGAAAACAGCCAAGCCCATCCATCAGGAAAGGCTTGGTTAGTGCCCATATCCGGACTGGAATATACAATCCCAAGAGTTGAAAAATGTGTGGGCAAAATGTAAGTTTGAGCAATAGTCACTTTCGTTTTCTTTTTTTTTTTATTTAAAGAGGTATGTGCTTGTCAGTGGGAATAAAAATAAAATGACATGCTTTTGGGATAAAATTGCTACGGCTGCAGTATCTTCCTTAGTGGGTAATTGGCCATGCATCATAAAGAATGCGGTACCAGAAGGAGATCTTTAATACCACATCTTTAGTATCACGGCCCTATTAACCTTGACTTCAGATGGATTGGCCATGGGGTTCACTTACTCCAGAGACCCAGCCTACAGAAAAAGACTTATGCAAAACTAGGTTTATTTTTTATTACTCTAGAGGGAAGGGCTGTGTCGAATGTATAAAGATCCACTGCTTTCTCTAGGTAGAGGTTCAGAATTGCAAAATGGTGTGGTTGGAGTTGCAAGATCATTGATCTGTGCTAGGATGTAAAATTCAGAGAGAGCTGAATCAAAAATTAAGATGATAAGCTAAAATTATTTAGCTACAATTATTTAAAATTATTATATATTAGGGACTTCCCATAAGCCACACTGTGCTGTTTTATCTCATTAAATTTTCACAATGTAGCCACAGTTTTCCCCCATTTTACAGGTGACAAGATACAGTCCCAAAGAGAGAAGAGACATCTCTGTCCTCCCCATGCTCAGCATCCTTCGCCCTTTTTCTGGTGCCAGCATCCTGGCTTTCTTTGAGGGACGTGCTTCCTTCCCCTGTGTTGGTAGACAGATGCCTGGAAGCTACCACTCACGGTATCCTGCTCTCCCCTGGCCAGCCGTACCCTCTTCCCAAAGAACCCAATCATGATTAAATAACAGGCAGGGATAAAAGGTTTGAGAAAGATCCATCTCTCCCACAAAGTACCTTCTGCCACCATCCCCCTTCTTCCCTTTCTGTCTTCTGGTTCTTCAGTTTATCTTCCTTTTGGCTTAGGTTTCCCAGAGTGGATTTCTGTTGCTTGCAGTGAGCTAACTGTGGCTGAAATAAGAGGGTTAGTAGCTTTTCTGCACACACACATTCCAACTGCTACTTTCCTCACCCTTTCTGCCTCATCTCCCTGCTGCCTGTGGTAGTGATTGCTGGGCACTGGGTGCTTGATGCATGTGCATCCTGACCCTCCTTCCCACACTAGGATAGCGGAGGAGGTGGTATGCTTTGGTCTCTGGGAAGAAGCAACCCCAACCCAACACTTTGGGTTGCTGTTTCTCTGTACTGCTGGACTGCACAAAAGCCGAGCTTCCGTCTCAGTGTGGTTTGAAGGTGGCCAAATGGCCATTAACTGGGTGCTGCGTCCAGCAGTATCACTCAATTCCACATGTAGAAAAAGTTAGCCAAGGGATAAGAGCTAAAACACCTACAGAATGGGACGAAGATATGTCAAAATACCCTCTGTGGCTCTGGCACAGGCAGGACAGTAGCATCATCAGGCTGCTGGGCCCACCAGTATGCAATAATTCCCTCTTTATTCAGTGTCGTAGCAGAAGTGTAACATCCTCTGTGTGCAAATCGTCAAAATTTTTCTTTGTGGGCACGGTTCAGATAAAAACAGGAGAGTCACATGACCTAAATGCTGTGCTCAGCAATATGTCACAATTCCACCATTTGAAAGGCCCAGGCAGGGAAAGAGAGTCATGTCAGTTAGGTTATGGCCTCAGAGATATGTCCCAGTGTCCCCATTAGGCAGGACTCAGGCAGAAAAGGAGAGTCTTATCACCTAGGTTCTTCTTTAGGTATACGTCACAGTATAAGACATAGACAGAAACCAAGCAGAAGAACCACATCACCCGGGTGTTGGGTCCTGAGATATGTTGCAAGGCTCCCTTAGGATAGAATCAAGGTGAAAGAGTTACATCACCTTGGTGTAGGTTCAACTTTTATGTCACAGTGCCTTACGTGGGTGAGGCCCAAGCTTTGAGTCACATCACCTCGGTAATATGCCCAAAGATATGTCACAATGCCCTGTTTAAAACACAGCCCTGGCAAAAGAGTACCGTCACTTGTGTGCCTGGGCCTAGCAATATGTTACTACCACCTGCTGTGTTCAGGGTCCTTTCCAGAGAGGAGAGTTACATTTCCTAAGTGGTGGACACAGTGATATGTTACAATGATGTCTGCGGAAATGGCGCAGGCAAGAATGTAACATCATCTGGGTGTTAGATCTGGTAATATTTCACAATCCTTAGAGAATGGCAAAGGCAGGATGGTCACATCCTCTAGAAGCTGTAACATCACCTGGGTTTTACATCCAGTGATATGTCACAATCCTGAGAGGACATCCAAGGGAGGAGAGTCATATCATCTAGAAGTTGGCCCAGGTAGAGATCACAATCCCTTATGTGGGCTGAAACCAATCTAGAGGGTCAAATCACACAGATGCTTGCAAATATTTGTATCACATTCACACTGGTAGAACATACCAGAGATGAGATTTATAATACCACACATGTCCTGTTTTCATGAGTGACAATGTGAGATCTGACAGTCCTTACTTTAAGGTGGGTGTGCATGTGAAACTTACAATTTCATCCTTCTGGGTTTTGTTAAGACACTCTCTGTACAAGTCATGGGCTTTATAAAATATCTGAGGCTGTTATAATCTTCTGTGGCCTTTTTACCAGAAAGAGATCCAAGACATCACTCGTGTTTCTAGAGCAAGTTACAAAAGTCAAATTAACTCCTGTTTCTGGGGTCCGCATATCAGAGTCATTATGATGCCTGTGAGCTGTGCCAAGGCATATGTCAAAATTTACTCTGTGGTAATGAAACAGGCATGACAGCCATATAACCTAAATGCCGAGGCAGAAATATTCCAATATTCTCTTTTCAGGCAAGTTCCTGGCAGAAATGTCACATAACTTTGGGGCTACGCCTAACTCTGTGGCACAATGGCCCTTGTAGGCAGTTTCCAGGCAGAAGAGGAGAGTCATATCACCTAAATAATAGGCCCAGAGATATGTCACAATGCCTCCTGTTGAAAGTGGCAGGAACGTATTAACGTATTATTTCTGATTATATCCATCTGAACTGGAGTAATCTGGTATCTTATTGTGGCTTTAATTTGCATTTTTCTAATAATTAATAGTGTTGACCATCTTTGCAGGTACTTGGCCATTTGTATGTCTTCCTTGGAGAAATTTCACTTAAGGTCTCTCATGTATTACTAAATTCTGGTTATTTTTGCTTTTGTGTTTGTTATATATTTTGTGTGATTATCCCTTGTCGTATGTATATTTTGCAAATATATCCTCCCACACTGTAAGTTGTCTCTACTCTATTAATTTATTTTTGCTATGTGATATTTTTTAGATTCTGTTAAATTCACTTGCCTGCTTTTGCTTTTGTTGCCTATGCTTTTGAGTTCTTATTTACATTTTCTTCCTGTCCTATTTTGTAAATCATTTCCCTATGTTTTATTCAAATAGTTTTTAAGATTGAGTTGTACCTTTAAGTCTTCTAATTATATATAATTAAGTTGTTTTAATATGGTAGGTAACCAGTTGACATCTAGTTATATTCATTTAAATAATCAATTTTCCTAGCACCATTCATTGAAAAGATTGTCGTTTCTTAAGTGCATATTCCAAACAGCTTAAAAATTACTTGGCCCTAGGTTTCTGAATTTACTATTGGGATCGCTGCATACTTTGGTCTATGTGTCTGTTTTCTATGCCAGTGTCATGCTCTTTTGCTTGTTGTAGCTTTGTAGGATATTTTAAAGTCAGGTGCTTTGATGCTTTCAGGTTGTTCTTTTTTCATAGGATTACTTTGGCTATTTGGAGAGGTTTTCTTTTGTTTTCTATGAATTTTTGGCCTGTTTTTTCCATTTCTGTGAAAAAAATGTCATTTGGTATTTTATAGAGTTTGCATTGAATCTGTAGATGCCCTTGAGTGGCAAAGCCATTTTAACAATATGTTTTATAACTAATGAGCAAAAATATCTCTCAAACTTTTCATGTCTTACTTTCTTTATAAGTGTTTTATGATTTACAGTGTAGACAGTGTTTATTTCTTAATTAGTTTTACTGCTAGGCACCTTTATTTTTTATTCTAGATGCAAAAAAAGTATTTGGAAAAATCTAACATGCCTTTGTGATTAAAACAACAGAAGAAATTAGGTATAGATGGTATCTACCTGAATACAATTAAGGCAAAATATGAAATTCATTAGCTGATATCACACTGAACAGGAAAATAGGAAAGTTTTTCTTTTGAGATCTGGAACAAGACAATGATGTCTACTTTTACCACTTTCATTCAACAGAGTACTGGAATTCTCAGCCTGATCATTTTGCAAGAGAAAGAAATAAAAGACATCCAAATGAAAAAGGAGAAATTCAGATTGTCTCTGATCACAGATCATACAATTTTTTATATAGCAGAACTAAATAGTACACTAAAAATCTTGAGAATTAATAAAGAAATTCAGTAAAGTGGCGTTATATCAAATTCACATACAAAATTAGGAGCATGTTTACATGCCAAGAATGAGCCATCTGAAAGAAAAGTTCAAGAAAAAAATTATTTACAACAGCTATAAAAATAAGTCCTGTTTCATTTTAAGTTCATCCTTGTGGTAAGGTTCAAAAATTGTTTTTTTGTTTGAGTATTCAGTATTCTCTACCTCATTTGTTAAATAAACTGTTCTTTTTTCATGTAAAGTGATAGAGACCAGAGATAGCCAAGGGACCTTTTCTCATTTTGAGTAATAGAGACAGGAGACAGTCAAGAGTCCTGGCCAAAACTCCACTTTTAAGCCTAAAACAGCCTAAAGGCTGATAAATTGAACTGCTGATTTCAGATAAAATCGGCCCTTTCCTGACTGTTTCTCTCTGAGTAATGCCCACACGCGCACTGGGAAAAGGAGGTGGAGCCATGGAAATGTCAAGGAAGGGGACACAAGCAAAGAAAAAAATGGATGCATGAGAGGCCAGTAATTCAATCAGGAAATTGGCAGATTTAAAATCTTATAGGTACTGGGTTTTTCTTCTGACTGTATGTGTGTAAAAGAGCTCCAATAAATTTACTGAAAAAATGATAAGCACTTGGATCAAATATTTTTGAAGGAAAGATGAAAGATGTGTATGTTTTAGTTCACATGACTTTAATGCTTGAGAAATAAAAACAGCCTTAAGATTATCAGTAAAACACAAATGTCATCAATATGTGAGTAGGTGGACTAAATTATGCAGGTCAGATACTAGGTTTGCTGAATGTTTTAAGGTTATAACTGCTTTTTTGGTTTTTGAAAACAGTTCAACTTTGCTTCACAATTGGTCAAGCCTGAGGAAAAATGGAACTAAACACACCCTTAATTATGGCTGCTCCTAGCACATAATTAGGACAATTTACCTGGCTTTACATTAAAGTTAAAATTGCTAAAATTTACCGTGATAATATGTAATTGAAACCACTGGAAGTACATTTCCAGACAAGGTGTGTAAGGACGGTAAAATGTGTTTTTAATACAACATTATAAGAAGGCATGCAAATATAAATTCTTGCCTAGGATCAAACAACCGTTTTGAATTACAGATGATAAAGCTGAAAGTTCAAACAAGTTATGGAAGAATTGTAAAAATAAATCTTTCCAAGAAATTCTGTGTGTGAATATCAATTAAATTCAAGAGGATATTATATGTTTTTTTGTTTTTGTTTTTTGTTTTTTTGTAAATTGAGCATTGAAATGAAAGCACAAAAAGTACTCTTAAGGCACTAATCTGCTCTGAAGGAAAATTTTTAAATAATGTAAAAGTTTCTGCTTTTTTATTTATAGGTCATTATTTTCGTTAAATAAATAATTTATGGTAATCTGGAATTTTATTTTATAACATCAAGCATTTCAAACTCCTAACATGTAATATCCTTCTCAAAATCAAACTTTGATTACAAAATGGTCTTTCCTAATTCCTGGTTTTTGAATGCTAAAGAGGGTGCCTGGAGTATCCACGAGAGCTTTATACAGGATCATACAACGTGTTTAGTTACAAGGAATCCCAAAAATGGTTTTCAATATTCTTTAGATGGCATTTTCATGAATAATACTAATACATGTTCCTAAATTGTATGGAATTTCTAAAATTCTAATGTCTGACATATATGCTGTCAACCACAATTAATGCTGTTATGTTAAGTTATTGCAAACCATAGACATAACCAAAATTTTTGTCAATCATCTTTCTGACTGTAACTACTCTGGATGTTTTGTTAAACACAGACAATTGTCATCTGGTTTTGACATTTTTCCAAAAATGTTTTTTAATCAGCTATAGAACTTTGACTGGTGCTCACAAATGCAGGCTTCTGAAAACTTTGGAGCTGTGACAGGAATACAGGAAAAACCTACCAGGACCCATGAAGAGCTAAAATGTTTATGAATATTAAACAAAACAAGAGTTAACTGAATGGACTGGACTGATAGAAACATGAAGTAATCTTTCCTATTTTTGCTTGTAACATTACTGACTCATGTATTGTTTACCATAGTCAAGGAAACTTATTTTGAGCTGTTTACAGCCTTTAATATTTGAGTAAGGTGTACTCCTGTGAAGAAAATTTGAATCATGTTTATCTCTCTCTTCCTGGCTTCTTCAGAATTTGAAAAATAGTTATGAGTGTTCTTAACTTATGGCAATATAGCTGTTTGAATCAGTGTAATAATAGTCTATTTTATTTGCAACAGGACACAGTTAGAGAAACTGGTTGTTTTATCAAGGCCTTGATTGAAAAGTTCTGCTTCCCTTTAAGCAGTCAAGCTCAACTTGCAGAGCCAATAATAGCCCCTTGGATAAACTGGCCTTATACCTTATCTACAGAGTCCTTGTGCAGGGTTCCAGATCTGTGGTAAGTAAAGAATGACACTTTGGACAGGCCCAGGGGCTCCAAGTTTATTTTGGGACCATAAGAGAAGAGGATAACCCAACTCATAACTAACTGATGGTACAAAACCATGGCTGGGTTTGACTTCAGAAAGTCCTCTCTGAAATTTCTTGTGGAAGAGTTCTATTAAAGCCAATGTAAAATAACTATGTAGGAATAATTTTTCTTGCTGTGCTTTATGTAAATAATGAATCCAAGCATACGACTAAAGCTGATTTCACAAAGAACTCAGTTCTATCATTATTTGTTTCTAACAACAACAACAAAAGAACTGAATGGAAAAGATTATTTGTCAAAACTAATTATATGGTTGTCATTAAATCCTAAACTCATTAGATTTGCATTTTTCCTACATTTTAGAACAAACCGGCTTATTCTTGTAAGCCAATTAGTGATATTCAACTGCAGCTCAGAAGAAATGAAAAGAAACTGGTAAAAATCTGGATTAATATTCTAGTTCTGGGCAATTATCCTGCAAACCCTGCATTGTTATGGGAATAAATAGTGTGCCCACCCAAATCTTAGCAAGCATAACTAGAGCCACGAGATATCTGGGTGTGTTACAAGACATTATTTCTCTCCCTCGTGGAAAGAGGACTCAATCCCACAGCTTCATCTAAAAATTCAGCTAACTATATGGAGTCCATGCAAATCCCTGAGCCACATTTTTGTCCCAACCTCAGTTTCAAGCTTCAGGTTGAAGCCCTAGGAAATAACACCGGATCTGAGAAATCCAGAAGGAGATGATAATGGAGGATAAAAGGCACAGTGCAGGTGAGCATGACAAATTCCAGACAATTAAGCCAAGCCTCCCATTTCATCGATAAAGATTATGCTAGTGTCCTTGGCATAAATAAAGTCTAGTGAACTCCAGAACTACTGACAGCAGAGTAGATAGGGCATACGTGGGTAAGAGCAGACATTTCAACCACCCTAGTTCTCTCCGTTAACATGGGTGAAAGCTGCTTTGACACCCATGGACGGACCTTGTTACAATCACTGGGACTCGGGGATAGAAGAATAGGAGCAGGAAAGAGAAGATTTTTTCTCCTATCCCTCAACATACCCTGGAAATTTGCAAGAAAGAGAAAGGAACCAGGGACAACTGCTTCTCTCTTTCTAGATGAGTAGCCATTTGTCTTCAGTCTATGTGCCTTTTGAATGCAAACTAAACCCTTGGGACTTCTCTGAAAATAATGTTTTTTGTTTTTTCTTTCTCCTCTGTCCTCTATTTACAGATAGGTAATCATGTCTTCATACTATGGGACACTTTCCTCAGATGCATCCTCAAAGCCTGGAAGAGTTAATTTCCCAAAATTTAGACTTGTTTGCTTAGGATCGAACTCAAGGCAAAAGAACCCAGAAGACTGACATGCTGGCCAAACAATTTTTTTTTTCTTCCATTGGAGTTTTTGTCCTTCCTCTTTCTATGGGAAAAGACCTTCCCTTTTCAAGGGAAAAGACCTTGGAAATTTTGAGCTGACCTTGCCATTTGCCCCTTGTTTCATTTCAGTACATGTTTTTTAATAACCCAGTTTGATTCTTTTTATTTTTAGCCTACCAAAGTTCAAAAAGTCACTCAACCAGAGCCTTGAACAGTGGCCCATTTCACTGGGGACAATTAGATAGGCCTCTTAGTGAGATCTGATTGCCATTTTTTTCCAAAAAAAAAAGTGCCCCCTCTCAGCAGGAAGCACTTAAAAGTTGTTTTTGTCCTAATCCTTATCCTTCTTCTAATGGCAGTCAGATGTACTCATTTAAAGGGGGGAAATAACGAGTTAGAAAAGAGCCAAGGGTCCTTGGCAAAACCACACATTCAAGCTTAAAACAGCCTGAAGTCTGAAAAATCAGACTGTTGGCCCCAGATAAAGCCTTCCTTTTTCCAACTGATTTTCTCTCAGTAATATCCACCTGCACAACTGGGGAAGAGAGTGGAGCCATGGAAAGTTCACCTCTTGTGCAGGGAGGAGAAGCCTGGACTCTTCAGTTTCCTGTGATGGTCTGGTGTTCATCAATTTGGGAGGTGGGGGCCTGTAAACAGGTCTCCAACTCATTTTGTTAAAAGTTTTCTTCTTCTTCTTCTTTTTTTTTTTTCCATTTTCCCCAATCAACTCTACTCCTCATCCTTCAGAGCGTCCCTGACTTAATATATTCTAGTCATGTGACCAGAACCCAATTTTTTTTGATGTAAGGAAAGTGTTCTGCAACATGAGGATTTGCAACCGTCGTTTAAGATAAGCTGAGTATACGCATGTGGGTTACTTTCTGGCTTCTCTTATCTCTTTCAACATTTATTTTTCTGTCTTTTTCCCAGCACCACACTGTTTGATTACTGTAACTTTGCAATATGTTTTAAAATAAAAAAATATATGACTCTGACTTTATTATATTTTCCCAGGTTGTTTGTCTATTTGTGGTTTTTGAGCATTTATAAAAATTATAGGGCAATATTTGGTGGCTCACTCCTGTGATCCCAGAACTTTGGGAAGTCAAGGCAGGTGGATTGCTTGAGTCCAGAAAGTTTGAGACCAGCATTGGCAATATGGTGAAACCCTGTCTCTACAAAAACCCCCAAATCTTGCTGACCGTGGTGGCATGCACCTGCAGGCCCAGCTACTTGTGAGGCAGAGGTGGGAGGATCAATTGAACTTCAGAGCTCAAGGCTACATGCAGTGAGCCATGATTAGGACACTGCACTCTAGCCTGGGTGACACAGCCAAATATTGATGCCAACACTTCAGAATATTTTAGTACTTCTGGAAAAACTACCATTGGTTTTTTGAAAGAGGTCTCATTGATCTGTAGATCATTTTGAATACCATAAACGTCTAAAGAAACGTGCATGTTCTAACTCTTTTAAAATAGCGTGCGGAAGAATTTGTCTACTTTTCATATACATGCAGACATGCTAGCTTTCTTTTGGTTTTGAACCTCCAGTTATATTTTACTGTAGTCAGAAGTAATACTTTTTTATAACCATTTGTTCAAATATGCTAAAACTTGCATGCTAGCTAAGAAGTTTGCCTATCTTAGGAAATAAACTGTATGTAATTAGAAATATTATGTATTATGCTATCGTTGCGTGAAATGTTTTGTAGATTATCCCTAGATCTTATTTTTCTTTTTAATCTTTTATTTTTCTGTACATTTGTCTTTGTTTTTATCTTGTTTCTCTTTATTTTTATTTACTTTCATTTTTTCTATTAATTTAATTTTACTTCATTTTTTATTTTTTGTTTTTTCATTATAGTCTCAATTTCAAATTTTCTAGATTTTTGTTGTTTGTAATTTTATTCAATTTCTTGTTTCTTTTATTTATTTCCATGCATATCTCTTTGTTATTTTATTTTTCTCTGCATTTCTTTTTTACTTTCACTTGTCTCTTCTTATTCTTAAAATTTTCTTATTTCTCAATTTTATTGTATTTACTGTTTATCTTCATCTTGATTTTATTTTCACTAATCTTAGTTATATTTTTCTTTACTTTTCTCTATTTTGTTTCAGTTTATTTTATTTGCCCTTACTATTTTCCAATTGCTTTATTTTTAAATTTTATTTCTCTTGAATTATTTTTTCTTTATTTGTCTACATTTTGCTGAGGCAGGGTATAGTCAGGGGCTCCTATCAGAACTGCTGTTATCCCTGGACAGATCTTTTATTGTTACAAGCCCATCTAGCATTCAGTTTTACAGGCCATTTCTACTGCTTTCGAAAGCCCCGTGCAAGCCTCAGTATTGCTAGGCTGAAGCCCTGATTGCCTCTTTATTTGTGTACGAATGGGTTCCCTACACACAATCCAGGGCACTGATTGCTCTTCCTACTTTACAAGGACAGAGCCGCACCCACTCCACTCCAACAAGTAATGTCTGCACCATATGTGAATCTTTTTGCCGTTAAAAAATAAAATTTTGAGACAGAGTCTTGCTGTGTCACCCAGGCTGGAGTGCAGTGACGTGACCTCAGCTCACTGCAACCTCTGCCTTTCAGTTTCAAGTGATTCTCCTGCCTCACCCTCCAAAGTAGCTGGGATTACAGATGCCAGGAATTTTTTTTTTCTTTTTTGTATTTTTAGTAGGGACGGGATTTCACCACGTTGGCCAAGCTGCTTTCAAACACCTGACCTCAATGATCTACCCTCCTCGATCCCCCAAAGTGCTGGGATTGCAGGTGTGAGCCACTGCACCCAGTCAAAAAAATTTGTTTTAAGTTTTAACTTGACATATATTTGATTTATTTTGAATATATTAGCTTTATGGGTAGATACACATTCATATATGTACAAAAATGCAATTGATGTGAGAAGATGAATATTTCTACATTTTATCTTATGATTTCATGGAGTTGCTATTTTACCTTTTCCTTTCTTTATCTTTATATGTTTAATGGGAAGATCCTCAGTGAAGACCCCTCACTGTGATAGACAAAATATTGTACAATAAATCATGGATAGATGCAGTGAAGTAACTTCTGGTTTTTATTTGGAGATCTCATAGCTGGGATTAAAAACTCTGGTGGTAAAAATCACCTGATGAGGACTTTTAATATGCTGTCTTCTTCTGCACATTTTCCCACCATCACAATTTTTTGAATTTCCCAAGAAAAAATGTGGAAAATTATTTCCCTCATACCTACTCATCTCCCTTTTATAGGTTTTCAGGTTATGCTTTGTGCAGATTGCTTAGAAGCTCACGATCACAGACATCATATTTGTCAAGAGAAAGCTTTGTTGAACCAGGATTAAGTGTAGGTGTTTACCTCCTAAGGGCCCATGGTTCCTCTAGAGGTTGGATGGATCTTCAAAACCATTACTGAATCCAGGAACTGAAGACAGAATTTGAGGGCATTGAAAAATGCTCCCTTTTGATTTCCAAGTGTTCGCTGCTTATTCTGGCATTAATCTTGATTGTGACCACGATGTTTCTCTTAGTCATCTTTCCTGGTACACCACTGATTGTGCATCTAAGGAAAAGAGGCCTGAATGAGAGTGTTAAGGAGAACAACAGCATCTTTCTTAGCTGATGCCTCGGTGAGCTTTGAAGCACATTGAGCAGAGTCTGAAATCCTTCCTTAATATAGGATAAGTTGCATCAAATTCAACTCCCATAGAAATGGCACCAGGTTCAAGATGTCAAAGAAGAGACTTAGAACAAGTGAATGAGATACGGAGTTTTACTGGGGACTTAAAAAGAGGGGAAAAAGTCCACTGTCAGTGGGCTTAGCATGATAACCATTCCCACTTACAAAAAGCATGCAGTTTGTATAGCATTGTTATTTAGCACTTTTTTCAACAACTTTTCACCTGTCAGCATTTATTTAACAAAAAAGGAGTGGCCTCAGTCCCCTGTGTGGTCTGTATTCCATGCCACAGGATGGAACAGACCTGGTACTGAGATATTCCTCATAAAGAAAGAATAATTTTCAGGTTAGCCACTACTAGGTTTTTTATCTTGGATCTCTGGGCACTCAGAAGCTTTTTTTTTTTTTTTTTAATACAAGGTCAGTCTCCAGGTATGCCCAAGTCAAGTTAACACTGTCAGTTTCATCCATCATACAGGCTGGTTAAGGCAGTGGAGGGTCTTCTTCCTGAGACTCTAAATTCAAAATGGTTTGATTTTTCTTAAATCCTTGAGTTGACAGTTTACTAAAAGGCCCATTGTGTGTGCACATTGCTGGTATGGTTGTCTAAGATAATGAGATGGCTTCTTAGTTGGTAGGGTGTGTTTCTGTTACAGGTGTGACTGGGTTTGTACAGGCTGCTGAGGTGCCCCTTCTCCAGACTGTCATTGGATCATGACATTCTGGGGTCCCAGTTCCACTATTTCCCAAGGTGGGACACGCTGACGCAGAACCTGAAATTGTGATTCACGGTGACTAGGCTGAGGCTGGCCCTTAAAAGGCAGAACTGCCAGGTCTGTGTCTTATTTTCTTTGTCATTCTAATTTATCTTTTTTTTTTTTTTTTTTTTTTTTTTTTTTTTTTTTTTTTTTTTTTTTTTTGAGACGGAGTCTCACTCTGTCGCCCAGGCTGGAGTGCAGTGGCGGGATCTCGGCTCACTGCAAGCTCCGCCTCCCGGGTTCACGCCATTCTCCTGCCTCAGCCTCCCAAGTAGCTGGGACTACAGGCGCCCGCCGCTACGCCCGGCTAATTTTTTGTATTTTTAGTAGAGACGGGGTTTCCCCGTTTTAGCCGGGATGGTCTCGATCTCCTGACCTCGTGATCCGCCCGCCTCGGCCTCCCAAAGTGCTGGGATTACAGGCGTGAGCCACCGCGCCCGGCCTCTAATTTATCTTTTGGTATGGAGAGCAGAAAACAGTCTGAGGATGTGACAGCCCTCCTCCTAGAGTTGGCACTATTTATGCATGGTTCTTAAGTGTCAAGGTAGGTTGAGAGATCTCTCTTCCTGGCACAGCCTGAGTGGGCTAGAGTGCTGTGACCCTTAACTCTAGTCATGCAGCCTTCAGAGGAATTTCAAAAACCACCGGATGTGGGGGATAGAGAAAGAGCTGGTACAAATGACAAGTTGTAGGTAAAATAATTGGAGACAGGAAGAGAATGGGACCTGCTTGGGTCAGTGCACACACTGCATGGGTGCAGCTTAACAGTCAATCCATTTCTCTGATTTGGCCCTTGTGTCATGGAATTAACATGTCCACTTCTGCTCTGGCCTCGGAGCTGAACTCTTTGTTTCTAGAACCAAATTTAAATTCTCATCTCTGGAATTACATTTGGGTTTCACAGGCCACTGGAGTGGGGAGGCCCAGGTGCGCCCACAAAAGAGGCTGTTGTTGGGCTTTCCTCACATGAGTTTTGTGCCTACGCTCACAAGGATAAGGGATCTTCTTCCTCAAGGCATGCCAGGAAGGCTTATGGGAGCCAGTGAAGAAAAAAGGTGATGCCTCAGCCCAGTGCTGTTGCCCCTCCTGGCTTGTGGCTTTGGGCTCTCAATCATGCTCATCAGAAAAATGAGCAATGAAAGCCCCTCAGTGACTGACTGCTTACCCCACCTTTACCATGCCACAGGACAGTGCCACCCCTGAAGCTCCAAGTACAGCCTGTGCTTCAAAAAACTGAAGAATCTCTCGGTTCAGTTCAGGGCCCTAAGAGGGTTCTCCCCTGCAGGGAACTCTGATGCCTACCCCTCCTTGCCCAACTGACAGCTAAGCATGTCTGCTGTGTTGCACCCTTGTTGCCTGCTCTTATCAAGCCCGTGTCTCCATGAATTGACTAGGGGCACAGGCTCACTGAAGCCCAAGTGACCTGTCTAACACTCCTTCAACGCACAGCCTCAGGCATGTGCCATACAGGTTTCTCCTAGAATGTAATCTTAGGGTGTCACACCACCAAATTCTGCTCTAACTTTTGGACTAGCTAATCAGTAAGTCACTTAATGTTCCAAGATGGGTGTGAGCCTTGACTCTCTTTATCTCCTTCCTCTAGTGGGGCTGCATTGTGGGTTGCCATCCTGATTTCTTTGTGGAAAAAGATAGCAGATGAGGCAGGACCCAAGGGCCAGGGACAGGACAGAACACCTAGGCTGGCCTCCCCTAATGCCCTCTGAGGTCCCTGCAGGAGAGAGGGCTCAATGGAGTTCCAGGCCCCTTTTCTAGGATGGTGGGAATAGCCCCTTCCTGGACCACCAAGAAAAGCCTACTGTTTCTGCAACCTGCACCTACGTGTCTCTAGATGAGCATCCGTTTATCTTTGTGGTCATGGCCTTCTGCTTCATTTCCATAAGATATTCTCCTGGAACAAATGCCTAGGGAATCCTGGGCCTATAGTGAAGGTTCTCAAAGTGCCAAAGTCCATAAGATTCTCAAAAACATAATTAGTAGTATTTTCTACACATTGCTGTCTCAGGGTTGATTTTGCCAAATAATCTGTAAAAACAAATATTAAAATTTTTATCCTTTACATTATTTTAATTACATCATCATACAGAGCTTTTATTTTCTGAAATTTATTGTTATACCAATCATTGAATTTTTCTTTTCTTCTTTGTCCAAATCGTTACCTGTTTTAGACACCAAATCTTAAAAAAAATGCTGCACAAATGCTGATAGGTGACAGCAATTTATTTAAAATTTAATCAAGTTTCTTAAATAAGTAAATAATTTCAGTAAACTTAGTTTATGTTATTTACATAAATTATTTTTCATCTTATCCTCAATCTTAAAATAAGGTTATCTTGGTATGCAATTCAAAATCAACAGATTTTTTTAAATAGGCAAATTAAAAACATTTTTTGGACATGTTGGGTAATATAATTCTCAAATAGCTTATCTTTCTCAAGTAAAAAAAGAAATCAACGCACTTGAAAATTGATATTCATAGTATCTTTAAAAGTTACATTATGAATATGCTTTTATAGTTGCCAAAAACTTAGTAAACCTAAATCTAGTCTTCCACAGTAAAACTTAAAGATTATACAAAGGAGATTAAATTTACAGGCTAAATTTCCCACAAAAAATTAAAAAGATTCTTTGCTTTATCTTTCAGTATCTGATAATAAGCAGATTTTATGACATTCAGAATCTGCTTGAGTAAAGAAATAAGGCTAAAGAGCTCTTGTGAAAGAATCATTAAAAAATATACAGAGCAAACCTATTATGTGTATTATTTTTAAAAATCACCCAATTCATATTTCAAACAAATACTAATTTTACTGGGTTTTACTACTTGCAGAAGGTGGATTGACTTAGAACCTGATGGAACGTAACCACTCTTTATATACCCCCCCAACTGCCCGTAATCTACCCAGAATTGAAGGCTGATCCTTCCAGTTCCTAAGAAGACAAACTTGACGCACACGGAATTCTCATTTAGGCTTGTTTCCCACTTCTGCCTTCCAGTAATGTCTGCCAGCCCTACACTTCTGAGAATCCAGGACAGCAGGGCACAAACAAAATCTCCTTGAACTGTAATAAATGTTTGGTTTTGTTCTTCCATATTACACAGCTTTTCTATCTGCAGAAACATTAAGTTGAAAATGTGCTGTGTCAAGATCTAGAATCCAGTAGGGCATGGTGGCTCATGCCTGTACTCCCAGCACTTTGGGAGATCAAAGAGGGAAGATCATAAGGTCAAAATATCTAGACCCTCCTGGCTAACATGGTAAAACTCAGCCTCTGCTAAAACATATAAAAAATTAGCCAGGCGTGATGACACACACCTGTAGTCCCAGCTACTAAGGAGGCTGATGCAGGAGAAGCACTTGAACCTGGGAGGTGGAGGTTGCAGTGAGCCAAGATCATGCCACTGCACTGCAGTCTGGGTGACAGAGTGAGACTCTATCTCAAAAAGTAAGTAAGTAAGTAAGTAAGTAAATAAATAAATAAATAAATAATCTAGAATCAAATCTACATGAAATGGCTGGATAATTCTGTCTAAGCCAGAATTTAGAGGACGAAGACAAAAACAATACTTTGTTAATCTAAATGAAAAGAGTTCAGGGCATTTTAGGTGTCAATACCTGGGGTGAATACGGTTAACATGTGTCAGCCATTTCAAGTTTGACTGGATAGACTTGTGCACTACTTCTCTCACTAAATGTTTAAATGCAGAAACATAATCTGAAAATTTTACAACGTTTTCACTTAGTTTTGCTAAAATGTCCATCTCTTAATCTTGTTTCAATTGTGAGATTCACTAGTGCAGCATTGGTTACAATTATGCTCTCCTCGTATGCAGAATTAATGTCATTTATTTACTATAGATATTTTAAATTTCTCACTTGAGACCACAGGCTAATTTTAAAAGGAATATTTATTTCTAATTACATAGCTTCCATTACATACCTAGTATTGTATTTGTTTACTTCATGTGTATGTCAAAAAGACCTCATGACTTACTAAACGTTCTATTGTTTACTTAAATATATTGGCCCAATAAAATTAATAAACTCAATTCTGTCAACTTTATAGAGTAAAATAGTCAATAAGTAAACAAAAAAATTGGATTAAATAGAATTCTGAAATTGAAAAAATACAAAATGTACTAAATAAATAGCATACCATACATGCACTGTAAAATTACTCACATGTAAAAATTATTTTCCGAATAGCGTTACATTTTATCAAAGTCACTTTCATAATTTCTGAGGGGATTGTACAGAGAATGTCTTTTCACTTGTTTGTTTGTTTTGAGATGAAGTTTTGCTTTGTTGCTCAGGCTGGAGTGCAATGGCACCATCTTGGCTCACTGTAATGTTCATCCCCTGGGTTAAAGTGATTCTCCTGCCTCAGCCTCCTGAGTAGCTGGGATTACAGGAGCCCGCCATCATGCCCACCTAATTTTTGTATTTTTAGTAAAGACAGCATTTCACCGTGTTGGCCAGGCCGGTCTGAAACTCCTGATCTCTGGAGATCCACCTGCTTCAGCCACTCAAAGTGCTGGGATTTCAGGCATGAGCCACCAAGCACAGTCCAAAGAAAGTGTTATGAACTTTGATGAAAAGAAAATTATATATTATGTCTAGGGTGAGCAACAGGCTAACCTACAAAAAAAGAAAAATTTGCAGAAGATGATTCTAAGCCACTAGCAATCACATTTTAAATCAAGGAGCTTAATACAAAGCAGAGAAAATAGATTTGCTTTGAAAATCTTTGAAGTTTCTGGCTTGCTGGTAAGATGTCAACACTTGTAAAAGGATTTGTTTCATTTTAATATTTTTATTTTCTTCTCAATGTAACCAACCATAAATAAATATGATTATTTTCTAGAAGTTTGTTACATACCTAGAGTTTATTTTACAGTAATATATTTCTTATATTTAAATTCATGTAAATCAAAACTAAAGGTCTGTGTGTGTTTATCAGAGCAGAGCAGTCATACCTTTAATAGAGAAAAAGTAGGATCAAATTTTATAAATAGTTGTTCAGTATTCAGAAACATAGAGCTCCGTTATACTAATATGATCTTCATTACAACCATCATAATAACCTGTAGTTACAAGGAAAAAAAATGTAAGTTGTAAAAACCACACTTTCCAAATTATTTCATTTTAAAAACCACTGACAAAGGAATCACTACAGATGTTATTCCACTGTCTCTCAGTAGTATATTGTTACCATCAGTTACCTACAGCCTTGGTTAAGATGGGATAACTTATCATCAGTTGCAAGATACACATTCAATGTCAAATAGCTTTAACAAAATAACAATATTGATTTACTAAAAGAAATTAAGTCCACGCATTTTCATTAAAAAGGCATTTTGGAATTCACTTTATTCCAATTACCTTAATTTGCAAATGGTAAAGCAATGTCCAACTAAAAATCAAATTGTTTCTCTCACTATGCAGAATGTTGCCCTTACTCCACTCCTATCATCCTGTCATTTATGATACTGTCGTAAACCAACAACTAAGTTGCCTTTGTACATAGAAATTCTTCAGGTATCTTAGATTTCTGTTTACTTAATCTTCCATGGAAAAGTGTATAAATCTGTCCTTGTAATATAGAAGAACCTCTCATAACTCTGGTGCAGCAGCTATTGACCATGCTCTTTCACATAAATTCTAGAAATAAAGATATATCACCAAAGGTAAGAGATGAATTACATCAATATTTGCTTTTGAAAATATATGTTCTCAAAAAATATTAAATTCTTTTAATATAAAAAGTATATTCCTTTTAGAGGAAGGTGATCAAGATTGCTGACTAGAAAGAGGCAGCTAGACTCTGTAGTTCTCATAGACAGGAATGCAAGGTGTGCATAAATACGTGACGTTCAGCTGAAACACCAGGTACTTGCATTGAGACTAATCAAAGAAGCAACTTAACATAAGGAGAATGGAGTAAAGCAAGGCAGGACACCGGGACACCTGAAAGCAACATGGAGCCAGGGACACCTTCACAGCCAGTAAGGCAGTAAGTGAATGCATGATCCTGGGAACCCATGATTCTTCCACAGATCTTTGCAACCCTCAGGTAAGGTGATCCCCTAATAAACCCACTTCACCGGGGCCTTTTGTATAATGCACATAGCTACAGGGAGTCTCAGCAGAGCAGCCACTCAAGACTGCAGTGATTCAAGAGCCTTAGATTCGCTGACTTTCCAGCCTTCCCAGAAAAATTCGCTGGAACTCCAGCAAAGCAGGAGGTTACAATCTTGAACATATCCATAGGAAAAAGGCAGAATTCAGGGCGCTTAGCATTGATGGTCTGTAGGACGCATTTTCTCAGTGCCTCACAGGGTAAGATGTACTGGCTTAGAATTCCAGCCAACCATTGGTAGCAGCACTGCATCTCCCTGGGATGGAACTACCAGAAAGAGGAGTGGGCCGTCATCTTTGCTGCCTGGGAAACTTAGCCATTTCAGCCTTCAGGCTTTGAAGAGCCCAAGCTGACTAGAATCACAAAGCATAGTACAGGTGCTCTAGAAAGACATGGCCAGACTGCCTGTTAAAGCAGGTCCCCAATCTCCTTCTTCCTCACTGGAAAGTACTTCCTGATGAGTTTCTCCAGCTAACACCACTGGTACTCTTTGGTTGATGGAATTTTGAAAACTTTTTGGGCTACAGTTCCTAGAGCAAAGAGTGAGCTGCCATTTTTCCTGTTTGTGTCACTTACCTGTTCCATCCTTCTGGCTTTGGAGAATCCAAATAAACTGGATGGAAGTGGTACCTCTGCACAGCAGACCTGTTCTACAAAAGATGGTTACAGTGCTTCCTTCCTTCCTTCCTTCCTTCCTTCCTTCCTTCCTTCCTTCCTTCCTTCCTTCCTTCCTTTCTTTCTTTCTCTTTCCTTCCTTCCTTCTTTCTTTCTTTCTTTTCTTTTCTTTCTTTCTTTCTTTCTTTCTTTCTTTCTTTCTTTCTTTCTTTCTTTCTTTCTTCCTTCCTTCCTTCCTTCTTTTTCTTTCATTTTCTCTCTTTCTCTCTCTCTTTCTCTTTCTTTCTTTCTTTCTCTCTTTCTCTTTCTTTCTTTCTTTCTTTCTTTCTTTCTTTCTTTCTTTCTTTCTTTCTTTCTTTCTTTGTCTTTCTTTCTTTCTCTCCTTCCTTCCTTCCTTCCTTCCTTCCTTCCTTCCTTCTTTCTTGAGACAGAGTGTCACTTTTGTTGCCCAGGCTGGAATGCAATAAAGCAATCTCAGATCACCACAACCTTTGCCTCTTGAGTCCAAATGATTCTCCTGCCTCAGCCTCCAGACTAGCTGGGATTACAGGCATACACAAACACACCTGGCTAATTTTGTATTTTTAGTAGAGATGGGGTTTCACCATGTTGGTTCAGGCTGGTCTCCAACTCCGGACCTCAGGTTGATCCGCCCACCTCAGCCTCCCAAAGTGCTGAGACTACAGGCAAGAGCTGCTGCACCCAGTAGGCTGCTTTCTTAAGTGGATCCCCAGTCATTTTCTTTTCACTGGGGAAGACCTTTCCACAGGCATTTCTGGCTACTTCCTACAAGTGCTTTTGGGCTGAAAACAGGTCTATACCTCCCTGGGATGGAGCTCCCAGAGAAAAAGGCATGTGCCATTGTTGCTTTTTTTGCACATTCACTGGTGATAACTTCAGGTACCGGAAAATCTGAGGTGACTAGATACTGTAGTGGACACCCAGCGTATTGCAGATGCAGCAGCTTTTCACAAAAGGGGTCAGACTGTTACATGTGTTCCTGTTCTTATATATTCTCAGTGGGCAGGTCCTCCAGGCCTGGGCCACTAGCCAATCATTGCCAGAGCTATTGAGCCAGCAAAAACTTAGGAACTCCATGGACACAGCTTCCAGGGGCAACTGAATATATTTCATCATTGCCTGTGCAGAAGAGCTGTCCCTGCTACCCTCAAACTAATGAAATATCCCAAACCCTAATTGCCTTATTCACACCTCAAACGAGCTGCATTATGCCCAAGGAGAGGAGGTTAGACCATCCTCCATGGGGCTCACAAACTCCCCAGTGCTCCTCACCAGACAGTGAGCCCCTAACTTGGCTGAAAGCACATATTTTCCATCCAGGGCTGACTGCACCGAGGGATTGATGACCTACATCTCTCTCAAGTGCAGCCCCCCAGAAGACCAGCAAAGAGGTGGGGCAGTAAGCCAGCTCATATGGTTTCCAGAGGGTTTGGTGCAAGAGCATCTATAGTAAAATAAGGCCAGTGATGGCCATTTCTATAGACTAAACTTGCTCCCATAAGAGACTTTAGCCTGAGGGGAACTAATTTCTACAGGATAATGTTGCAAATCAGAAGGGGTGGTCCAACCGAGCACTCCTTGGTCTTCGGGCCTCTCCCAGGGTCCCAGTCTAGCTACAGTTGCTTACAGGGCAGTCTCAGTTACCCTGGAAGATAATACCACAGCATCGGCAATGGTAATCCATGCCTGACCCCTGAAGAACTACAGCAAGGCAGACCCTATCACTGCAGCTTACATGTATCTTCCCCATTCTGCAGCCCACATGTATCTTCCTCATACTGCAGCTTCCCCTGATACCACGGCAACTCTCCATATTACTTTCCTGGCATATGTCTGCAAAGGTGGGTTTGGCTTTGCTTGCCCCACCAGCAAGTGGGAATGCAGTATGCCTCTGCCACCCTCAGCAACTTCTACTGTAGATAAAGCTCTGGTGGGTAGAGAACCAGAAAGCCTCACCCCTGCTTTTCTGCTAACACTGTGTGGTGAGCAGTGTATCCTCCCACACTCTGAACAATTAGAACTTCATGAGGGGCCACAAATAAGACTTTAGTGCAACAGCACACACAGTCTCCAGCAGATACAGCCTACTCCCCTCTTAGCTGCTTTGTTCCTGTCACTGAGGTGAATGCCCAAAGACAGGCAGAAACCCCATATCCACTAACACTCTTCTGAAGCTGTGACACATTAGTCACAAAGAGTGGTGGACTCTAAATATCAAGGAGCCAGAGAAGACAGCTGGAGCTCAATACAGGTTCCTAAGAGTATGAAGCCTCCGAGCAGTGAGCTGAGCATAGCCGCTCCACCACCAAAAAAAAAAAAAAAAAAAAAAAAATCTCCCAGGAACAAAGCCTGTTAGTTGCAAACACCTTATTCCACATCAAATATTCAAGACCATTAAATAGGATCAAAAAAAAAAAAAAAACAAACAAACAAACCCAAAACCCCATTCAAAGGTCAGCAATCTCAAAGATACACGCACAAAGATTAGACAAAATCAGTGCAAAAATGTTGAAAACACAAAAAGCCACAGTGACATCTCTCATCCAAATGAAAAAATTACATTTCCACCGAGGCCTAAGATGACAGAAGTATAATTCAGAATACGGAAATGAATAAACTTCATTGAGCTACAAATGGAGTTGCAACCCAATGCAATGAAGGGAAAAAAATTGCAGGAATGGATAGAAAAAATTGCCAATGAGGAGGAAAATGTGACCAATCTGATAGAGCTGAAAAAACACAATATGAAAACTTTGTAATGTAATCACAAGTATTAACAGCAGAATAGGCCAAGTAGAGGAAAGAATCTCAGAGCTTCAATACTGGCTTTCTTAAATAAGACAGACAAGATGAGTGAAAAAAAAAAAAAAGAGGAATAAACAAAACCTCTAAGAAATATGGGATTATGTAATGAAACCAAATCTATGATTAAAAAGAGTGCCTGAAAGTGATGGGGAGAATAAAAACAACTTGAAATACTTATTTTCAGATATCATTCAAGAGAGCTTTCCCAGCCTATATAGAGAGGCAAACATTCACATGCAGGAAATGGGGAAAATCCCAGTAAGATACCTCACAAGAAGGTCATTTTCAAGACACGTAATCATGAGATTCTCCAAGGTCAAAATGAAAGAAAAAAAATGTATTAAAGGCAGCTAGACTAAAAAGACAGGTCACCTCTAAAAGAAGGCCATCAGGCAAACAACAAACCTTTCAGTTGAAATGCTACATGTCAAAAGAGATTAGGGACCAATATTCAACATTCTTAAAAAAAGAATTCCAAATCAAAAATTTATATCCAACCAAAGTAAGCTTCAGAAGTGAAAAATAAATGTGATCCTATTCAGATATGCAAATGCTGAGGAAATCTTTTAGCACAGACCTGACTTACAAGAGCTTCTAAAGAAAACATTAAATAAGAAAAAGACTATAACAGTCACTACAAAAACACACTAAAAATCATAAATTGATGACACTATAAAGCAACCACATAAATGTGCAAAATAGCCAGCTGAGATCATAGTGACAGAATCAAATCCATACATATGAATACTAACCTTAAATGAAAATGGGCTAAGTTCCCCAATTACAAAACAGAGTGGCAAGCTGAATAAAATATCAATATCTAATGATGTGCTATAATCAAGACACCCATCTCAAATAAGCTCGAAAAAAGGAAAAAAGAAAAATCTACCAAGCAAATAGAAAACAGAAAAAAAGTAGGGGCTGCAATCCTAGTTTCTGGCAAAACAGACTTTATGTCAACATAGGTTTTAAAAAAGACAAAGAATGGCATTACATAATAGTAAACACTTATATATGTACCCAACAAAAAAGCACTCAGATTATGAAGCAACTTCCTAGAGACTCTCCAAGACCATAAGTTAAATGTTCTTAAACAGTCATTAACTTTATACCGTATTGGTTCAGTATAAAGTCTCTGATGTTGAACCCAAAATGAGGACTTATTGAAGGCTTTTCCACATTTTGAACACTTGTGGAGCTTCTCTCTATATGAGTTATCTTATGTCTGATGAGGTGTGAGAATGAGCTCAATGCTTTGCCACATTCTTCACATTTGTGGGGTTTCTCACCAGTGTGAATTGTCTTATGACTAGTAAGGTCTGAGAAGCACTTAAAGGTTTTGCCACATTCTTTGTATTTGTAAGGTCTCTCTTCCATACGAATTCTCTTGTGGTTAATAAGGGTTGAGGAGCGGGTAAAGGCTTTGCCACATTCTTCATGGATGTGGGGTTTCTCTCCAGTATGAACTATTTTATGTTTACTAAGGACAAAGAACTACATAATAGCTCTTCCATGTGCATTACATTTGTAGAGTATGACTCTCTAGTATGAATTGTCTTATGTTTACTAAGGTCTGAGAACCACCTATAGGGTTTATTACATTCTTCACCTTTGTAGGTTTTCTCTGCGGTATGAATTATCTTATGTTTATGAAGGTCTGAGAACTACCTATAGGCTTTGTTACATTCTTCACATTTGTAGGATTTCTCAGCAGTATGAATTCTCTTATAATTAGTAAGGTCTGAGAAGCACTTAAAGGATTTGCCACATTCTTCACATCTGTAGGGTCTGTCTCCAGTATAATTTCTCTTGTGTTTAATAAGGGTTGAGCATCAGGAAAAAGTTTTGTCTCATTCTTTACATTTGTAGGGTTTCTCTTCATTTTAAACTCAAATTTATGTTCGGCAAGGTTTGAGAAATATTGAAGGCTTTGACACATTCTTCACATTTGTACCATCTCTCTGCCGTAGGAATTCTCTTTTTTATAGTAAAATCTGAGAACAACCTACGGTCTTTGCCACATTCTTCACATTTTCAGCACTTGTCTCCACCAAAACTTTTTTTATGTTCAGTGAAGTTTGAGCACAACTCAAAAGCTTTGCCTTATTTATTAGGTTGACAGGTTTTGCTAAGGGTAATTAACAAACATTGATAAAGCCCATCATAACTGCTTTCTGCACATGGGAATTACCCACACTTTGGTAGTCTTTCCTTAAATATAAACCATTAAGGTCACAGCTACCATATTTTCTCAGGATCACTTTTTGAAATGATTCTTTTATGTCATACTCCAGCAATAGCTCTACAGTAAAATAAAAAGAGAAAGCTAAGAAAATAAAAGGACTATAAATCTCTCCCTCATTAGACTCAGGTGAATACAACTTACAAATATATAATTAAACAAAGCACATTAACAAGGTGACAATAAAATATCACAGGCTCTAATTCCTTAATACAAATTTAAACTTAACAGAAATACACCGATCAAAATGCCTTTGTGAGAAGTCTAATAACCAGGTAAAAATTTGCAGCACCCGAAGGGAGCAAAATGCAAAAAACCACATAGTGGTTTAATAAAAGTATTTTGCGTTTACCCACGAAAGCCATTCTTCATCCTATGATGACTTTAAATATCGACTCCCAACTCCTGTCTCCACCGTCCAATAATAAATAAAATAGTGACACCTGTGTCCATGCTTCTGGGTTTTTGAGACCTTACAATAAACTAATTTCTATATTCCATGGCAGTGTTGAAAGGAAAGTTGGTAACTGACAGTTTTGGATAGCTGAGACCAAAGTTAAATGACTGTTACAAGTGAAGGCAGAAAAGGGGTATAGCAACTGACTATAGGATCTCAATAAGAAACATGGAGAATGCCGGGAGCGGTTGCTCGCACCTGTAATATCAGCAATTTGGGAGCCTGAAACAGGCATATCACCAGAGGTGAGAAGTTCAAGACAAGCCAGGTCAACATGGTGAAACCTTGTCTCTACTAAAAATACAAAAGTTAGCTGGGTGTGGTGGCAGGCTCCTGTAATTCCTGCTATTCAGGAGGCTGAGGATGGCGAATTGCTTGAACCCAGGAGCTGGAGGTTGCAGTGAGCCAAGATTGTGCCATTGTACTCCAGCCTGGGTAACAACAGTGAAGCTCCCACTCAAAACAGAAAGAAATACCATTTGACCTAGCCATCCCATTACTGGGTATATACCCAAAGGATTATAAATCATGCTGCTATAAAGACACATGCACATGTATGTTTATAGCGGCACTATTCACAATAGCAAAGACTTGGAACCAACCTAAATGTCCAACAACGATAGACTGGATTAAGAAAATGTGGCACATATACACCATGGAATACTATGCAGCCATAAAAAATGATAAGTTCATGTCCTTTGTAGGGACATGGATGAAACTGGAAACCATCGTTCTCAGCAAACTATCGCAAGGACAAAAAACCAAACACCCCACGTTCTCAATCACTGGTGGGAATTGAACAACGAGAACACTTGGACACAGGAAGGGGATCATCACACACTGGGGACGGTTGTGGGGTGGGGGGAGGGGGAGGGGGAGGGATAGCATTAGGAGATATACCTAATGCTAAATGACGAGTTAATGGGTGCAGCACACAAACATGGCACATGTATACATATGTAACAAACCTGCACGTTGTGCACAGGTACCCTAAAACTTAAAGTATAATAATAATAATAATTAATAATAATAATATTAAGAAGAAGAAGAAGAAGAATAAAAGAAAGAAAGAAAGAAAGAAGGCAGGAAGGAAGGAAAAGGAAAGAAGATAGGTAGGAAGGAAGGAAGGAAGGAAAGAAAGAAACAGAGAGAAAGAAAGAAAGAGAGAAGAAGGAAGGAAGGAAAAGAAGAAAAGAAAAGAAAAAAGAAAAATATGGGAAAACCTTTTAAACTAAAAAACACACAAGCCCAGAGAAAACATTTACAGAATAAGCTTTAGAGACCGAAGAATATCTAGCCTAAAAAATGTGTATTTTATTCCCCCAGACAAAAGAAACTTAATACAGATTTTGACATGTCACATTTTATTATACAAATTGCAACCTAAGATTACAACATATATGAAACATCAAGATAATATGGCTCAATCAAAGATAAAAATAAATATCCAGAAATCAATTATTAAAAAACGGGGAGGTAAAAATTAACAGAGACAATATGAGTTATAGTCTAGATATATTCTTAAAAAAATTAATTACCCTTAAAAATTAACATTGCCGATTTAGTGATGCTCCGTGAGTAAAATGGAAATAAATAAATTAAGAAAAAGGAAATAAATGAAATAACAAAAATTAAACCAACAAAAAATAAAAAGCACAAAAAGAAATAAAAATTGTGGAGTGGAAATACAGAAAAAGACTAATATGTACTTCACCATTAGTAAAAAAAAAATGAGAAGATCAATAAGCTCAGCAAATTTCAAATAAAATTAACATTAAGAGATTTACAACAAGACACAAGTTAAGCAACGTTTTGGAAGTCACATAAAAGAGAATGAAGAATGCAGAAAGAAAAAAAAACAAATGTATTATTTATATTCACACTTCTGCAAAATTACCAGTAAATTTATGAACATAAATCTTTCAAGCAAGAAGCGGGTAGGATGACATTGGTAAAACGCTGAAAAAAAAAAGTTCTAAACAAGAATACTATATTTTGCAAAAGTATCCTTCAAAATGAAAAAAAAAAAGACCTCTATCACTATCTATAAGAACATCTAACTATGTCATGTCTTCAAAAGACTCATTTCATATCTAATTTTAAAAGACTGAAAATCACAGGATAAAAATACATTTCATGCAAGTGTTAACCAAATGAGAGGAGAAGAGGCAACAATTCCTTAAGATGAAAACTACCATATTTCATATAATTTACTTTATGTGAAAATTAACAAGAGACAAAGTAGGACATTCAATTATAGTAAGAGGGTTTATTCACTAATAACTTATAAATATATGACAATTTTCCCAAACACATAAAGCAAACATTGACAGAATTGAAGAAAAAATAGACAACCATATAATAATGGAAATACATCAATATTTCACTTTCAGTAGTAAATAAATAATGAGAGACTATCAACGAGGGAACAAAAAACCTGAATGCATTACACAATAGTTACACCTAACAAATGTATGCAGACAACAGAATCACATTCTTTTCAATACCTCAGAAAACATTTTTCTAGATGGACCACATGTGACACCACAACAGAAGCCTTAATAATTTTTTAACTAAAATTTTACAATTATTTACAGCCCAAATGGAATGAAACTAGGAATCAGTAACAGAAGAAAAGCTGAAAAATTCAAAACTTATAAAGATTAAGCAACACAATTTCCTGTTTTGTTTTGTTTTGAGATGGAGTATCTCTTTCACTAGGCTGAAGCGCAGTCGTGCAATATCAGCTCACTGCAACCTCCACCTCCGGGTTCAAGCGATTCTTCTGCCTCAGTCTCTGAGTAGCTGGGATTACAGGCATGCACCACCTCACCCAGCTAATTTTATGTATTTTAGCAGAGACGGGGCTTCACCATGTTGGCTAGGATGATCTCGATCTCCTGAACTAGCCATGCATCCTCCTGGCCTCTCAAAGTTCTGGGTTAGAGGCATGAGCCACTACCCCCAGCTACAACACACTTTTTATTACGCTCTTTTTCAATGGTTGGAAGACCTAATATTGTGAAGATACCCATGCTGTTTAAAGTGACCAACACATTCAACACAGCCTGTTTCAATTTTCAATTATACTTTTGCAAAAATAGAAAAAAACCCCACAAAGTTATGTAAGATCTCAAGGCACCATGAAAAGCCTGGCAATCTTTAAAAAGAATTAAAATATTGGAAGCATTATACTTAACAATTTCCAAACACAAAACAAACCTGTCGTAATCAAAGCACTCTGGTACTGGTATAAAAATAGAGCACCAAAGTAATAAAACAGAATGCAGCACAGATATAAACTGTTGAAGAGAGAGTACAGGCATACCACCTAGGTTTTACATTCAGCCATATGTCACAATTCCTTTGGTAAGCAGGACCCAGGCAGGAGAGAAGAGTTACATTACATAGACGCTAGTTTCAGTGATATTTAAAACTGTCCTCTGGGAGCAAAGCACAGACTGGAGAGACACATCACCTAGCTGATAGACCCAGAGATATGTGATAATATTCCCTGTTTACAGGGCCCAGGCAGAGGAGTCAAATTATTATGATTCTAACCCATCGATATGTAACAATGCACCCACAGAAAGGGATTTGAGACAAAAAGTCTCAACACCAGGGTACTAGGCCCAGTGATATGACACAATCCCATCATCTTTGAGGATGACATTGTTAACATTTAGCTGAGCATGTATATTAGAGTCACAATCTCACATGTATGCTCAGACAATATATAACTTTCTCTACAATATTCGAGGGCTTTATGAAACCTGTATGAGAGTTGCAAACCTCTCTGTGGCCTGCCTGCTCCTATGGACTCACAATCTTGCATATTGCTCTAAACCACGTTTGATAGTCGACATCTATAGGCAGGGTTAAGGGAGAAGACTCATTATTATGCCTGTGGGCTGGGTCCAGAAATGAATCACCATCTCCCCTGTGGCCAAAGCCACATATAAATGTCACAATTTTAACTGTGTACTGTATTCTTTTGTTAGACTCAGGACCTCAATAGTGGGAATTATAAATATGGAATGGTGACAACTCTTAACTGCACCTGGGTGTGTAACCAAGAGTCCCATTCTGAACCTTTTGCTGGTCCCTGTTATGAAACTCTTTACCACCAAAGAGTTTAAACAATATAAGTTAGTGTTGTAAGCTTATGTGTGTTAGTACAAATATGCAACCCAGGACCTTAAATATTGCCTTAAGCCAAACAATGAGAGGAAAAATATCTCCTATTGGCTGTATCCCAATATAAGTTTGATCTTTGTGCCTGTGAACTAAAGCAAGGTATATGTCATAATTCCACATGTGGGCAAAAAACAAGACAGGAGGGTAACATTACATAGATCATGTACCAAGCAATATGTCGCAATGCCTTCTCTAGGCAGGGTATAAAAATTTGGGTCACATTAACCTGGTGCTGGACCAAGCATTGGACAACATTTCACATGTGGAAAATACCAAACCAAGTTATGAGAGCCAAAACCCCTACATAATGGGCCCAAGACATGTCAAGGTATATTCGGTGGCTCCAGCATGGGCAGGAGAGTCACAGTCATAAGGGTGCTGGGCCTAGCAATATGCAATATGCCATAATTTCCTCTTTATGCATAATCCAGGAAGAAGCGAAAAATCACCTTGGTGTTGAGCCATTCAGTAGGTCAAAATTTCTTCTTTGTGGGTATAATTCAGGAAAAATAGGAGAGTTACATGTTTTGAGTGCTGGGCTTAGCAATATGCCAAAATCCACCTATCGTGAAGGCCCAGGCAACAAAAGAGCCACATCACTTAGGTCAAGGGCTCAGAGATATTGCAAGGTGTCCCAAGTAGTCAGGGCTCAGGCAGATGTGGAGAGTCATATCACCTAGATGCTGCCCTAGGAATATGTCACAGTGGAACATGAGAGCAGCATGCAGGCAGAAGGTCCACATCACTTGAGTGCTGGGTTCTGAGGTATTTCATAAGGATCTCTTCACATAGCACCCAGCAAAGAGAGTTTCATCAACTAATTGAAGGTCCTCTGCTCATGTCACAATGCTCCATGTGGGTAGGGTCCAAGGAGGGACTCACATCTCCTAGGTGATAGGCCCAGAGATGTGTCACAATATCCTCTATGGAACATAGCCCTGGCAAAAGAGTACCATCACCTGTGTGCCTTGCCTAGAAATATGTCACACTCCAGGTTGACAGGACCCCAACAAGAGCCCCACATAGCCTAGGTAGCAGGCCCAGAGATATGTCATGATTCCCTTCTTTGGGCATGGCTGTGGCAAAATAGTTCTCTTGCCTGTGTGCCTGGCCTTGCAATATGTCTCTATATTTCCTTTGTGCAGGGCCCATTCCAGACAGGAGAGTTATATAACCTATGAGGCGAATACAGGGATATGTCCTAATAATTTTGGTGGGCATGGCACAGGCAAAAATGTAACATCACCTGGGTGCTAGATCCAGTGATAAGACAATCCTTACGGAGAGAAGGGCCCTGGCAGGAGAGTCACACCACCTTGAGGCTGGCGTAAGTAGATATCACAATCCCATATATGAGCTGAAACAAGTCTAGAGAGTCAGATTACACAAGTGCTTGGCAATAATTTATATCACAATCACACTGTCAGAAAATTCCAAAGGTGAGATTTTAAATACCAATCATTTCTTATTTTCATCTTTGACAATTGACTTCATCCATGTGAGGTAATGATAATTCTTACTGTCAGCTGGGTGTGAGTACAAGACTCACAATTTTACCTGTGTGCTGAGCCCGGCTTTGACTCCCTCTGTATAACCCAAAGACTTGGTAAAATATGTGTGAGTGTTGTAATCTTTTGCAACCTTTGTATAAAAGATGGTCCACGGTATCAGTCATGTCCCTAAAACTAGTTATCTAGTTATAAAAGTCAAAATAGCCTCTATTGCCTGAGTCCACATACGACAGTCATTATCATTCCTGTTAGCCATGCCTAGATATAGGATTTAATTCCCTCTGCGGTTATGAAACAGGCAGAACAGGCACATCACCTAAATGCTGGGCCAGAAATATTCCAGTATTCTTTTTGTAGGCAGGGTTCTGTCACAAATATCATATATTTGTGTGCTCAGTTCAGCTCTGTGTCACAATGTTTCTTGTGGGCAGTCTCCAGGCAGGAGAGGAGAGTCATATCACCAAAATGATGGGCCCAAAAATATGTCACAGTGCTTCCTGTGACAGAGCCCAGGCAAGAGATTTATATCATTTGGATGCAGTGTTTGGAAATGCTACAATTACTAAAGGAAGCCAGGTACAGGCAGGAGAGGAGAGTTATGCAACCTAGATGATGGGTCCAGAAATATGTTACAAATCCCCTTGAGGACATTGTTAAGATAGCACAGTCAAATCACCAAGTTACTTGGCTCAGGTACTTATGAGACTATTGTTTTTGGGCTATACCTATGCAGAATTATTAAATCACTTAGGAGCTGGACAAAGGTATAAGACACAATTACACTTGTGGAAAGGCTTAAGAATAAGGGTCACCATCCTGCATATGTCCTGGCTCCACTCATATGAGTTGTTATTAGACTTTTGCTATGGTTTGTGGTATATGGCACAATATTACCTGGCCAGAAGGAAAGCAAGAAATTCACATAACCTATGAGGGTTTGGCTCCAGTGTGATATCACAACTTACTTTGTGGACAGGACACTGGCTGAAGGGTCACATCACCTGAATGCTGATTTCAGTGACATATGAAAACTTTGTGTGTAGGCAAGACTTTGACAAGAAAGAGACTTACTTCACCTAGGCAATTGGCCTAGATTTATGTCACAATGTCTGTTCTGTGCAGTACAAAAGCTGGAGAGTGACCTCACATTGGTGCTGGGACCAGCAATATGTCACAATCTCCATGTGGTTAGGGTACAGGAAAAGTGAACCAACGTCACCTAGGTGCTCAGCCAAGCGTTATGTTTCAATGCTTTCTGTTGGCAGAATCCCCCAAAAAGAATCACATCACCTGGATGCAGTTATGTGTCACAATGCATTGTAAGTGCAGGGCTAAAGGAGTAGAAGGGAGTCACATCACTTATGTGATGGACCTAGTTATAAAACACAATTCCCTTTGTAGCCATGTTTTAGGCAGATAATTCACATCACCAGGGTGACGATACGAGTGATAAATAAAAGTGCCCTTTGTAGGAGAAACATGGTAGATGTTATATATTGCAAAGGTGTTTGTTATACTTATGGCGCAATTTTATCTGTGGTCTGGGCCTAGAAAAAGAGTCAAATCATTCATGTGCTGGGAAAAGTTACCTGACCCAATCACACGCTCAGAAAAGTTTGCAAATAAGTTTCGCATTCCACATAAGTTCTCGTTTCCTGTATGTAAGTCGTCAACTCTTTCTATGAGTTTGGTGGAAGTAGAGGAGTCAAAATCTCAACAATGGTCAAGATCCATGTATAGGAGCTCCAGTCCCATTGGAAGATTGTGTTCCAGTAGGGGAGTCACAGCACCGCAGGCATGCTGAATCATGGTTCAAATGTTGCCAAAACACCTGTGAATCTAATCCCCGTATGAGAGTAATGATTTCAATCTTTGATGACTTTTATGTGTGAGATTTAGTACCTCATTACTAGGCCCTGTTTATGCGTGAGAATCACAATTGTATCAACTAGGTGTGCATAGAGAGTCACATTCTTGTCTGGTTGCTGGGGATAGTGACTTGTGGCTCAACCATATGTCACTATCCCCAACTGTGTTCAGGGCCCGTTCTGAGGAGAGTTATATCGCCTAAGTGGTTGACACAGTGATGTGTCACAATAATTTATGTGGGCATGGCTCAGCTGATTCTTACTGAGAGTGGGGCCCAGGCAGAAGGGTCAAACCACCTAGAGATTGGCCCTCATAGATTTCAAAATAACATCACTGGGCTGGAACCGGTCTGGAGAGTCAAATCACACAGATGCTCGGAAAAGATTTATATCACAGTCAGACTGGCAGAAAATTCCCAGGATGAGACTAACAATACCACATATGTCCCATTTTTATCAGTGACAGTTGGCTTTATATATATGAGATGGTTACAGTCTTTAACTGTCAGCTGGGTGTTCATATGAGACTCACAATTTCACCTTAGTGATAGGTCCTGTTATGACACCCTCTGTACAAGATGAAGGCTTTTTAAAATCACTTATGCTGTTACAATCTTCTGCAATCTTTTTACCATAAAGAAACTTAATCACTTAAATAACTCTAAAGCAAGTTATGAGATTAAAAATTACTCCTATTTGAGGGTTCTACATATGGGAGTCCTTATCATGCCTGTGAGCTGTGCTTAGATATATGTCACAATTTACACCGTGGTAATGAAACAGGCATGAGAGCCATATAATCTAAATGCTGAGGCAGAAATCTTCCAATATTATTCTTTTTGGCAAATTCCTAGAAGAAAAATCACATAACTTTGGGCCTATGCCCAACTGTATGGCACAACACCCCTTGTGGGCAGTGGTCCAGAAAAGAGGAGAGTCATATCATGTAAATGATAGGTCCAGAGGTAAGTCATAATGTCTCTTGTTGAAAGGATCAGGCAAGAAATTCATATAATTTGAATGCAGTGTTTAAAAATGCTACAATACCCAGTGGAAGCAGAATTCAGGCAGGAGAGGGGACTGAGGTAACCTAGATGATGGATCCAGAGACATGCTACAAACGTGCCTGAGGATAACGTTAAGACAGGAGAATCAAATCACCAAAGTGCTCAGCTGAGATATATGTCCAAATCTCAATTGTGCGCTATACCTAGGCAAGATTACTAAATTACTCAGGAACTGGGCAGAAGTGTATGTCACAATAACACTGGTGGAAAGTTCCAGGAGTGGGAGCCACCATCATGCATATAACCTGGCTCCAGGTTTAAGAGTCATGATTAGTCCTCTTATCTGGTCTCAGTTGTATGGCACAATATCCCCATGGGCAGACAGCAAGCAAAAAGGTCACATCACCTGGGTGGGTGCTGGTCCAGTGAGCTGTCACAATCTTTATTGTGGGCAGACTTCTGGAAGAAGCATCACATCACCTGAATGCTGGTTTAAACGATGTATCAAAATTTCCCTTTTGGGCTTGGCTTAGAAAGGAGAGGAGACTCACTTCACCTAGGCAATTGGTATAGATAAATGTCACAATGGCCACTATGTGCAGGACCAAAGTTTGAAAGTGACCTTAACTTGGCGCTGGATTTAGCAATGTGTCACAATCTCCCCTGTGGTCAGGGCAGGTCAAGAGAGGAGAAACATCATCTAGGTGCTGAGCCAAGTTACATGTTACAAAGCTTTCTGATGGCAGAAACCAAAATGGAGAGTCCCATCAGTTGGGAGCAGTACCCAGTTATGTGTCACAATGCACCGTTAGTGCAGGGCCAAGGCAGTAGAATTGAGTAACATCACTACATGATGAACCCAGACATAAGCCACAGTGCTTTTCATAGGCAGGCATTAGGCAAATAATCCACGTTACCTGGGAGCTGTTCCCAGTGACATGTAAAAGTGCCCTTTGTCTACAGGCCCAGGCACCTATGCTTAGGTGTATGGTCCATGTATATCACAATTTCATCTGTGGTCATGGGCCTAAAGAAGAGAGTCAAATTATTCAGGAGCTGGGCTAACTTTTATGTCCTAATCACACAGTAGGAAATATTCAGAAATGTTTCACAGTCACAGAAGTCCTGGCTTCACGTACGTACAGGAGGAGTCAACACCTCCTGTGAGTTGTGTCAAAGCAGAGGAGTCCCAATCTCAACAATGGGCAAGATCCATGTATAAGATGCCCAGTCCCACTTGAAGATTGTGTTCCAGTAGGGGAGTCACGGCCTCACAGTTGTGCTGAATCATGTATCACCAAACCACCTGTGGGTCAGATTTGTGTATGAGAGAAACAATTTCAACCTTCAACTGATCTTTTTTGTAACAATTTAGTACCTTATTTGTAGATCATATTTTTGTGAGGGAATGACAATCGTGTCAGCTAGGCATGCATCCAAGAGTCACAATCGCACCTGGTTACTGTTCCCTGTTATGACAGTTTGTGTACCACTCAGACTTTATATGATATGCTTGAGTGTCATAATCCTTTGTGAACTTTATGCAATTAGGAGACTCATTTCTTTACTTATGGCCATGAGACTGACCATGAGAGTAAAAATATGTCTCCCTTCTGGGTAAAGATATGATAGTTATATTTGTGTATGTAAGCTGAACTCAGGTATATGTTAAAATTTCACCTGTGGGCAGAAACAAGGCAGCATAATTGCCTTACTTGGATTCCGAGCACAGAATTCATTATAATCTCCTTCATAGGCAGGCCAAGTCAGAAGATTCATGTCAACGGAGAACAGCCTCAATGAATATGACACCATGTCGACTGTAGACAAGGTTGAAGAAAAAGAGGAGAGTCACACCTCCTAGGTGCTTAGCTCAGCAATACGTAATAATTTCCCCTATTGGCTGCCTCCAGAATAAAGGGGATGGTTACATTACCTAGGTTTTGCGCTCAGTAGTATGTCACAATTCCTTTTGTGGGCAGAACCTAGGCAAGAGACGAGAGTCACATTTCCTAGATGCTATGACCACTGATGTCACAATGTGCCTTGGGGCAAAAGTACAGGAAAAATAGGCAAATCACCTAGCTGATCGGCTCAGAGAAATGTGATAATATCCCTTGCTGTCAGGGTCCAGGCAAAAGAGTCACACTGTTATGATTCTTATGCAATGATATGTCAAAATACACACATGGGAAACAATTAAAGCACAAGTTTTAACACCTGGGTACTCGGCACAGTGATATGACACAATCTCCTCATGTTTGAGGGTGACACCTTTAACTGTCAGCTTGGCGTCTGTAACAAAGTCACATTGTCACGTGTGTGTTGGACCACCGAATGACACCCTCTACAACATCCAAGGGCTTCAAACGGCATCCATTATATTTGCAAACTTCTCTGAGGCCCATAGGCTCATATGGACTCACAATCTTATATATTGTCTTAAATCCAGGTATGATAGTCAATATCTCTAATTTAGGCCACATTCAGGAATGAGAAGCATTTTTATGCCTGTGAGCTGGGCCCAAAAATGAGTCACGATTACACCTGTGGCCAGATCCACATGTGAGAGTCACAACTCCATTTTTGTACTGTGTTGTCATGTTAGACTCAGTAACTCCATAGTGTACTTTGTAAATGTGGGATGGTGACAACTTTTACTTTCACCTGGGTGTGAAACTGAGAGTCACAATTTTAACTTTTTGCTGGGCCTTGTTATAAAATGCTCTGTACCACCCATAAAGTTTATACCACAGGAATTCGTGTCGTAAACTTCTGTGAGCTTTGTAGAAATATTCAACCAAGAATTTTTTCTATTGCCATAAGCCTAGTGATGAATGGCAAAATATCTTCCATTGACTGAATCCCAGTATAAGTTTGCTCATCATGCCTGTGAACTGAAGCAAGATATAAACCATAATCCCATTTGTGGGCAAAAAATTAGAAAAAAAAAGTGTAACATTACTTAGGTGATGTGGCAATTAACATGTCACAATATTCTCTCTACACAGAGTCTAGGAAAGAGGGCCACATTAACTGGATACTGGACCCAGCAATATGACACAATTCCACATGTGGAAAAACATAATGAAGAGATGAGAGCCAAAACACTTACAGAATAAGCCAAAGATGTGTCAAAACACCCTCTGTGGCTCTGGCACAGGCAGGACAGTAGCATCATCAGGGTGCTGGACTTATCACTATGCAATAATTATCTCTTTATTCAGGATTCTGGCAGAAGAGTAACATCATCTGGGTGCAATAGGTCAAAATTTCCCTTTGTGGGCATGGTTCAAAAAAAAGAGTAGAGTCACACAACCTAAATGCTGGGCTCAGCAATATGTCATAATCCCACTATTTTAAAAGCCCAGGCAGGGGGCGAGAGTCATATCACTTAGGTCATGGGCTCAGAGATATGTCCCAGTGTCCCCAGTAGGCAGGACTCAGGCAGAAAATGTGGGTCATATCACGTAGGTGCTTCTTTATGTGTACATCACAATATAACACATGGGGAGAACCCAGGCAGAAGAGCCACATCACCTGGGTGCTGGGTGCTGAGATATGTCACAAGTTTCCCTAGGACAGCACTAGATTGAAAGAGTTACATCATCTTGATGCAGGTCTAACTTTTACGTTGCAACGATCTATGTAGGTGAGGCCCAAGCGTTCGGTCACATCACTTAGGTGACAGGCCCAGAGATATGTCACAATGACCTCCTTGAAATATATCCCTGGCAAAAGAGTATCATCACCTGTATGCCCTGGCCTGCCAATATGGCACTACCATTCTCTGTGTTCAGGGTCCATTCCAGAGAGGGGAGTTACATCACCTAAGTGGTGGACACAGTAATATGTCACAATGATGCCTGTGAATATGGTCCAGGCAACAATGTAACATCACCTGAATGTTAGATCCAGTGGTATGTCTCAATCCTTACTGAGAAAAGGGTCCAGGCAGGAGAATCACATCACCTAGACGCTGGCTCAGGTAGAGATCACAATCTCATATACATGCTGGAACCTGTCTGGAGAGTCAAATCACACAGATGCTTGGCAAAGATGTGTATGACATTCACACTGGGAGATTATTGCAGAGATGAGATTTACAATAACATACATGTCCTGTTTTCATGTTTCACAGTAGGCTTCATATACATGAGATGCTGACAGTACTTCCTGTCAGCTGGGTGTGCATATGAGACTCACAACTTCATCTTTCATTTGGGTTTTGTTATGGCATTATCTGTACAAGCCAAGGGCTGTAAAATATTTGAGGGTGTTATAATCTTCGGTGACCCTTTTACCAGAAAGAGATCTAAGACATCACTTGCATTGCTAAAGCGAGTTACAAGAGTCAAACTTACTCCTATTTGGGAGGTCCACATATGAGTCATTATCATGCCTAGTGATTTGTCAGAATATTGAGCTGTGCCTAATTATTTGTCAAAATTTACTCTGCAGTAATGAAACAGGCATGACAGCCACATAACCTAAACGCTGAGGCAGAAATGTTCCCATATTCTCCTTGTAGGCAGGCTCCTGGCAGAAAAATCATATAACTTTGGGGCTGTGCCCAACTGTATGGCACAATGCCCCCTATGGGTAGTGTCCAGGCAGAAGAGGAGAGTATATCACTTAAATGATAGACTTAAATGACCAGAGATATGTCACAATGCCTCCTGTTGAAACGGCCAGGCACGTATTATTTATAATTGTAGCCGTTTTAACTGGAGTCATTTGGTATCTTGTGGTAGCTTTAATTTGCATTTTTCTAATGATAATGTTGAGCATCTTCACATGTACTTGGCCATTTGCATGTCTTCTTTGGAGAAGTGTCACATAGTGTATCTTGCCTATTGCTAAATTGTGAGTTAGTTTTGCTGTTACGTTTCTTATATATCTTTATGTTTTTCCATTGTGATATGTATATTTTGCAAATATATTCTCCCACACTGTAAGTTGTCTTTTCACTCTGTTAATTTATTTTTGCTATGTAAATTTTTTTTTTAGATTCTGTTAATTTTATTTGTCTGCTTTTGCTTTTCTTGCCTGTGGTTTTGAGATCTTATTTAAAATGTTTTTCCTGTCCTGTTTAGTAAAGAATTTCTCTATGTCTTATTCAAATAGTTTTATAAGTTTGAGTTTACATTTCAATCTTCTATTTATTTTTATTTAAATTGTTTTAATATGGTAACAGGTAGGCAACTAGTTGTATTCCTCTGTATTTAAATAATCCATTTTCTTAGCACCATTCGTTGAAAAGATTGTCTTTTCTTCAATGTATGTTCTAAGCAACTTAAAAATTACTTGGCTCTAGGTTTATGAATTTTGTTACTGGGATCGTTGGATACTTTGGTCTATGTGTCTGTTTTCTATGCCAGTATCATGCTGTTTTGCTTGTTATAGCTTTGCAGTATGTTTTGGAGTCAGGTAGTTTGATATTTTCAGATTTGTTCTTTTTTCACAGCTATTTGGGGAGTGTTTTTTTGGTTCCCCATAAATTTTATGCCTCTTAATTTCATTTTTGTTCAAAAATGTTCTTGGCATTTTATAGAGTTTGCACTGAATTTGTAGATTTCCTTGTGTAGCATAGCCATTTTAGCAATATTTTTTATAACTCATGAGCAAAAATATCTTTTTTTTTACTTTTTTCATCAATATTTTATAATTTATAGTGTAGAGAGTGTTTCTCTTTTTAATTAAGTTTACTGCTACACATCTTTATTTTTTATTCTAGATAAACAAAAAGTATTTGGAAAATTTTACGTGACTTTGTAATTAAAAACAACTGAACAAATTAGGTATAAATGATATGTACTTCAACACAGCTAAGGCAAAATATGACAAATCAATAAACAAATTAAATATTGTCACCGGCAGGTCTTCATGATTTTTTTTTTTTAAATTAGAGGACTGGATAGAGAAAGATCATGTATCAAAACTTATACATTTGTCATTAAATTTTAAAACCATGAAGTTTGAATTTTTGCCTACATTTTAGACCAACCATGCTTATTCCTATGAAAAAGCTTGCAGTCTTCAACCGCAGCTCAGAAGAAACAAAAAGGGATGAGCGATGAAAAATCTGGTTTAATATTCTAGTTCTAGGCAATTACCCTGCAAATTTTTCAGTGATGAAAATAAACAGGGTGCCCCCCCAAATCTTGGCAAAGTTAACTATTGCCACTAGTTATCTGGGTTTGTCACAAGCATTTTTTTCTCTTCCTTGTGGAAAGAGGACTCAATTCCACAGCTTTATCTTAGCATTTAGCTGCTAATGAGGAGTCCATGCAATCCCCTGAGGAACATTTTTGTCCCAACCTCAATTCCAAGCCTCAGGTTGAAGCCCTAAGAAAGAATACTGGATCTGAGAAATCCAGAGGCAGATGATTATGGTGGTTAAAATTCACCGTGGAAGTGAGCATGACTAATTCCAGTGGATTAAGCCAAGCCTCACATTTCACGGATAAAGGCCATGATAGTATCTGTTGCATAAATGAAGTCTAATGAACTCCAGAACTACTGAGAGCAGGGAAGATAGGACATATGTAGGTAAGAGCAGATATTTCCACCCCCAACAGGCCTTCCTGTTAACATGAGTGAAAGCTGCTTTGACATCCATGGGTTGCAACCTATCACAATCCCTGGAACTCGGGGATACAAGGATGCAAGGGGGAAAGACAACATTCTTTCTTCTATCCCTCAACATACACTGGATATTTCCTAGAAAGATAAAGGAATCAGGGATACATGGTCTTCACTCTCCTTCTAGATGAGTAGCCATTCATTATCAGTCTATATTCCTTTTAAATGCATCCTGAAATTTTGGGCCTCCTTTGAAAAAATGCTTACTTTTTACCTTGTTTTCTCCTCTGTCTTCTTTTTACAGACAGGTAATCATGTATTCATACTATGGGACAGTCACCTCAGATGCATTCTCCAACCTTAGACTGGTTGGCTTAACTTAGGATTGGACTCAGGGCAAAAGAACACAGAAGCCAGACATGCTGGCAAAAGGGTGAAAGAAAATTTTCAAGTTGTGCTTTTGTCCTTCTCCTTCCTATGTAAACTGGAAAAATACCTTGGAATTTTTGAGCTGTCCTTGCCACCTTCCCCTTGTTTTATTTTACTTTATTTTAATACATGATTTTTAATAACCCAGTTTGATTCTTCTCCCATTTAGGTTACCAAATTCATGCCACCAGAGCCTCAGACAAGGCCCCTTTCACTGGAGACACTTAGGTAGGCCTCTTAGGAAAATCTGACTGCCGGTTTTCCAAAACAGTGCCCCCTGTCAACAGGAAGCTCTTAAAAGTGGTGTTGGTCCTGATCCTTCTCCTCATTCTAATGGCAGTTAGATGTACTTCTTTATATGGGGAAATAACAGAGTTAGAAAACAGCCAATGGTCCTGGGTGAAACCCCATCTTCAAGCCTAAAACAGCATAAAGACTGAAAAATCAGACTGCTTCTCCCAGATGAAGCCTGCCTTTTTTCAACTGATTCTCTCTGAATAGTATCCATGTCCACACTGGGGGAAGTGATTGGAGCCAGGGAAACTTCACTCCTTGTGCAGGGAGAAGGAGACTGGCCTCTGCAGTTCTTGTGTGATGGTTTAGTGTTAATCTACCCAGGAGGTGGGACTTGTAAACAGGACTCCCACTCACTCTGTTGACAGTTTTTCTTTCCTTCTTTTTACCCAATCAACTCTACCCTTCATCCTTCAGAGTATCCCTGGGCCTAATCTTTCCTAGTCACGTGAGAAGAACTCAATTTTGCTGAAGTAAGGAGAAAGTTCTGCAACATGAGGATTGGGAACCCTCATTTATGATAAGCTGAGTATATGCATGTGGATTTATTTTTGCCTTCTCTTATCGGTTTCAACATTTATTTTTCTGTCTTTATGCCAGCACCACACTGTTTTGATTAATGTAACTTTGCAATATGTTTTGAAATACAAAACTATTATTCCTCTGAGTTTATTTATTTTTTTACAGGTTGTTTGGTTACTTGTGGTTTTTTGAGTATTTATAGAAATCATAGGGCAATATGTGTTGGCTCACTCCTGTAATCCTAGAACTTTGGGGAGCCAAGCCAAGGTAGGTGGGTTGCTTGAGCCTAGGAGTTTGAGACCAGCCTGGGAAATATGGTGAAACCCTGTCTCTAAAAAAAAAAAAAAAATACAAAAACTTTCTGAGCATGCCAACATGCACCTGCAGTTTCAGCACTTGTGAGGCTGAGGTAGGAGGATCAACTGAGCTTTGGAGGTCAAAGATACAGTAAGTCATGATTATGATATTATACTGCAGCCTGAGTTACACAGGTAAATATTGACTCAAACATTTTAGAATAATTTAGTACTTCTGCAAAAACTATCACCATTTTTAAACATCTCATTGATCCATAGATCACCTGGTATACCATTAACATCTAAAAAACTTGCACGTTCTAACACTTGAAAAATAGTATGCTCAAGAATATGTCCAGTTTTCAAATATATGCAAACATGATGGTTTTGTTTTAACTTCCAGCTGTATTTTATTGTAGTCAGAAAAAATACTTTTTGTGATTACCATCAGTTTAAATATGCTAAAACTAGCATGCTACCTCACAAGTTTGCCTATCTTAGAAAATGTGTCATATACAATTAGAAGTATTATGTATTATGCTGTTGTTGGGTGAAATGTTTTGTAGATTAACCTGACGTCTTATTTCTCTATTTAACTTTTTATTTTTGTGCATTCTCTTTATCTTTATTTTGTTTCTCTTTATTTTTCATTTTATCTATTAATTTAATTTAATTTTATTTCTATTTTTCTTTTTTCTCATTACATTCTCTTCATTTCAAATATACTTCAACTTGTATCTTGTTTTTAGCAGTTTATTTAATTTTATATTTTTTCTGTTATTTGTTTCTAGTCATATTCCTTCATATTATCTTATTTTTTATCCATATTTCTTTTTTATTTTTTCTCCTTATTCTGAAACTTTTTATTGGAAATTATTTCATTTCTGTTTATTTCTTTTATTTTTTGTATTTATTGTTTATCTTCATTTTATTTTCACTTATCTTAATTACATTTCTCTATTTTTCTCTATTTCGGTTTATTTTATTTGTCCTTACTATTTTTCACTTGCTTTAAATTTATTTTTACATTTTATTTCTCTTGATTTTTTTTTTTTAATTTACCTTTCTATGTTCTGCTTCATAAAACAGAAGAGATAAGATATTTTAGATTGCCCCAGCCATAGTCATCAAGGCTCGTGTTTGCTGAGGTTCTCTCTCAGCTACTCTGCCCCGGAGTCTTCAATCCAAATCATAGTCATGGCATCCTAGTAAGATTGCTAAGATCTCTGGGCAGATCTTTCATTGTTACAGGCCCATCTAGCATTCAGTGTCACGGGCCGGTTTTGCTGCTTTCAGAAGCCCCCTGCAAGCCTCAGTGTTGCTAGGCCAAGACCTGACTGCCTCTTCATTAGTGTCCCAATGGATCCCACAAACATAATCCAAGGTCCTGACTGTTCTTCTCCTTTCCCAGAACAGGATCATACACACTTTACTCCACCAGGACATGTCTAGATCATATGTGTGTCTCTACATTTTATTTTATTTTTTTTTGAGACAGAAGCTTGCTCTGTCACTCATGCTGGAGTGCAGGGACGTGATCTCTGCTCAGTGCAACCTCTGCCTCATGGATTCAAGTGATTCTCCTGCCTCAGCCTCCCAAGTAGCTGAGATTACAAGTGCCCATCATTTTTTTTTTTTTTTTTTTTTTTTGTATTTTTAGTAGAGATGGTGTTTCACCATATTTGCCAGGCTGGTTTCGAACTCTTGACCTGAAGAGATCCAACCTCCTCGGCCTCCAAAACTGCTGGGATTACAGGTGTGAGCCACCACGCCTGGTTGAAATTTTTTTTTATATTAACTTGACATATAACTGATTTATTGGCGCGGTGGCTTATGCCTACAATCCCAGCACTTTGGGAAGCGGAGGTGGGTGGATCACGCGGTCAGGAGATCGAGACCATCCTGGCTAACACGGTGAAACCCCGTCTCTACTAAAAATACAAAAAATTAGCCGGTCGCGGTGGCGGGTGCCTGTAGTCCCAGCTACTCGGGAGGCTGAGGCAGGAGAATGGCCTGAACCCGGGAGGCGGAGCTTGTAGTGAGCTGAGATCGCACCACTGCGCTCCAGCCTGGGCGACAGAGCGAGACTCCAACTCAAAAAAAAAAAAAAAAAAAAAAAAAAAAAAGAAAATATCAGCTTTATGGGTAGCTATACATGCAAATATGTGCAAAAAATGCTAATGATACGAGGAGATGAACATTTCTACATTTTATCTAAGGATTTCATGGAGTTGCTATTTTACCTTTTCCAGTCTTTATCTCTATATATTCAATGGGAAAATCCTCAATGAAGACTCCTCACTGTGATAGACAAAATGTTCAATTAGTCATTGACAGATGCAGTGAGTTAACTTCTGGTTTTTATTTGGAGCCCTCACAGCTAGGATTAAAAACTGTTGGCTCTAAACTCACATGATGAGGAATTATACTATGCTGTCCTCTTCTATACACTTGTCTACCATCACAATTTTTTGAACTTGCCAAAGGAAATTGTGGGAAATTGTTTCCCTCAGACCTACTCATCTCCGTTTCATAAGTTTTAAGATTGGGCATTGTTTAGATTTCTTATAAGCTCATAATCACAGAGGTCATGTTTGTCAGGAGAAAGCTTTCTTGCAGCAGGATTAAGTAAAGACATTTGCCAACCATGGCTTATGGTTCCTCCAGAGGCAGAATGGAGCTTAAAAACCATTGCTGAAGCCAAAAAGTGGTGAAAGAAGTTGAGGGCTGCCCAGAGGATAAAGAAAAAATGCTACTTTTTACTACCAAAGCAGTCACAGCTCATTTTGGCATTAATCTTGCTTCTGACCACGATATGTTTCTTACTGGTCTTTCTTTGTATTCCACTGATTGTACATTTAAAAAAAGAGGCCTGGATGAGAGTGGTAAAAAAAATAAATTCATCCTTCTATAGCTGATGCCTTGGTGAGCTTTGAAGCACACTGAGCAGAGTCTGAAATCCTTCCTCACTATGGGGTAAGTTGTGTCAAACTCGACACCCATTGAAATGGCACAAGGATCAAGATGTCAAAGAAGAGACTCAGAACCAGTAAATGAGATATGGACTTTTAGTGGAAACTTCCACAGAGAGCAGAAAGTACAGTGTCAGTGGGCCTAGCTGAATAACCAGGCCCACTTGCAAAAAACATGCAGTTTGTATGGCCTTTTTATTTAGCACTTTTTTTTCTGAACAAGCTTTCACCTGTCAGCCCTCATTTAACAAAAATGGAATAGCCTCACCTCCTTGTGTGACCTGTATTCCTATGCCACATGATGGGACAGAACAGGGGCTCAGACATTATTGGCGCGGTGGCTTATGCCTGTAATCTCAGCACTCTGGGAGGCCGAGGCGGGCGGATCACGAGGTCAGGAGGTCGAGACCATCCTGGCTAAGACGGGGTTTCACCGTCTTAGATAGATCTCTCTGAGATACTGTTCTCAGATAGAACTCAGGACAGTATCTCAGATTACTCATAGATAAAGAGTAAGCTCCAGGTTGACCATGACAAGGTTTTTTAGATTTGGAACTCTGAACACTCAGAAGCATCTATTTATAGAGGGTCAGTAACCAGGTATGCCCAAGTCAAGATAACACCGTCAGTTTCATCCATCATACAGGCTGGTTTAGGCAGTGGAGTTTCTTCTTCCTGAGATTTTAGATTCAAAATAGTTATTGCTTTACTTGAATTGTTGTGTTGGCAGGAGTTTATCTGAAAGTCCTGATGTGTGTGCACATTGCAGGTACAGTTGTATAAGTTAATGTGATGGCTTCTTAGTTGGTAGAGTCTGTTTTTGTTACGGGTGTGACTGGGTATATACAGGCTGCTGAGGTGACCGTCTCCATATTCACCGGACCACGACAATATGGGGCCCCAGTTCCACTATTTTCCAAAGTATGACATGCTGAACAAGACCCTGAAATTGTGGTTCACTGTGACCAGGCTGAGGCTGCGCTTTAAAAGGCAGAACTGCCAGCTTGGTGCCTTATTTTCCTTGTCATTCTAATGCATCTTTTGATAAGGAGACCAGAAAAGAGTATTTTAGTACGGAGACCAGAAAAGGGTCTGAATATGTGACAGCCCTCCTCATAGAGTTGGTACTATTTATTCATGACTCTCTTAAGTGTCAAGAAAGGTTGAGAGATCTGCTTCCTGGCACAGCCTGAGTAGGCTAGAGCACTGTGACCCGTAATGCTTAGCTCATGCGGTCTTCACAGAAATTTCAAAAAATCATAGGATACGCGGGGTAGAGAAAGAGCTGGTACAAATAACAACTTGCAGGTGAAATAATTGGAAGCAGGAAGAGAATGGGATCTGCTTGGAAGAGTATACACACTGCCTAGGTGCAGCTGAACAGTCAAGTCTGTTCTCTGATTTGAGCCTTGTGTCTTGGAATTAACAGGTCCAGTTTGGCTCTGGCCTGAGTACTAAAATTTTGGTTCTAGAACCAAATGTGAACTCTGGACTCTGGAATTCCAGTTGGGTTTCACAGGCCGGTGGATTAAGGAGGCCCACATGAGCCCATAAATTGGGCTGTGGGTGGCTTTGCCACACATGACTGGCTGCTTTTGTGCCTAGACTCTCAAGGAAGAGGCATCTTCTTCCTCAAGGCAAGCCCAGGGAGGTCTGAAACTTATGGCTGCCAGTGAAGAAAAATGGTAATGCCTCTGGCCAGTGCTTTTGCCCCTCCTGCCTTGTGGCTTTGGGGATTCAATTTGCTCATCAAAAAATGGGCAATGAAATCCCCTCAGTGACTGGCTGCTCACCCCACATTTGCCTGGCCACTGCACAGAGCCCACTCACCACCTCCAGTTACATCCTGTGCTTCCACTGATTGGCTAGGGGAACATGCTCACTGAAGCCCAGGTGACCTATCCTTTCTCCAATGCACAGCCTCATGCAGATGCCACCCAGCTTTCCTTTTAGATTGTAATCTTAGGGAGTTAGAGAGCACTAACTCATTGACGAATTAATCTGCTCTAACTTACTGACTAATAAATCAATAAGTCACTTAATGTTACAAGATGGGTGTGGGACTTGATACTCTTGATTTCTTTCCTCAGGTGGGACTGCACTGGGCATTGCCATCCTGATTTCGTTGTGAAAAAAGCTAGCAGGTGAGGCAGGATTCAAGGTCCAGGAACAGATCACAGCACCCAGGCTGGCCTGCACAGGGGCCTCTGAGGCCCTTGCAGGCAGGAGGGCTCACTGGAAGTCCAGGCCCCTTTTCTAGGATGGTGACCATAGCCCCTCCCTGGACCTCTGAGGACAGCCTACTTGTTCTGCAACTTGCAACCACTGGATTCTAAGGGGTGAGCATCCAATTGTGTGTGCGTGAGTGTGTGTGTATGTGTGCGTGTGTGTGTGTGTGTGTGTGTGTGTGTGTGTGTACATGGCCTTCTGCTTCATTTCCATGGGATGTTCTCCTAGAAGAAATTCCTAGGGAATCCTGGGACTGTGCTGGAGATTCTCAAACTGCCAAATTCAGTAAGAGTTGTCTCAAGAATATAATTAGTAGTATTTTCTGCAGATTACTATGTCAGGGTTTCCTTTGCCAAAAAAAAATGTGTAAAAAACAAAGTTGTTAGTCCTTTACATTATTTTAATTAGGTCATCAAATAAACCTTTTATTTTCTTCAAACTTATTTTTATGACAATCATTGAATTTTTGTTTTCTTCTTTGTTCCAACTGTTACCTGTTTTAGAGAAAAATATTTAAAAAATGTGATACACAATTACTAACAAGTGACAGCAATTTATTTAAAATGCAATTAGATTTCTTAAATGAGTAAACAATTTCAGTAAACTTAGTTTGTGTTACTTGTATAAATTATTTTTCATCTTATCCTCAATCTTAAAAAAATTTAGCTAGGTATGCAATTCAAAATTGATAGATGTTTTATATAGACAACTTAAAAACATTTTATTGGTCATGTTGGGTAGTATAATTCTCACATATTTTATCTTAGAAATCAACACATTTGACAATTGATATTTATAGTATCTATAAAAGTGACTTTATAAACATGCTTTTATAGTTGCTAAAATTTTTGGAGAAAAAAATCTATTCTGGCCTTCATTAGTAAAACTTAAAGATGATAGAAATGAGACTATATTTACTGGCTAAATTAACGACAAAAACTGAAAGAGATTCATTTACTTATTCTTTATCTTTCAGTATCTGATAATGAACAGAATTAAAGATGCTCAGAATCTGCATCAGTATAGAAATAAAGCAAACAGCTCTTGTGAAAGAATTATTGAAAATATACAGAACAAACCTATCAATTATATTTAAAAATTTACCCAATTCATAGTCCAAAAAATACCACTCTTACAGAGGTTTACTACTGGCAGAATCCAGCGTTTCTTATGACCTGATACAACATAACCACTCTTTATATATCATCTGATTGCCCAAAATCTACCCAGAACTGAAGGCTAATCCTGCCAGTTCCTAAAAAGACAGTCTTCACACACAACCCATTTTCATTTAAGCTTGTTTCCCACATCAACCTTTCAGTAATGTCTGCCAGAACTACACTTCTGAAAGTCCAGGACAGCAGGGCAGAAGGGAAGACTACTTAGGTTATAATAAATGTTTTGTTTTGTTTTTCCATATCACACAGTATTTCTGTCCTCAGAGACATTAAGTTGAGGATGAGCTGTTTCAAAACCTAGAAATAAGGCTGGGTGTGGTGGCTCATGCCTGTAATCCTAGCATTTTGGCATGCCCAGGTGGGTGGATCACAAGGTCAGGAGATCAAGACCATCCAGCCTAACATGGTGAATCACTGTCTCTGCTAAAAATACAACAAATTAGCCAGGCTTGGTGGAGGGCACCTGTATTCTCAGCTACTTGGTATACTGAGGCAAAAGAATAGATTTAACCCAGGAGACAGAGGTAGCAGTGAGCCGAGATTGTGCAACTACACTACAGCCTGGGCAACAGAGTGAGATTCCATCTCAAAGAAAGAAAAAATACCTAAAATCAAATGTAAAAAAGTGGCATGATAATTCTGTCTATGCCAGAATATAGAGGAGGAAGACTAAAACCATATTTTGTTAATCTAAATGAAAAGAGTTCAGGGCATTTTAGGTTTCAATACCTGTGGTGAATACCCTTAACATGTGTCAGCCATTCCAGGTTTGACTGCATAGGCTAGCGCTCTGCCTTCCTCCATAGATGTTTAAATGTAGCACCATAATCCAATAATTTTACAAGGTTTTCATACAATTATGATCTCTTTTTGAGAACAATTAATGTCATTTATTATAGATGTTTTCAATTTTTCACTAGAGACAGTAGGCTAATTTTAAAAAGACTATTTTTTAATCATGTAGCTTCTATTACATAGCTAGTTTTGTCTTTTTTACTTCGTGTATATGCCAAAAAGACCTCATGACTTATTAAACATTCAACTATTTACTTGAATAAATTGGCCCTATGCATTTAATCAGCTCAATTATATCAATTTTATGAAGTAAAATGAACAATAACTAAACAAAAATTGGATTAATCGCATTTTCTAATTGAAACAAAATATAAAATATACTAAATAAATAACATTCAATAATGCACACACTGTGAAATTACTCACATGTGAAAGTTATTTTGGGAACACCATTATATTTTACCAAAGCCACTTTCATAATCTGTGAGGAAATTATACAAATAATGTTTTACAAAATTGGACAAAAACAAAATTGTGTATTATGTTTACAGTTAGCCACAAATGAACAGATATAAAAAAAGTAATTTGCATAAGATATTTCAAAGCCAGGAGCAATGACATATTAGATAAATACGTTTAATACAAAGCAGAGAAAATAAATTTGCTTTCAAATTCTTTGAAGATTCTGGTTTGCTGGTGACTTATCAATGCTTGTATAACTACCTATTTCATTCTAATATTTTTCTTTTCTTCTCAAAGTAGGTACATGACCGTAAACAAATACGATTATTCTCTATAAATCTGTTACACCTAAAGTTTATTTTACAGTGATATATCTGTATATTTAAAACCATGTAAACCAAAACTGAAAGTCTGTATATGTTTAGCAGACCAGAGAAGTCATATTTTTAAAAAAAAGTTGGATAAAATGTTTTAAATAGTTGTTCAGAATTCTGAAACATGTAGTTCCATTATACTCAAAGTCTTCATTGCAACCATCATAATAATCTGTAGTTACAAGAAAAACAAAAATGTAAGTGCTAGAAACCATATTCTCAAAATTATTTTCAGTTAAAGACCACTAACAAAGTAACCACTAGAGATGTTATTTCACTGTCACCAGATAGTATATTGTTACCATCTGTTACCTACAACCTTGAGTAAGATGGGAAAAGTTAACATCAGTGGCAAAATACACATTCAATGTAAAATAGCCATAACACAAAAACAACAATTTTGGCTTATTAAAACAAATTAAGTTCACACATTGCCATTAAAAAGGCATTTTTAAATTCACTGTATTTTAATTACATTAATTTGCAAATGGTAAAGGAATTTTCTTCTAAAATTCATATGGTTTCTCTTACTGTGCAGAATGCTATCCTGATCACTTAAAACACTCCTATCATCCTGTCACATATAATACTGCTGTTAACATGGCCAGATGCAGTGGCTCATGCCTGTAATCCCAGCACTTTGGGAGGCTGAAGCGGGCAGATCACCTGAGGTCGGGAGTTTGAGACCAGCCTGACCAACGTGGAGAAACCCCGTGTCTACTAAAAATACAAAATTAGCCAGGCGTGGTGGTGCATGCCTGTAATCCCAGATACTCGAGAGGCTGAGGCAGGAGAAGTACTTGAACCTGGTTGAACCTGGGAATTGGAGGTTGCAATGAGCAGAGATTGGGCCATTGCACTGCAGCCTGGGCAACAAGAGTGAAACTCCAACTCCAAAAAAACAAAAACAAAAACAAAAACAAGACAAAACAAAACAAAACAAAAATACTGCTGTAAACCAACCATTAAGTAGCCTTTCTACTAAGATTTTCTTCATTTACATTAGATTTCAGTTTTCTTAACCTTCCATGAAAAAGAATATAAATCTGTCTATCTAATTTAGAAGAACCTCTCATAACTCTGGTACAGCAACAATTGACCATGTTCTTTCACATAAACACTAGAAATGAAGAGAGCATCAAATGTAAGAGTTAAATTACGTCAATATTCGCTTTTGAAAACAACACTACATTTTATTTTTTGTTTTTGTTTGGGATGGAGTCTCACTCTGTTGCCAGGCTAGAGTGCAGTGGTGCGATCTCAGCTAACTGCAACCTTCACCTCCCAGGTTCAAGCCGTCTTCCTGTCTCAGCCTCACATGTAGCTGAGAGCACAGGCGCTCACCACTACAGCCAGCTAATTTTTTTGTATTTTTAGTAGAGATGGGGTTTTGCCATGTTGGAGAAGATGGTCTTGATCCCTTGACCTCTTGATCTGATCCCCTCAGTGTCCCAAAGCACTGGGATCACAGGCTTGAGACACTGGCCTGGCCTAATTTCTTTTAAAATAAAAAGGTAGGTTTCTTTTAGAGGAAAGTAGTCAAGATTGCCAGCTAGAATCTGCTGGACTGCGTAGTTCTCACAGAGAGAAATGCAAAATATGCATAAATACAGCACCTTAAACTGAAACATCCAGGTACTAGCATTGGGAACAATCAAAGAAACGACTTATCTAATGGAGAATGGAGTAAAGGAAGGTAGAATAATGGGCCATCCGGGAAAAACAAGAAGCCAAGGGAAACTTTCCACCCAGTAAATCAGTAATTGCATGTGTGACCCTGGCAACCCACAATTCTGTCACTGATTTTGCAACCCTCAGGTAAGGAGATACCCTCGTTAACCCACTTCATTATGGCCTTCCGTTTAACAAACAGAGCTACATGGAGTCACAGCAGAGCAGTCACCCAGGCCAGTGCAGAGATTCAAGAGCCTTAGATAATCTGGCTCTCCAGGCTTCCAAGAAAAATTAGCTGCAACTCCAGCAAAGCAGGAGGTTACATCCTTGTACACTCCCATAGGAAACAGGCAGAATCCAGGGGCCTGAGCAGCGATGGTCTGTAGGACTCATTTCCACAATTCCTCACAGGGTAAGATCTACTGGCTTACAATTCCAGCCAACCATTGATAACAGCATTTCACCTCCACGTGATGGAGCTACCAGAAAGAGGGGTGGCCCACCCTCTTTGCTGCTTTGGCAAGTTAGCCATTCCAGCCTTCAGGCTTTGAAGAGCTCAAGCCGACTGGGGACAGAAAGAATCTCCTAGCACAGTACAGGTGCTGTAAAAAGACATGTCCAGATTGCCTGTTAAAGCAGGTCTGCAATCTCATTCCTCCTCACTGGGAAATACTTTCCAACCAGGGTGTCCATCTACCACCACTGGTGCTATTTGATCGATGGAATTTGGAAATGTCTTTGGGATACAGTTCCTGGAGGGAAGAGTGAGCTGCCCTTTTTGCTGTTTGTGTGACTTAGCTGTTCCAGCCTTCTGGCTTTTGAGAATCCAAATAAACTGAGGGTGGAAGTGGTACCTCTGCCCAGCAGAGCTGTCCTACAGA